>NC_000010.11:101809761-102112792 GCF_000001405.40 Homo sapiens
CAAAGAAATAAAAAACCAGGCATGGTGACTCACACCTGTAATCCCAGCACTTTGGGAAGATCATGAGGTGAGCAGTTCGAGACCAGCCTGGCTGGCATGGTGAAGGCCCTGTCTCTACTAAAAATACAAAAATTAGCCAGGCATGATGGCACGCACCTATAGTCCCAGCTACTCGGGAAGCTGAGGCAGGAGAATCACTTGAACCCGGGAGGCGGAGGAGGTTGCAGTGAGCCGAGATTGTGCCACTGCACTCCAGTCTGGGCGACAGAGCAAGACTCTGTCTCAAAAAACAAAACAAACAAACAAAAAAAGAAAACAAAGAAATAGGAATTTGATTTCCTTTTAACATCGTAAAAGCAACTGAGTAAACTTCTAGTTTCAAGTACATAGTCAGGAAAAATGAATAAAAAGTAAGGAGTTACCTGGTCCAATTTACGTTTCAATGTGGATACTTCCTTGGGGTTAGAAAAAGTGATATCCAATCCAGGTGAGATCGCATAGATGAACTCTATCTCATATTCTCGTGCAGCAGAGATGAGAGTCATAAGTTGCTCTAAAGAACAGAGTCTATGTTTTTAGAAAGCAGAACAGAAAACTAAAAGAACCTTCACTGAAGGTTTAACTGAAGAGGTTATTTCTTCTAACTTACAAGAAAGGAAAAGATCCTCACATTTTACAAATTGTCATGTCCAACTTAACAACAGGCCATACAAAATGGTACAAGCCTGAAGTGATTTAATGTCACAGTAAGGGAAAAAGAATAGTTTTCACACCTTTGAAATCTGAACCAACAGAAAATAAGAGGCCCTTCTTTTTCACTTCCAAATAGTTTCTTATCCTTTTGGGGAAACAGGCTAAAATCAATAAACATTTTCCTCCCTTTCATTGCCACTTCTCAAAAACACTGAATTGTCAATTCTCTTACTGAACTTAAGCCATTTCTATTTCCTGCAGCATTTGAAAGGCATAAAATGCAGCCGCTGCTTTTTTATTTTGAGAGCCTTGCTCTGTTGCCCAAGGCTGGAGTGCAGTGGCACGATCCTGACTCACTGCAACCTCCACCTCCTGAGTAGGTGGGATTACAGGCATACCCGGCTAATTTTTGTTTAGTAGAGATGAGGGTTTTGCCATATTGCCCAGGCTGGTCTCGAACTCCTGGCCTCAAGTGATCCGCCTGCCTTAGCCTCTTACAGTGTTGGGATTGCAGGCATGAGCCATGGTACTGGATCTTGCTTTTTTTTTTTGTTTTGCCATCTCTGAACAGCTGGAATTCCTAACTAAATAAACCTACACATAACTACTTTATAATATGAAAGAAAGAAAATGCTTTCTTAAGAATCAGGGTAGGCCAGGCCCAATGGCTCATGCCTGTAACCCCAGGACTTTGGGAGGCCAGGCAGGAGGACTGCCTGAGGTCAGGAGTTTGAGACCAGCCTGGTCAACATTGTGAAACCCCATCTCTACTAAAAATACAAAAATTAGCCAGGCGTGGTGGCGCATACTTGTAATCCCAACTACTAGGGAGGCTGAGGCAGGAGAATTGCTTGAACCCTGGAGGCAGAGGTTGCAGTGAGCCAAGATCGCACCACTGCACCCCAGTCTGGACGACACAGCAAGACTCCATCTCAAAAAATGAAAAAAAATGAAAAAAAAAAAAAAAAAAAAAAAAAATGAATCACACCTGTAATCCCAGCACTTTGAGAGGCCACGGCAAGTTGACTGCTTGAGTTCAGGAGTTTGAGACCAGCACAGGCAACATGGCAAACCCCTCTCTCTACAAAATATACAAAAATTAGCTGGGTGTGGTGACCCGCGCTTGTAGTCCCAGCTACTTGGGGGACTGAGGCGGGAGGATTGCTTGAGCCGGGGAGATCAAAATTGCAGTGAGTCACTGCACTCCAGCCTGGGTAACAAAGTGACAAACGCTGTCTCCAAAAAAAGAAAAAGAAAAAGAACCAGAGTTAAGTCATGGCCTTAACAATCTTGACCTGTTTCTATCTATGGGAAAAACATTAATTATAGATTTTAACCTTTTAAAATTATCAATTGACAATTTTCCTAAATCAACTTAACTACTACTAGTATATACTATAAGACATATTTTTGAATAATTTTCAGTAGTATCTCAAGATAGTCATTTTTACTCTATTTTGATTATTGATCACATTAAGTTTCATTACCAGCACCACCAGAAAGTAATTAAGTTGAAGGCACACTTAAATAGAGTAGTAAACCACAACACTAGATGGAGATGGGGTAAGCTGTAATTGCTTCTTTGTAATTCAAGAAAACTTTCAGCCTTCTGTGCCTTGGCTGGGCTCTGTAACCAAATATCTTGTTAGCTATATGCGTATACCATTTAATTTCAAGTACAAAAATGTTTCACCATTTACAAGTTCCCAAAGAAAAGCACCTCTCTAATTTGGCGGTTCAATGCTATACTACTTTTTATCAATTTTATGTAACCAACTCAACGTTAAGTATACCCATAGCAGGCCGGCCGGGCACAGGAGCTCAAGCCTGTAATCCCAGCACTTTGGGAGGCTGAGGCAGCAGAATCTCTTGAACTCGGGAGGGCGAGGTTTGCAGTTAGCCGAGATCGCACCACTGCACTCCAGCCTGGGGGACAGAGCAAGACTCTGTCTCAAAAAACAAAACAAAACAAAACAAAACCCAAAGACAGCCTATTAATGGCTTCCCACTTTCCTGGACTAGGGTTTAAGGACCAGTAACTGCTGACAAGGCCAAGCCATACTAGAGCCTGAAGCAAAAGGAACAATCAGTAGTGCTGATCCTGTCTTTACCTAAAATTTTAGCATTGTGTACATCATGAATTTCTGCATTAATTTTGGTTTTTTAAAAAAATTGCATAAAATATTATTTATGTTGATTACTTTTTGGGGGTCCCTTAAAATTTGCACCCAAGGTACGTGCCTCACTTGCCTTGCCCTGGGCCTAGCCCAGCTCCAGCACTTCTTTGCCCAGTGGCCCACTGTTTAATCCACTGGCAGAAGTAAGCAGCACAATCTATGACCACAGAACAGATGGAGTCAGCCTAGCACGCCCATGATATCACACATATGGTCATGACCTTGCTAGCGCAGAGCACTCTTTCAATCTCAGCTAACTGAATAGTTACCAGATAGAAGAAAAGGAAACTACCTACAAAATAAAAATAAAATGTCATAAAATTCTTGTACAACTACATTTAAAATATAACCGTTTTCTTCACAGATTTTGAATTTATGGATAAAAAGAAAAAGATTACCAGCTTCCTCCACTGAATACATCTCTCGCCAAAACATCCTATGTTTGTAGTCATCTTTTGGGGCATACAAGTATGTATTTAATTCCCATTTCTGGAGCCTTAAGGAGAAAGAAAATTACATATGTATAAACAGGCAACATTCATAGGCTGTCAATCTCCATTTCCCTCTTCTTGGAGCATCTCCATCTCATACAAAGCTAATATTCTATGACAGTAGCTTTTAACCTTTTTGTAATCAGTGGAATTTAAAAAAATTAAGTATTACAATGTATGCCAACATACAAAACACTCTTAAAAAACACAACAGCTCTGGGTAAGGTGAAGCCCAAAACTTATTCAGCTCCCCAGGAAAAGTTTGAAAATCAAAGGCCTAGGTGAAGAAAAAAGGGACCAAGGTAAAATAACTTCTGCAATTGAGAAACCATCAAAATGCACCTGGGCTATTCACTGTTAGTATTTCTTCAAACAAAAGAAAATGTTAAGAGTTTAAGGTTCTCCTCTCTCCTTCATATAATGAAGATTTACCTTCTAAAGAGTTCTTTTCTCTGTTCCATAACCCAAGGTCTTCCATAAAATCCTAGATTCAAAGTAAGAATGAAATTATATTCAGTTTTAAAATGTGGTAAGCTTTATTGAGAAAAGCAAGTTACAAAACATATAATACAATCCTATTTTGTAAAAAGCATAAAATACACCAAATCGGAAGGATATTTAATAAAATACTAAGGTTCCTTTAATCTTTGGGTGGTGACGTTACAAGGTGACTTTTATTCCATTTTTGCTTAGGTAATTTTTTTTATTTTTTCTACCATGACATTAGTTACTTAGGTGATAGTTATTTTAAAACAAACATCTATCATCTTTCCACTGTTGATAAAGTCCAAATATATTTAATTCCAATTTTTTAAGAGATCTCAATCTTATAATGGGGAACGGCAGCAATGTAATACAAGCTGCCAACAGTAACAATTACTTCCTAGAATGATAGTAAAACTGCTTTAGAAAGGGTGAGGGGAGGCCGGGTGAGGTGACCCACGCCTGTAATCCCAGCACTTTGGGAGGCTGAGGCAGGTAGATCACTTGAGGTCAGGAGTTCCAGACCCAGCCTGGCCAACATGGTGAAACCATGTCTCTACTAAAAATACAAAAATTAGCCAGGTATGGTGGCAAATGCCTGTAATCCCAGCTATTTGGGAGGCTGAGAAACAACAATCACTTGAACCTGGGAGACGGACTTGCAGTGAGCCGAGACTGCGTCACTGCACTACAGCCTGGGCTACAGAGCAAGACTCCATCTCAAACAACAACAACAAAAGGGTGAGGGGAGATAAACAGGTAAAGCAATTAAAAACAAATCAGAGATAGGATTAGGAAAGAATCTGACTTAATTTTATGATCGTGCTCCTCTTTTTTAAAAAAAGTTCCTGGCCAGGACTGGAATTCCAGTTACTTGGGAGGCTAGGGCAGGAGAACTGCTTGAATCCAGGAGGCGGAGGCTGCGGTGAGCCAAGATCCGCGCCATTGCATTCCAGCCTAGGTGACAGAGCAAAACTCTCTCTCTCAAAAAAAGTTCCACATACAATGATATAATCAAAGGGACCAAAAAATGCCTGAAACCACATTCCCAAGAAATTCAACAGCCTAACTGGCCCAAACAACAAACTCTCACGCAATCTTAATTACAGAGCAAAGATCTGAACAAATGAAAATTCAAGAATATTACTTCTGGTCCTTAAACGGAAAGGAATAAACAAAGAAAACTCAAGAATGTCCCCAGAGTATCCTCTAAGAGGACAAAACACTAGTTATGCACACACTGCAGAAAACAAACTCGCAGACCGATAACCTAAATGGTTGAATAAGCATCAAACTGGTATCTGGAACTCCCTAGTGTGCTCATCACAGCTCAAACCACACACTTTACATCTTGTCTAACCTTTACTTTCCACTTGTCTCAGTCTAATCATCAGTAAGAGATAAGGACAGCCTCTCAAGAGTACCATGAAGAAGGTTAATAAAAGCATTCTGAACACAAAATGTTCTACATAAACCCACACAATCTACATAAGAGACTAGTCTAAAACAAATTTCTGCAATGTATTTTAGCTCCAATCTCTAGGCAGAATGACTCCTCTGCACCACAAAAAGGACAATGACAGACCAAATTAAAATTCATTACATACCAATGTATAACTGTAGCACTTTCATCTGGACAATCTAATGTTAGCCTCTCACAAGTGATACAAAATATTCTTTTTTTTTTTTCTCAGGCGGAATCTCACTCTGTCGCCCAGGCTGGAGTGCAGTGGCACTATCTCGGCTCAATGCAATCTACGCCTCCAACTCCCGGGTTCAAGCGATTCTCCTGTCTCAGCCTCCCGAGTAGTTGGGATTACAGGAGCCCGCCACCACGCCCGGCTAATTTTTTCTATTTTTAGTAGAGACAGGGTTTCGCCATGTTGGCCAGGCTAGTATCGATCTCCTGACCTCGTGATCCGCCCGCCTCGGCCTCCCAAAGTGCTGGGATTACAGGCGTGAGCCACCGCGCCCGGCCAATATAAAATATTCTTGATCAGGCAGACCTATACAAGTCTTTAGCATCCCTACGGCACTTAGCATTATCATTTTTTTTTTAAGGAGTAGGCATTAAACATCCTTTCAGAGTTGCTCCAATATAAAAAAAGACTTTTCAAATGTCTAGCTTAATTAAACATTTTAATCTTTAGAAACCCTACCTTGGCTCTTTTGAGAGTCAGGTTCATGGTTTCGGTTGACTGGCACCACAAAGAGGAAGCAATGCTGTTAATGTAAGTTAAAAACCAAGAGAGTTTTGTGATGGAAAGAAAACAAAAAAGAAATCCTAGCAGTAACTATAGTATTTCTATGCTCATTCATTTTACGGCTGGTGCCAACCAAGAGGTATCAAAAAGAGAGAAAAAAAAAAAAAAAAAAAAAAAAAAAGCCAGGCGCGGTAGTTCACGCCTGTAATCTTAGCACTTTGGAAGACCGAGGCGGGCGGACTGCCTGAGCTCCGTAGGTGGAAACCTGCCTGGGCAACACGGTGAAACCCGTTTCTACTAAAATACAAAAAATTAGCCGGGCCCGTGTCTGCAGTCCCAGCTACTTGGGAGGGTGAGGGAGGAGAATTGCTCGAACCCGGGAGGCGGAGGTTGCAGTGAGCCGCGATCACGCCACTGCACTCCAGCCTGGGCGACAGAGCGAGACTCCGTCTCCCAAAACAAAAACAACAAAACACACAAAAAATCAGTGCTGGCTCAGGTGCTCAGTCACTAAGAAAATATACAAGGGCACGGGAGGGAGGAGGAATAAACGAGAGAATGGCAGACAACTCTGTTCTTTAAATAGGAAGAATCGCCTTTTAATGCTATTCTAAACAAACGAATTTAAACCAAATGAGTTTTCTCCTTTTATAACTGAAGGTATAATGGACTGGCAAGTTTCCTTAGACTCATTCCAGTCTAGCTCCGAAATTTCCCAGCACTCTCTCATCCCCACTCCAAGATCTTTGATAACAAAAACCAGATTCTTTTTCTAAAATCTCCCTGCACTCAAGCCAATAAATACAACGATATAAGTCACACAATGCAATCATTTTTGATGAATACTATATAGCAGTTTTCCATTCTGTAATCCCCCAAATTCTGCAAGACAGTTAACTTCGCTGAACTCTTTCATGCCTTACTGTAGCAGCAAAGTAGCCTGTTATGGTCTGTACCATAACCACCACCCATTTTTCGAAAGAATACTCTAATTTATATGGTGAAAAAAAACAGAAAAGCTGATGTTCTCAACGTCGAGAGCAATCCTTTTTCCATACCTTTTTGGTTTTTTAAATATATATATTTTTTACCCTTATCCACGCCATTACATACGAGAGAGATATAAAACAGACATCTAGGAAACTCTGAATCGGCCAAAATACTTCAGAAAATTCAAATACATGCTGTAACTGCGGAAAGACTAATAATGTAACCGATTCGTGCCTCTACAGAGCTGCAAGGTGGACTATCTGTCCATTCTCATCCAGAAACTGAAACAAGCATCTGGTAATTTTCCCTCACTACCAAAAAGTCCATCGTTCTTTTCGACTGTAAATGGGAAAAAAGGCGAGAAGGGCATTTTTAAAGCCGCTTCTGCGGTCACTAAATTCCAATTACGCATCTCAGATACTTCGAGAATCTGTGATTAAAGCCAAAGTTTCATCCCTCGAGAGCAAAGTACAGTAGCTGGGAAAGAGGGCAATTTTCTAAGTTGCAAATGAATCTTTGCGGGGGTGGGGGGAAGCAACAAAAATATTCTAAGCCAAGTGGAACTTGAAATACTATAGGCCAAACGTGCTTCTCTTCACTCCAGAAGTACAAGCACGTCAGTGTGGGCCGATTTTCCACAAAGGGTGGTGACAGAAGCACTACACATATTTTTTCACTGGAACCAGACAACCCTAGGGAATAAGATCCCAAGGTACAAAGAAGTAGAACTCAGAGGCTAACAGAACACCAGGCTCTTAACCACCGCCTCCTTAGGAGGTGGCCTGGCTCCAAGCCCAAGACGGGTGGGGTCAGACTTGTGAGTGGCCAGGGGGGAATTCGACGCCGTCTTAAGACGTGCAAGGAGATTCGCCCAACATCTCGTCTCTCCCCTCGCTTTAGGAGGGCCACATTTCAGACCCAGAGGCTTTCCGGCCTTTTAGAGTCTCCAAAATCCCCGCCACCACCCTCCTCCCGAGGACAGAACGTGTTAGTGCCAAAACGGGGAGGGAAGGAGGGCGCTCACCTTCCACCACACCGCAGAGGAACCGCCGAGCCCCTCCTGCAGCCCCGGCCACCGCCGCTCCCCCAGCCCCGGCGGGGTTGTCTTCTCCGGGTGCCGGAGCTGCCGGCGGCTCCAGCGATGCCCCCGCAGAGGCGGCAGGGTTGGAGCTGAGCTCGCTCTCCCGCTCCTCCAACGTCGCTTGACTCTCCTTCTGCACCATCCTCCTGCCCCCGGCCGCTGCCACCTCTGCGGGTCCTCCTCGACCTCTGTCCGTTGGGGCACCGGCCCGGAGCCCTGGAGAGGGCTTCAGCTCCAAGTGTGCGCCCCTCCGGCTCCTTCCCCTCCCCCTCTGCCCTTCCCCCTCCCTCTCCGCAGGGACCCGAATGCCCGGATGAGAAGGGCGGCGGCACCGGCGCGAGCCCTTTGTCAGCCGCAGCCTCGGCTTTAAGCTGGGGCGCCAGAAGCCTAAGCGGAGAGCGAGGCTGTGACCTCTCGTTCCCTGGAAGAAGACGGCCAAGGGTCCTGTCCTCGTTCTCTGCCTCTGCTGCCCTCCCGATAATCTTAGGTCTTCCGCTGTTTCCCCTCCAAGCCCCGAGCTCTCCCTCTGCTGCTGCCTCCACCGCCCGCTTCCTGTTTATCCGCACTGCGCTTGCGCTGCAGACCGGCTCAGACCGGTCCCCTCCGCCCGGCTCCCCCGCCTTCTTTGGGGCTAGCCTATTAAGCTTCTTTAGGTAGGGGGAAATAGAACAGGAGACGCGAAAAGCAGAAGGTAATGAAGGCAGTGGAATGTACCATTTCTGCTTGCCACCCTCCGAAACAAGCCTGGCACCCTGGGACGGACGGACCATTACCCGCCCCGAAGGAGGGGAGTATGGGAGGAGGCTGCCGCCGGTTGGGGCAATAGGGAGAAGGGGGGAAGGTGAAAAGGAGAGGTGTTTATTCTCTCAGTGCGCAGGCGCGGAGCCGCGGCCTCTCGTTCTTAAAGAGATAGGAAAGAACTGACCTACTTTCTATGGAGATTCTTGTAATAGGTGGGCTCATTACATCTGCCTAACCCAGGCTTGGTTCGGTAAAGACACCATTCCAAGGAGCTCAGCTCACCCCTCTGCCTTGAATCATTTTCCCCTAATCCCATTTAAAATGTAATCATTCGTTCATTCCTTCATTCAGTAGACATCTATAGAGCTTGCCTCGTGCTGGGCTCTAGAACACTATGAGCTCACAGTACGGTGGTGGAGACAAGCCACCACACACGCAGTTCCCACAAGGTGTCCCCAAGAACTTCGGAGCTCAGAACAGGTGATACTCACTCCTCCTTTGGGGAGAGGCCGTGGGCATGGCTTCACTTTTCAGCTGGATTATAAAGGATGTGAAGTTAGCCTGACTGAGCAGAAGGGGAGGGAAGACAGCACTCCAGGAAAGTGGAACGAACAACAGAGTCCAAAGGTAGGGAGGCATGAAAAGCCTGCCTTGTTTGGGAATGGGGAGCGCGCGGTGTGTGCAGTGGGGCATGAGATCCCTTCGGCCTCGGCATGGGCATCGCTTCCTTGGGAAGCCTTCCCTGAGCCCTAGATGGGTTTGGGTCTCCTTGCTGTATGTTCTCAGAGCTCTCTTGTAGACCTACCCTAATGCACTTTACATTTATGATGCTTGAGAAATCTATCTCAACCTGTGAGGTATAAACATGAAATGATGATTAAGACTTAGTAATGTCCATCTTACACTTCAGTCTGATATTTACCTTCTTTAGCCGTAGCCCAACTTGTAGTTTCAGGGACTTTCATGGTCCCTCTTCTTTTCAGTCCTGGATTGTTGAGATGGGGGTTAGGAGCAAACTTTTTTTTTTTTTTTGAGACAGAGTTTCACTCTGTCGCCCAGGCTGGAGCGCAGGAGCGCAGTGGCGCAATCTCGGCTCACTGCAGCCTTCACCTCCTGGGCTCAGGCTATTCTCCTGCCTCAACCTCTCGAGTAGCTGAGACTACAGGCACCCGCCACCACACCCGGCTAATTTTGTGTTTTTAATAGAGACGGGGTTTCGCCACGTTGACTAGGCTAGTCTTGAACTCCTGACCTCAGGTGATCCACCTGCCTCGGCCTCCCAAAGTGCTGGGATTACAGGTGTGAGCCACCGCGCCCGGCCGGACAAGCATTTTCTTAAGGGACCTCCTGTGCTGAGAGTTAGGGGCCATAGCAGCTTTACTGGATATTGTGGTCCGTTGGGGTTGAGAACACAATTTTTTTTTTTTTTTTTTTTTTGTAAGAGAAGAGGTCTCATTTTGCCACGCAGGCTAGTGCAATCATAGCTTAAGTATCGAATTCCTGGGCTCTCAAGGGATCTTCCCGCCTTAGCCATCCCGAGTAGCTGGGACTATAGGCGAGTGCCCGCCACCACACTCTTTTAATTTGTTCATTTTTGGTAGAGACGGGGGTCTCAACATCTTGCCCAAGCTGGTCTCAAACTCTTGGGCTCAGGTGATCCTCCAGTCTCAGCCTCCCAAAGTGCTGGGATTACAGACACGTGCCACCTCACCTGGCCGAAAAGAACTTTTATCTGAGGAATGAGAGTCCTTTTAAATTATCAGGCCCAGATGGCTGGGCGCAGTGTTGGTGTTTGCAACCAGCCTGGGCAATATTGCCAGACCCAGTCTTTATAAAAAAATAAAAATAGGCCGGGCGTGGTGGCTCACACCTGTAATCCCAGCACTTTGGGAGGCCGAGGCAGATGGATCACCTGAGGTCGGGAGTTCGAGACCAGCCTGACCAACATGGAGAAACCCCGTTTCTACTAAAAATACAAAATTAGCTGGGCATGGTGGCAGATGCCTGTAATCCCAGCTACTCGGGAGGCTGAGGCAGGAGAATCACTTGAACCCGGGTTGCGTGAGCCGAGATCGTGCCATTGCACTCCAACCTGGGCAACAAAAGCTAAACTCCATCTCAAAAAAAAAACAAAAAAAAAAAAAAAAAAAAAAAGCCAGGCGTAGTGGTGTGCACCTGTAGTGCTAGGATCTCACCACTGCACTCCAGCCTGAGCCACAGAACAAGACCCTGCCTCTAAAAAAAAAAAAATTAAAAAATAAATAAATCTTTAAAAATTAAAAATAAATAAATAGGCCCAGCGAGGCATTAAAATGACAGAATCAGCCGGGCTCAGTGGCTCACGCCTGTAATCCCAGCACTTTGAGAGGCCAAGGCGGGCAGAAAGTCAGGAGTTCAAGAATAGCCTGGCCATCATGTTGAAACTCCGTCTCTACTAAAACTACAAACAATAGCTGGGCATGGTGGTGCGCGCCTGTAATCCCAGCTATTTGGGAGGCTGAGGCAGGAGAATCACTTGAACCTGGGAGGCAGAGGTTGCAGTGAGCCAAGATCGTGCCACTGCCCTCCAGCCAGGGCAACAGAGTGAGACTCAGTCTCAAAAAAAAAAAAAAAGAAAAGAAAATGACAGAATCACATCCTATGCCTCCCTCCTTTGAGCTATGTATTCATCTCTTGACACTGCTTGCTCTTGCCACAAGTAGCTATAAATTAACCTAATAATGTTGTACTGGACATTCTAACACACACCCTATAGTTTAACAATGTATAGCCAATCAATAGCTTATGTTATTTTAATGTAAACTGTTGGTAAATAACTCAGGAACTGCCTCTTCTTTCCCTATAAAAATCCACTTGTAACTGCTGCTAATCAGAGTGTCTATTTAGGGCAACTTGAATCTATGCTCTTTCGTTGCAATCCTCAAGCTTATAATAAACTCTCTACTTGTATTCATTTTGCCTCAGCTTCTTCCTTATAGGTTGACAGGAGATTTGGGGGCTGTCATTCTGGCTGATGTCCTTAGTCTCATGACATTTTCCTCTTTGCCTTAATCACTGCCAGCAAGTCAGCAGCCACAATTTCTCCTACTTTCCATAGTCCAGTCTCATAGGGAAGGTTTGCCCCATTTCTGTGTCCCTCAAATTTGAAGAGTGGTTCTTGCCACATAACTGCTATACACTTTCTCACCATACCACACCTCTCTCCACCCACCCCCAACACCTACAACAGTAACAGTGCTTAGTAGACCTATGATGAATATTTGCGGAATGAATGAGATAGGGCCCTGCCCTCACAGATTTTACATTCTGTTTGGAGAACCAGACAATAACAAATTCAGTACACACATAGGAACTCACAGTTTGTGGTAAGGGCTATTAAGGGAAGAAACCTGCCAACTGCATCAAGGAGGAGCTACTTCAGATGGACAAATAGGAAGGAGTAATTTAGGTGAGTAGCAATAGTGGCTTGGGCTAGGAAACAGCATCAGAGAGAGAGAGGTGGTGTACCTTTGGTGGTAGAATTGGTGATTGATTAAATGGGGGTGGAGGGAGAATGAAGGAGAGGAAGAAATGGAGACTTCTAAATTTCGACCTGAGCAACTAGATGGATGTTGGTGTCATTTACTGAGATGGGAAAGACTGGAAAGGCATGAATCTAAGCTCCATTTTGAACATGTTAAGTTCAACCATTACAGGTCCACATTAATATATCAAATAGGCAATTGGACTAGGCACGGTGGCTCATTCCTGTAATCTCAGCACTTTGGGAAGCTGAGACTGGAGGAGGATCACTTGAACCCAGGAGTTCAAGAGCAGCCTGGGCAACATAGTGAGACCCCATCTCTACAAAAAATTAAAACATTAGCAGGGTGTGGGTGGCACACACTTGTAGTCCCAGTTACTCTGGAGGCTGAGGTGGGAGGATCGCTGGAGCCCAGGAGTTTGAGACTGCAGTGAGCTGTGATTGTACCACTGCACTCCAGCCTGGGTGACAGGAAAAAAAAAAAAAAAGCGGGGGGCAATTGGATAGACAGGTTTTGGATTTCAGAAGAGAGAGTTCTGGGGATATAAACTTAGGAGCCTCTGCATATCGACGGTGTTTAAAGCCATGGGATTAGGGGTGGTTTGGAAAAGAGGCTTAGGTCTGAGCTGTAGGGCCTAAGATTTAAAATTCAAGTTGAGAAGGATGAGTCTATAAGGGAGGGCTGAGAAGGGGTAGCCAGAAGGGCACGAGGAAAACCAGGAGCGTAGGAAATACTGGAAGGCAAGAAAGGAGAGTATTTTGAGATGGAGCAGCTGACAACACTCAGAACCCAACCAATGGCCAAGATGAAATAATCTGAGGCTGGCGTAGTGGCTCACACCTGTAATCACAGCACTTTGGGAGGCTGAGGCGGGTGGATCGCCTGAGGTCAGGAGTTCGAGACCAGCCTGACCAATATGGCGAAACCCCGTCTCTACTAAAAATATAAAAATTAGCCAGGCATGGCGGCATGTGCTTGTAATCCCAGCTACTCGGAGGCTGAGGCAGGGGAATCGCTTGAACCCGGGAGGCGGAGGTTGTAGTGAGTGGAGATCACTCCACTGCACTCCAGCCTGGGTGACAATCTGAATGCCAACCTACTGTTTTTTTTCTGGATCTCATCTGTAGGCTTGGGCTCTGGGGCACTTCTCAGCTTACTAGCAGTTCTCTGCTTCAATCCCACTAAACTTGAATCTACCTTAGAAAATGGAAACTGGGCAAGGCGTGATGGCTCACACCTGTAATCACAGCACTTTGGGAGGCTGAGGTGGGCACACTGCTTGAGCTCAGGAGTTCGAGACCAGCCTGAGCAATGTGGTGAAACCCTGTCTCTACCAAAAATACAAAAAATTAGCCAGGCGTGGTGGTGTGCACCTGTGGTCCCAGCTACTTGGGAGGCTGGGGTGGGAGGATCACCTGAGCCTGGGAGGTGGAGGCTGCAGTGAGCTGAGATTGTGAGACCCAGTCTCAAAAGAAAAAACAACTGTCTCCATACCTATGTAATTATATACACACATTCACCATGTACTTTCATCCATTATTATTTACTGAATAATGGATGTCCTTACATCCATTATTGTGTGCCAGGCCCCATGGATAAGATGGTGAAGAAAAAAACCCTAGTCCAGGCACTCAGGGAGCCCTCAGGAACTTACAGTGTATAGGAGAAGACAAGTATATAATTACCCAAGTAAGTATATGGTTACAAACTGAGAAGTGCCATAAAGGAAAAGCAGAGGGCATTGTGAGAGCCTGTCATAGTGTCACTTTGCTTGGATTATGCATAACATGCACAGCATCCACTCTTCACATACAATTCTTTGGTTTTTTTTTTCTGAGATGGAGTCTCGCTCTGTCACCCAGGCTGGAGTGCAGTGGCACGATCTCGGCTCACTGCAAGCTCCGCCTCCTGGGTTCACGCCATTCTCCTGCCTCAGCCTCCCGAGTAGCTGGGACTACAGGCGCCTGCCACCATGCCCGGCTAATTTTTTGTATTTTTAGTAGAGACAGGGTTTCACTGTGTTATCCAGGATGGTCTCAATCTCCTGACCTCGTGATCTGCCCACCTCAGCCTCCCAAAGTGCTGGCATTACAGGTGTGAGCCACTGCGCCCGGCCCACATACAACTCTTGACTGTGCCCAAAGGCCACTGTTGACAGACTTGAGGGATTGAGTCTAGCCTCAGTCCTGCTACAAACTCACTGAGTGACCTTGAGCAAGTCTCCCTTCTCTGAGCCTGCTTCTTCTATGAAATGGAGGGTTAGACTGGATCACATGTTCTTTTCTTTTTGAGACAGAGTCTCATTCTGTTGCCCAGGCTGGAGTGCAGTGGTGCCATCTCGGCTCACTGCAACCTCCGCTTCCCAGGTTCAGGCGATTCTCTGGCCTCAGCCTCCCAAGTAGCTGGGATTACACGTATGCGCCACCATGCCCAGCTAATTTTGCATTTTTAATAGAGATGAGGTTTCACTATGTTGGCCAAACTGGTCTTGAACTCCTGACCTCAAGTGATCCACCAACCTCAGCCTCCCAAAGTGCTGGGATTACAGGCGTGAGCCGCTGCACTCACTCTAGATCACAGGTTCTTAACTTAGGACCCATAGATGAGCTTCAGGGATACAAAAATGCATGGGAATTCTTGCCTTTTTCTTTCTTCTGGATAGTGGGCCCACAGCTTTTATCAGATCTTTATGTTGATGACTCAAAGAAACCCAAGGGCCCAAGAAGCAGATGGTTCTTTGATGATATAAGCAGGGAACACAGATGATAAAACAATGGACGCTAAAAGTGAGTTTTTGCTTTTTGGACAACATATCTCTCCCCTTGACTTCATCACGAGGGAGGATAAGGCCTGTTACTCCTCCTATGGATGGTGAAGCTTAGTCACCCATAATGGTGACCCAGAGAAAGGATGAGAGGAACCAACCATTGGTGGGTCCCTCTGCAGGAGCAGAACAAAGAAAGAGTGGGAACACACAGAAAGTCCATGTCATCCTTTGTGCCATCTGCCTCATGGTGACCTGCGCTGGGTCCACTCCATCTCATTCCCCCATCATTCCTGGCTGGGGTATGGACACAAAAAATATTTATCTATACTGGAGGCAAGGTTGGAATGTTGACACAAAGGAACTTTCATTAGAAACTAAAGGGAAGGTCTGTGCATGGTGGCTCACGCCTGTAACCAACACTTTGGGAGGCTTAGGCGGGCAGATCACATGAGGTCAGGAGTTTGAGACCAGCCTGGCCATCATGGCGAAACCCTGTCTCTACTAAAAATACAAAAATTAGCCGGGCATGGCAGTGCACGCCTTTAATCCCAGCTATTCGGGAAGCTGACGCAGGAGAATTGCTTGAACCCAGGAAGCGGAGGCTGCAGTAAAGCCAAGATCACGCCACTGCACTCCAGCCTGGGCGAAAGAGAGACACTCTGTCTCAGAAAAAAAAAAAAAAGAAAGAAACTAAAGGGAGGCCCCTCAAAAGAAAGCACTTTGAGATTAACTAAAAAGTCTGTAAATTAGAAATCTGTGATTCAACTTGTAAGAATGTCAGCTAAAAAACAGCTTGCTTGGCACAGTCTTCGGGACATCAGTGTCCTGTCCTTCCTTCCTTGTCTCCTCTCAGGCTGTGTGGGAGGGAGATTCATGTGGGGGCCTGAGGTTGGGTGGGTTTCCAACCATTCCAGAGCCTGTGTCTCAGTCTCATGCCAAGGTATGGCCAACTATGGAAAAGAAAGCCACTTTCTTGGGGATCTAAAAGGCTGCAGGTGCATTCGTTAGGGGTTGTGTAGTATTTGTAGGTGGGAGGGACAAAAGGCAGAGACGGCAGCCTGTGCATAGCCATTGTGTTTTATTAGATCTGGTATATTTCTTACTTTACAAAATATATAGAAGAGCCCAAAATGCAAAGCAGTCAACAGTCTTCTGATGGGGAAGGGGGCTCTCTGGGGGCTCTCCCCTCAGATTCTGGCCAACTGGGAGGGTAAGCTAAATGGGACGAGCAGGTGTGCTAAGGGGTGGCCGCATGGCTGGGGTGCTGACAATGGGGTTGGAACCTGGGTCCTATGGTCCCTGCCCTCTAGGTGTGCTAAGGGGCATCTCTGGGTAGATTGAGTCAAGCAAGAAGAGACCCTAGGGAACTGAGGAGGTTATCTGGGGTGGGGTGGGGAGAGCCCAGGTTGATTGAAGATTCTAGTGAATGCCCCCACACTGGGTTCAGATGCTATGCCTGCCTCCCTCCTTCCCTCTCCCTTCTAAGGCATCCACTGTGGGGAGTGATAGGCCCCAAGTTCAGGAAGGTCCCAAGTCTATAGAGAACATGGGAAACAAAAACTCAAGTCATAGCCCTCAAAACAGGGACGATAAGCAAGGAGGGTGGGATGAAATTTTGGCAGGCATCAGCCAGGACATCCCCCATCCACATTCCCCCACCACAACCACCACCAACACATGCAGGAAGGAAGGAGAGGAAGCAATGCCAGAGATGAGCCAGATATCTGGCCCCAGGCTCTCCATGGATACCGAGGAGGGTGTGGAAAATTTCTGGGGCATTTCTAAGGAGACAAGGTCTTCTGCAAAGCCTGGAAACTTATATTTTGATGGCCTGTGGTAGCAGACCTGTGGAACTTGGAGCTATAACCTGGTATGCCTGAGCAATCATAATCTGTCCAGGCCCTTCTATTCTCAACCCCAGCCACCTCCTAGGACCTATCCATTGACTCAGGCCCAAGATTTCTCCCTATACATTCTTGTCCCCCTCCCACAGGGCTCTCAATGGCTGGTCTGAGAAGCCAGCCAGTGCCAAGAATGGAGCATTCTCTCTGAGAGGGGAGTCTTAGGGGAAATGTTTATGAGGTCAGGGATGGGGGAAGCACCATAGCAGGAGACATCTGTCTAGTGTGTTTCTAGAGTAGGGGTAGGAGGTGGGGAACCGCTCAATTCCTACAGGAGGGGCACTCTCAACACTGGGTGTCAGGCAGGAAGGGGGTGAGAGCTGGTGGGAGTTGGGAACACCCCCCGAGATGCACTCTGCCCACTCTCTGGCCCCTTCAGCTCCAGAGATCTGGACTACTGAATCCCCAAGCTCTTGGATCCCTCCAGCCCCCAGGGAGGCGTAGGATGAGGATAGACCTGGGAAGAGAAGGGTGAGGTCCGCCTGGACTAGGGTTAGAGCATGGTCCCCCCAGGAAACACTGACCCCCTCTCCTGGGGGCTAGATGACATTGTCAAAGAGCTGCATGGACCTCATGATGTTCTCATCCTGTGGCCATGATGTGAGCGAGGCAGATTGAAGAGAGAGAAAGAGAAGGAGCTTATCAGAGACAGTGAGAGGGACACTGAGTCACAGACGGGGACATTCAAAAGCACAGAGGAAGGAGATGCCCAGAGAGACCTGAGGTAGGGAAGGGGTAAGCCTCCCACAAAGGAATAGGATTGAAATATGGGGGTGAGGTGGGAAGGTGGTATTCTTCCCAAAGAAGCTTTTCCCTGCATTACTAAATCAGGCCTGAGTCCAGGTCAGGGTAATGTAGAGGGCAGGGAGCTGTACCTTTTGACAAGACTCAATGAATTCCTCAATGGTCACCACACCATCCTTGTTTCTGTCCATCTTCTGCAAGAAGGTGGTCAGGCAGGGAGAACAGGAGGGATGGCAAGAGAGAGGCAGACAGAAGTCAGGTGAGTTCCCTGCTGGTTCTTGGCCTTCTTCCCTTCACTCCAGGGCCCTCCAGCCTACCCACTCCCAAGTACCTGGAAGAAGCTCTCCACGTGTTCCCTTGGGGCCTCCTCCCGGAGTGCAGGGTACGTGTACTTGCCCATCATGTCATAGATGGACTTCATGATGTCAAGCATTTCCTGTTAGGCCAAGAGAGAAGAGGATCCTTCCTCAGAGCCTCCAGCCTCCCTTGATCCCTTGCTTGTGGGCATATGTGGGTCATATTTCCCTCCCATCACCCTCTGCACGCCACCCCCATCACCGCCACAGACCCCCAGCCCTTCAGTTGCCCTGCACCTCCTTGGTGATGCAGCCGTCCTTGTTAAGGTCATACAGGTTGAAGGCCCAATTAAGCCTGTCATCTACAGTTCCCCGAAGAATCACGGACAAACCAGCCACAAAGTCCTGGGAAGGAGGCAGGAGGGAGCTGTGTCCTCGGGTACTCTTCACCCAACTCCTTCTCTGGGTTTGGCCTGGAGATCCTGGCCCTGAACTCCAGGAAACAGGCTTCCCTGGCCCACCTCGCCCAGCTCACCTCAAAACTGACCGAGCCATCATGGTTGGTGTCAAAGGCATTGAAGAGAAAAGTGGCATAGGTGCTGGAGTCTGCAGGGTGAGTGTGGAGAAGTTGGCTTCCACACAGGAGAGGACTTCCTCCCTCTAAGGAGCTCCCCATACCCCCCATCACCTTGGCATTCCCAGCTCCTCCAGAATCCCTCCCTCCCTCAGCCTAGAGAAGGACAACTGCTTCCCCTTGGGCCTTGTCCCCTCACCTCCTTGAGGAAAGAACTGGGAGTAAATCTGCTTGAAGTTCTCCTCATTGACAATTCCGCTGGGACATTCCTGGAAGGAGAGGGCACCAGGCTGAGGGCAGAGACAAAATCCCCTTCCGTTCACCGCCCCCACCCTCCATGGCCCAAGACTCCCAGGGAGGGGGATAATCTTCAAGCCTCCAGAGGACTCACCACGTGGCTCATGTGATGGGAGGGAAGACTTCTTTCCCAGTGCACAAATAAAAAACATGGAACGAAACTGACAGTCTACAGGCGCCACTTCCGTTCTGGCCCCGCCCCAGAACCTCCAGCTAGAAGTTCAGTCTCAGGGCCTTGCCTCCCTTCCGCCCACACCTCAAGCATCCAAGCCATGCTTTCTGGGAAGCTGTGGACCGGCTTGGGTCCTCCTGTCCCACCCTCGCTGAGTTTGGCCTCGCCTTGCACTCACGTTCTTGAAGCCCCGGTACAGGACCTGCAACTCCTTGCGCGTGAATTTGGTTTGCTCCTGCAGCTGCTCCAGACCCTCAGGCCGGTGACACACGGTGGACAATTCAAATTCATCGTCCACGCTGTCTGCGGGAGCGGTGAGGACAGCCGCGCCTCAGGCCCAGCCTCCGCGACCCCTCTTCAAATCACTGCCCCATTCACCCCCTCCCCGCCCCCCGGTCCCATCCGATGCCGGAGACCAGGCTGCCAGTTCCCTGGGCCCCGAGCCAAGGACACTGAGGTAAGGAGAAAAGATGATGGCCATCTTCGAGGTCTATCAGCGGGCCAAGGCCTGGCCTGGCCCCAGAGCCAGGGATCCGACTCAGTGCTCGCCCCGCGGCCCTCGATCCCTCGTTGGAGGGGAAGGCCCCCAGCCGCATCTTCGTTTTAGAAAGGGAGGAGTGGGAAAAGCCAGTTCAAGAGGGGGCGTCTGAGGGTCAGAGCTCCGGGCCTTCGGGGACCAACTCAGATCCGCCCAGCCCCAGCCTTGCCCCGCCCAAACCCTCCCCTCGTCCCACCCAGCCCCTCCCCTCGCCCCGCCCAGCCCCATCTATCCCAGCCATGCCTGAGCCATGCCCCGCCCAGCTCAGCCAACCTCCATCCAGACCCCACCCCCGGCCCCATCTCAATCCTGCCCCGCCCCCAACGTCCAGCCCCCAGGCAAGTGCCCCCCACCCCAAGATGGCAAAGCCGCCCTGCCCCGCCCCGCCCCCACCAGGAGCGTAAGTCACCTGGGTCCAGCAGGCGGGGTCTGTGGGGGCGGAGGGAGGCTGGGGCGGCTAATGCTGAAGGGAGCGAACTGTCACCGAGAAAGCGGAAGACCCGGCCAACTGCAGACACACACCTGGCCCCTCACACTCAGAGCAAACCTCACAACCCAGCCCGTGCAAAGGCACACCCAACCAGCACAGACACACACGAAACGGACCCCATGCACACAAGCTTGCGGGACTCACGCCTGTCCTTTTCCGAATCCACCCCCGTGTGGGACCCATCTAAGTCCAACACAACAGCATGCTCAAATAACTACAAAGCGGGCCTTTATGGTTTGCAAAATGCAGTATGATCCTATGAGGTGGGCAAGGCCCAACTGAGGAAATGGAGACCTAGAGACAAAGCGAGGTCACTCAACTGGAGATCACTCAGCAGGGGACCAGGCTGGCACAGAAAACCCAAATACCCTGGCGTCTGGAGGAGGGCAGGCGCCATCCTCTACACCTGTCACCATCCTGTCGGGGCATAGGCAACACACATCAGGGGTCCAAAACACGGTGGGGAAGGGGGCGGCCGCACGGAGTTGAAGACACTAACCCAGCTAAGCCACATACAGACCCTCACGGCCGCCTGGTCTACACAGGCCGCCACAGCTACACAGGCTCAGGCCTCAGCCTGGTCACAATGGTCACACCCACACTCTCGGGTCCCACAGTTTTGCGGGAGCGGTGACACACACCCGCTCCCAACTGACCACGCCCACACACGCTGGCTTCAGCCGCACACGCACACAGTAGCCACGCCCCCTTATGCTCCAGCCTTGCCAGCACCCGCCCTCGCCACGCTGGTCACGCCCACACACACACACACACACACACACACACGCACGCAGGCCTGGGGCACGCCCCTCCCCCACACGCAGGCGTGCGGCACGCCTCCCCATACACACACACACGCGCGCGGGCCTGGGGCACGCCCTCCACACACATGCAGGGGTAGGGCACGCCCCCCCACACACACACGCCGGCCTGGGGCACGCTCGCGCGCACATGCACACACATACACACGCACAGGCCTGGGGCAGGCCCCACCCCCACACACGCAGGCCTGGGGCACGCCCCCCCACACATGCAGGCCTGGAGCATGCGCACACTCGCAGGCCTGGGGCACACGCGCACACACTCATGCACAGACACGCACGCACACATCGAGCCCCGCCCCCGGAAGCACATGAGAGGCACTTGCTTTCACTGACTGAGGGCAGGGCTTGGGGCCCGCAGCACGGCAGCAGCTTGAGGAATCGCTGCTTCAGCGCTTTTTTAGTGGGCCCTGGAGGGTGGCCTGGGAAGAGAGAAGACCCCAGGAAGGCACATTAACTCCCATTGTCCCTCTGTTCCCTGTCCCCTCCCCGCCAGTCACAAATCAACCCCATCTGGGGACCGGGCTGGGGGAGGAATTAAGGGGAGGAAAGGAATGGCAAGGGTGGTTGGAATCGGGTTAGGGGAGCCCAGTGAGTCCATAGAGGTGAGGCTCAGGCACTTGGTTTAATGGGACGTGGCCGGTGACAGCGAGGCGGCAAGGATGAGGTGGCAGTGGCCTCAGTGTCTTTGCTGACCTAGTACCCTTGGCTCAAGTGCCATGGCTGGACCTCTCAGGATGATGTCCAACCCAAGGATTGCCTGGGTAAGAACACCTCTCTCATACACACACCTACAGTGACAGGCGTGTATAGTGACATGTAGAACAATACATCACAGTGATGGGTGCCAGTGACAGCTTGATATCCAGTAACTCACACCTGATGGCGTAATATGCATGCTCACACACACACACACAATGACCTGCTAACTCCTTAACACAAACATATACAAATGTGACCTAAGTAAAACAGGATGCATACACATGGAGACCCATATAGGCCATCTCACACACAGCATGATCAAACCACACAAGAACACACAATGCCTCTGGGACATCATGACATGTGAGTCTACAAAGAACACTATGACATTGTGACCTTATAACATTATGAGACATATCAAGGTTGTCATGACACATATCCATATCATACTGTGACCTGGGTCCCCATGGCACCCAGATATCTAAGGCTGTACCTCAATACCTCACCCACAGAGGCTTCATTTTTCCTGGGTACACCCACTTTTCTTTCCTGTAACCCCTCCTCATTCCAAGGTGCCCAGAATCTTTCTGCCAAAGGGCAGGGTTCCTCATCAGCTAACTCATCTACCCTAAACTGTGGCCCCTTCACAGTCTCTTCCAGTATGGCTTGCTCTTTGAGGGTGAAATAATAGTAAACTTTGTGGCAATAAGAGATCTTGGAGGCGAGTATTCTGGTGTATTGTGGGGCTATCCATGGCCCACTGATCATGGCTCCCCTTCCCCTCTTCTCCCTTATTTCTGCACATGCTCTACAGCTCTAATTGCACCCCCAGAGGACCCTCAGTGTTACTGTGTGTGTGTGTGTGTGTGTGTGTGTGTGTGTGTGTGTGTGTGTCTGTGTCTCCCAGCTGCACTGCATCCAGATTCCTGGATCAGATCCCACTGGATCTGACACAGTGACTAAAGTTGGCCTCAGTCCATTCCTGGAGGGGTCCAACTTCCTTTAGTTAAAGGTTACTCCCCCTCCATATACCCCACCCTCCCAATCCAGGCTTCACCCTCCAGATCAGGCCCTGTTCTCAGGAGGTGACTGGGTGAGTAACCACCTCCTCTCCTTCAACACATCCTTACCTCCCTCCCACCCCAGGAGCCATGGAGAGGTGGGAGGGAGGCAGTGGGCCAGGCAGGGGGATCGATGGCATTCCTGGCCTCTGGCCCAGGGCTCCATTAGCCTGGACTCTAGTTTCCCAAAGCTGGATTGCGCCTGGGGCCTCCAATGGTGTAGTTGCCCGACTCGGGGGTGGCTCTCCTGCCCCCCACCCCAGCCCCCTACCTGCTTCTAAGCCTCTGTCTCCTCTAAAGGTGAGAACAGAATGGCTGCCTTCAGCCCAAGACTCCTGGGATTTCCAGATGCCCTCTCTTCCCCCTTTCCCATCTAAAAGGAATGGCAAGTTAGAGCTCAATCAACTTCACCTTTTCCAGATTGAATGAGAACAAGCTCAGCCCAGCTGTCCCAGTTTATCTAGGTCCAACTCCCTGTTCCCCACTCCACCCCAATAAATGCAGCAGAGGATGGAGGGTGAGCTAGGAGTTTTCTGCTCTTACTGAACCCTAGAGCAGGCAATTCATGCACCTTCCTCTTGTTCCCAGTTTCCTTCATATTTTTCCAGTTCTTCCAGGTATCTACCCTGCAGTCCTCCATCATGGTTCTAGTCTGTCTTCCTGTCCCTGGTGGTACTGGGGAACAGCCATGCTACGGAGTTACACAGTTCTAGCCGTGAAGAGGAGGGAGAGGTCAAAACTCCCAAGGGGGAGGCAGAAGTGCTCCCCACTCCACCCCAATATTACTCTCCCTACTGACTTTGGGGTGGGCTGGGGAGGGGAGTTGATTTTCCACTCCCAATGTCTAGGCCCTGGAGATCACTCTGCACTTGGATCCTGATAGGAGCTTGGAGAGGCAAGGGGACTTGGGAAGCAGGGTCCCTGATCTGATCCACTCCTCATCCCCAATCATAGCTGGGCTATAAATGTCTCCTTCACAATGTTCACACTCTTCCCTCCAGAACCCACCTCCTCCCAAGCCTTGGGTATGGAGCTGGTATATCCTCAGGAAATTCTGGAAACAGCCACATGCACAACCTGATACCCAGAGGCTCAGCCACATACTGTGCCACTCAGGCCTGGCCACATCCACCTTCTCACAAAGCCACATGCCCTGTCACTCTCACACATACAGTCATATCCCTGTCCCATACACAGGCTCACAGTTACACACTTTGTACTCTCTCACATACAGGAACACAAAGTCACACCCTGTGTCTCTCACACACTATGCCCACACACCCCATAAGCTACACTGCACAGATGGAGGTGTGGAGAGGATGCACAGGCACCGTGGTGGGCCCCTGACTCCAAAAAGGACCCCCCAGAAATCCGTTGTTATCTCAGGATCCCTAGAACCTCCCTCCTCTACTCTAGACACTCCTTCCCTATCTCCAGACCCCTCCTGGTATCGCCCAGAATCCCCTCACCTCCTCATCTCCACACCCCAGTCCTCCCACACTGCACCCCTCATCACCTCCTGACACCTTGGTCCCCCAGATTCCCTCCTCCCTCCATATCTACTCCTTGAGGCCTCCTCTTCACCCCTCCCAGATGTTGTATCCCCCAAGCACCCCTACTCACCTCCCAGATCCCTGTGCCATCACTCACCTGCTCATCCCTGCCCCAGTCATGAAGACAGACAAACACCCTCCCTAGTGCTGTGGGGCAGCTGCCCCACCAGCCAGCAGCTCAGACATGCCAGGACACCTGGATTACCTTCCAAGGAGACAGGCTCAAAGAGGCCAAACTGCTCCAGGACCTTGACAAACAGAGCGAGGACCACGAGCACAGCAACCATCTCCAGCCCTTCCAGGTTCATGGTGGGCCTGGGGCATGGCCCCTACAGGGCCCAGGTTCAGATACGCCGGTTCACCGCCTCACACCACCTCCCCCTCAGACTCCCCAGCCTGAGTAGGACTGCCTGCAGCCTCCCTCCCACTCTCCCTCCCAGGATCTCCTTCCTCTCCCCCATCACCCCGCCTCTGCCCCACAAGCCTCCCAACCACAGCCGCCGCCTCTTCCTCTTCGCAGGGCCACCTCAGCCTTTGGACTGGCACCTCCTTGGGAACTTTTGGCCAAGATATGGGCCAGAGGGAGGGAGCAGTGACCCGCCTCTGTCCCTGAGAAGTGCTTCCCCTAGACATCCTGTGGCTACTCTGTGCCAAAGGGAAGGGGCAGAGGGAGGAGCTGAGCTTAGGGAGAAGGCAGGGAAGGGCAGGGTGTATGTGCATGAGAAACCACCATCTGCACATGTATAAGTAATCAGATGCATGGGTCAGAATATGTTGTGGTGGCCAGGTGTTTTCCTGTGTGTATATTCCTGTGTTTGTCAGTATGGCAGTGCATATGTCTCCTCTTATGTGTGTCTTTGTGTGCTTACACGTGACTGTGCACCTGTCACAGAGGTGTGTGTTTGGCGTATGGTTATGCATTTTGACTCTTGCGTATATGGGTATGTGAGCTGGGTGTCTATGGTCTGCATGTGTAGGAGTGTGTTGAAGTATTTGTGAGTGTGCATGGGGAGTGAGGTTCCTGTGTTTTAGTAGGGTTGTAGGATGTGGGTCTGAAGTTTGTTAGGTATGGATGTGTTGTATAATTTGGAGGGTGGGTCTACTGTTTTGTCATTGTATTGGCATGGAATTGTATGAGAATAATGGCGGAGAAGGCAGTGACCTCTCCTGCTAGGAGGATATCACCAATATCGATTTGGTTGCCATGGAGACTGTGAGGAGGGAAGCACTCTCTTCCCACAGGCCACAGGCAGTGAAACTGAGGCCCAAGGGAGGGGGGATAAGATACAGTAGTAGCCTAGGCAGAAAAAGGCCACTTAACCCCATCAGGACCCTCTGGGGAGGGGACTTACTGCAGCTGCCTTTGGGGTCAAGAAACCCAAGCTTCTTGGGAGAGGAGGGGGGACTGTGCTGGCTCCGTATGTGGCTGGGACCTCATCCGGGAGATGCTAAAGCCCTGCCTGCTCCTTAGGAACTGTTATTGAGCTGATGGAGAAGCCCAGCTGCTGTAGGAGGGAAATCTGAACCTTCTAAGGGAGCCACCCCTCCCAGCCAGCATCCCCGGAGTCCCTCCCTCCTCTTCCCTGCTTCTTCTTGGTGGGGTGTTTGTGTGTGTAAAGGGGTGGGGAGAGGCCTACAGAGCCAATGAGCCACAAGACTAGGGCCTCTGGGTTAGTAACACCATTACTACCGCTGCTGGCTAACGGTGACTGAGCATTCACTATGTACTAGATAATGCACTATGTGCTTACAGGTGTTGTAACACCGAATTTTCACAATAAGCCTATGAAGGCATACTATTATCCTCATATTACAGGTGGTGAAACTAAGTCAAAGAGAAGTTAAGCAAATCTTCAAGATCAGAGCTTCAATTTTAACCCAGTCTGACTCAGCCTTCACTCTAAACCACCACACTACACTGGCTCCCTTCTTAGAAAGCTGGCCCAGCCAGGAGGCCCAATTTAGGGGGATTGGCCCCAGAAGGAGCCCTCCCTCTTGTCCAGCTCTGGGATGACTGTGTCTCAGCCCAATTTGTGGGGTGGGGGCCAGTCCCTAAGGCCCCAGTCGAGGTTGGCTGATCTGCAGTTCTATACAGCCACCACCGGGGGGCACGCGTCCAACCTCACACAGTACCATACACCTTCCTTCTCCCCGACCTGCCCCATCCAGGGAAGAGGTGGGAAGATGACGCTTCACACAGGCTTTTTTTTCTCTTTTTTTTTTTTTTTTTTTTTGAGACAGAGTCTCGTTCTATCACCCAGGCTAAAGTGCGGTGGCGCTAGCGATTCTCGTGCCTCAGCCACCGAATAGCTGGGATTACAGGCGTGCACCACCACGCCCAGCTGATTTTTATATTTTTAAATAGGGTTTTGTCATGCTGGCCAGGCTGGTCTCGAACTCCTGGCCTGAAGTGATCTGCCCCCGTCGGCATCCCAAAGTGCTGGAATTCCAGGCGTGTGCCACCGCGTCTGGCCTCAAATAGGCTTGGTCTGTTCCACTCCTTTCCCCTAGGAAAAAGTCTATTTAGGGATTGCTTGCCAATCCCTAAAGGTTGGATCAGGAGTCCCAGACCAGCCTGGGCAACATGGCGAAACTCTGTCTCTACAAAAAATTAGCCTGGGCTGGGCAAGGTGGCTCATGCCTGTAATCCCAGCACTCTGGGAGGTCGAGGCAGGTGGATCACGAGGTCAGGAGTTTGAGACCAGCCTGGCCAAAATGGTGAAACCCTGTCTCTACTAAAAATACAAAAATTAGCCGGGCGTGGTGGCACACACCTGTAATCCCAGCTACTTGGGAGGCTGAGGCAGGAGAAGTGCTTGAACCCAGGAGGTGGAGGTTGCAGTGAGCCGAGATCACGCCACTGCACTCCAGCCTGAGCAACAGAGCGAGACTCTGTCTCAAAAAAAAAATAATAATAATTAGCCTGGCGTGGTGGCACACACCTATAGTCCCAGCTACCTGGGAGGCTAAGGTGGGGAGTTTGAGGCTGCAATGAGCCATGATTGTGCCACTGTACTTCAGCCTAGATGACAAAGTGAGACCCCATCTCAAAATAAACAAATAAACAAAGATAATATTTATCCAGCACATTTTGTGTCCTGGATACTTTACATGTAGTATCTCACTTAGTCCTCATAATAAACCTGAGAGGTAGGATCTATTATTCCTGTTTTTACAGCTGACATGGTCAGAGTGAGTGATAGTATACCCATTTTGCAGATGAAGGAATTGAAGCTCCCCGCCAAGATAAGCTCCCTGCTTATCTTGGGAAAAAAGAGTGATTTTTTTTCCAAGATAACAGCTGACATGCTAATTAAGAATGAGTTTGGCTGGGTGCAGTGGCTCACGCCTATAATCCCAGCACTTTGGGAGGCCGAGGCGGGTGGATCACAAGGTCAGGAGTTCAAGACCAGCCTGACTCACATGGTGAAACCCCGTCTCTACTAAAAATACAAAAATTAGCCAGGCGTGATGGTGCTTGCCTGTAATCCCAGCTACTCAGGAGGCTAAGGCAGAATTGCTTGAACCTGGGAGGCGGAGGTTGCAGTGAACTGAGATCACGCTACTTCACTCCAGTCTGACTGAAAGAGCAAAACTCTGTCTCAATAATAATAATAATGATAATAATAATGAGTTGTTTAACCAGAGTCAGTGATCTGTCAGCTCCCTCAGGCAGTCTCTCCAATATGTGCGGGGTGTCAAGGAATCCTAGGGCCTACAGCTTAGTTTAGGTAAGGGAGCTATGGGTAATAAAATCAAAAAGGGTCAAATTCCATGAAACCTTGAATGCCAAGCCAGACTATTTGAATGGAAAGGGGCCCCACAACAGCCCCTTCTTGCTCCCTGCTACTGATAACTTGCAGCCAGTTGCCCTGGACCTGGCCCTGGCCCTGGCCCCTCCTTTTCCTAACTCCCACTCTCAACTCTCAGAGACCTTGACCCAGCCTTGCCAGGACTCATGGTCCTAAATCAGCCAGGCATCCTGTGGCAGAGTCTGTCAGGAGTGAAAGGATGAGTTATTTTTCCAGGCTGTCCCTTCTCCCCACTCAGAGACTTCTCAAGTCCTCGGGTTCAGTGAGAAACTTGCCAGATCCATCCTCCCCAAGCATCCCTGTGCCACGAATTTAGCTCTTCACTCAAAGTAAAATCTCTGTGGAAGCAATTTGGCAGAGTGGGAACTCAAGGGAAAACCATCTCGAGGCATGAGGTGGGCCTTCCCCAGATCCCTCAAATCTTACCACAGAGATATTCCTATCATTTATTTATTTATCTCCCCCAGTTCAAATGTGAGTAACACTGCCTTGTGGGGGAACCCACTCTATGCAACTGTCCCACCTTCCCCAGTTTAGCTTTGTCCCACCCCCCACCGCCACTGTTAACCCAGCCAGTGAAGACCTCAAAGCCCTTCTCTCAGTCCCCCAGACCCACACCATTCCCAGCTAGGCCAAAGACACTGCAGCCCCCAGCTGCATCGAGTGATTAATGACCTCCCTAGACGTTGGGGCTATTTTGGGTCCTGGAAGTCATGCCTGCAATGACTGAGAGCTGGCCCTGCCTGGCTCCAGCCATCTGTCACTGGAGACAGGCCCAAGCAGGGGGCTTGGAGGTTGTATGCTCCCCAGAAGATTTCCAGGTATGGTTCTGGCTCAGGACCATCCATCTACCCTCCTTTTGGGGGACAGATGGCAAGGAGAGGCCACAGGCCCTATCTATACTCCAGGGGCTCAAGTGGATACCCATGGAGAGAGCCAGAAAATGACAGATCTCAGAATGCCACAGGACCAGGTTGTTTTGGTCTGTTTGAGGTCAGGTACAGAGGAGACGTTGCGTTCTATGGGCCCTGCCCAAGCAGTCATAAGGAAATGCAAGTGGAGATGTGCATACACCTCAGCAGTGCCGTGGGATACTCAACAATCCACACCTCATACACTCCACAAATTTCACACCAAGGTACAACCTCACGAAGGCTACACAACCAACTTAGAGGCTCAGGAACCCTCAACCCAGTCCTAAAGTACAGAACTCCAGGTACACACAGTCTCAGTGTCACAGAATCCCAGTGATCACAACCCCAGGGAGACACAGACTCAGCCATACATAGCCCAGTGATGCACAACTTAGTAATGCACAATCCCATTAATACACACTCCCAGAGAGAGAGAAAACAGAGACATACAATCCTTAAGCCACACAAGTCTATCAGTCCCATGTCATGTATGAACTTGCTAGCTGAGTTCATGTTGGTCTAGGCCCATCTCAGGGTTTTTTCCTTCTGGACACTGAACCCTTCATCTTAAGACCCCTTCAGCCAAGAAATGCAGGAAAGGACTGAACTTTTTCCCTGCTCTGCTGCAGGCCTCCTCCTTTCATCCCTGGGAGGCGCCCTGCCCCTCAGTTAAGGCCCCCTCCTCTGCCTTCGGTGAGAAGCCCCGCCCCCTCCACCATTGTGAGGGACCTTGATGCCCCTCTCCTTTCCTCTTTGAAGAGCGCTGTCTTCCTCCTGCTCAGTAAGGAGGCCCATCCCCTGCTCCGCTTCTGTCCAGGATCTCGTCTTGGAAGCCCTTTCCTTGGAGGGATGTTGCTCCCTCCATCTATTTGAGGGGCCCTTCCCTCCCTACCTCTGCGGAGCTCCTAACCCACTTCGCTCACTTTTTGAAGGATCCTGCCCCTCCCTTCCCTTCCTCATCATACCTGGGGACAGCGACCCAGTCACCAGCTGGTAGAGGGATCGCGCTGCCTGCCCCAGCGGGCTCCGGCACCTGCGGGGGCATCGGTTCATGGTTTGGCGGCGAGCTCGGCGTCTAAGCTCCACCCCCAGGCCCCGGGGCGGTCCGGTCTCCGCCCTCACCCGGGTAGGCCCGCGTGGGCGGCGCGGGAGGGCCGGCCCGGCAGGCATAGGATCGAAACCCTGGAGCCTTCCCATGTTCTCCTGGCCGCACGAGAGGAGCTCACCCTGGCCCCATCATGTGAAGCAGCCGCCCCCAAAGTTCCTGGACGGGGGGGGGGGGTGGCGGGGAGGGGCGGCGCGGACTCAGCCTTCTCAGGGAGCATTTTTCTGGGTTCTGGCGGGGAGGCCAGGCAGGCACATGTGGGTTTTGAGAAAAGAGCTGGATGGGGAATGAACCGTATCTTTTATTGCCCCCTTTCAGCCCCCCTTTCTCCGCCTGTCGCACTCCTCCCCGCACCCTGCACCCCGCCCCCACCATTTTGGCATAAAGAGCCGAAGGGGTAAGAGGACAGAGTTGTCATGGCAACTCCCCACACTTCCTGGGCCAATGGAAGAAAGCCAGGAGGAAGGAGAAAGAGGCCAGTGTATTGGGGTGGCAAAGAAGAGGCAGCAGAGTTGTGCCCCACTGCCTTCTGTCTCCTGGCTCCAAATTCCTTGCTCTCATAACTGTTTCTATTTGTGTTTGTCTCGGTGCGGCAGGTTCACAGACTACCACCATACGCTGGCTACAGCCGAATGCTTCGAGAAGAGCCCCCCCCGCACCCCCCCCCCACTTCGGTCCCGCTGCGCCCCTTTCCTGGACTCCGGACTCATCTCTATCAGGTTAGACCCCAAGTAAACACTTCCAGGACTCTCTAACGCCTTAAAATTCCTGGGAAAGCCTACGGGAGAGATATAGTCCCGCTCTTTCGACTGGGATCCCGCATGATTGGTTGAAAACCCTACATTTAAGTGGTGAGAATGACCTCCTAACTCTGGGCAAATCTTGTCCACTTGACGGCGACTATCCCCACCGCAAAGCAGCTCCGTGCGCATGGCTCCTCGCAGCCACACGGGGGCGCCCCCGCCCCGGCAACAATACTCAGGGCCGGAGGGACTCCACTGAGATCCCAGTCGGGGGACCGAGCTCAGGGCTAGCCAGCCAGGCTCCAACCCTCTCCGCATCTTCTCTTGGCCTTTCTCTCTTCCGCTCAGACAGGGCCGCTGCTAAACGCGGCCTTTCCCCTCGGAACCGCACTGCCCAGCGGCCCCGCCGGGCTGGGAAGACCTGAGGGATTAGACAGGGGTCCGGGCGGGGCTCGGACTGTTTTTTGTTTTGTTTTGTTTTCCTAAAGAGTCTCTCCCAGCTCCCTTTTGAGCTTGGGGTGGGAGTGGGGAAGTAAAATGTTCGGAGGTACCCAGGATGCCCTGAGGTGTAACTTTCCAGCTGCTTCCCTGCAAGCCTGATGGGCCGGGAAGACGGGAGCTGCAGACTACCCTAAATCCGATCCCAGGAATCCCAACTGCAGGGAAGGGGAGGCGAAGCCTGGCGCGCGCTTCAGCACCGCGGACAACGACTCCCCTTCATGCTTCAGCTTAGGCATCTCTCAGCGCTCAGAGCTCAGCGCCGCCCGCCCGCCCGGGAGTCTTCGTTGACACTGGCGTCCCAACCCGATTTGTCTCCCGCTATAAAATAAGCCGCCCTTCGAGAGGAGAGCTCCTGGTAGTCCTATTTCTACTTTCCAAGTCGTGTGTGGAGCTATCTACAGCTAGGCTGCTGTAGACCCGGACCACAATTCTTGATACTTGTCAACATTTGACCTTTCCATTTTCCTTGGGAGGTAGGCAGGCAGGCAGGAAGTAACATTCCCTTTTACAGATGAGAAAGGTGAGGCCAAGAGAACAAAAGTCACATAGCTGGTACACTTCCATTCCTGACTGAACTGGGGCAGGGCATCTCCAAATACAAATGCTTCCCCCACCCAATCTCATTCAAATAGCCAAGTGGGGAAGGGATGGTTTCACTAAGGGTGAGAACCCATTAAAGCTGGAAGCAAACACTGACTAATGTGATACTATTGAAGGCCCCTAGGCCCTTACTACTCTCAAGAATCCTAAGCTGGTGATGGGAACAGAATTCATGGAAGAGCTGGACAGTGGGTCCTTTGGATTCCATCCAGCTCTGAGGCACATCTGGCATGGTCTCTCATCTGGGGCCAGCCTGAGTGGCTCCCCTGATCCTGACTAGGGCCTCCCTAGGGACAGTGATGGGGGATGGGGGAAGACACATGCTCAAGGCACCTCATCCTAGTCCCCTCCCCCTTCCCAGGTCTCAATCTCACTCCCCTCAGGAAGGACAAGGATCATGGCCTCCCTCCACCTCCCCAGCTTTGTTTTGGCCTCAGGGAGACAGCCTCCCTCCTCCCACTCTGCTGGCTTTCTAGAGCAGGCTGCACAATGAGAGACACAAACACATACATGGAAATGTACCCAGGGTGACACAGTCACCTACACAAACACATGGCTCTTCCTACCAAACCCAGGAACATGCACATGCACAGATGTACTGGCCTCACATACCTCCCCATGTGGGAAAGAGAGGATGCCCGGGCAGCCAAGTGGTTTGGTGGACATGCAGGACACCACATGGCACTTCCCAGGCCTAGAGCTTCTAGCTCTGTCTCTGGAGGGGAAGGAAGAGGATGTGTTTTCCTGGGGTTTGAGTGAAGTTCTGAAAGGTTTGTTGGGGGTTGAAGGATTCAGTTGTAAGAATAATCTCAGTACATGATTTGGTGTGGGGAGAGAGGGCTGACCCAGCACTAACTAAAGCCTCCCTACAGGGGCCAGGTGCTGGAGCCATAAGGTCTCTTGGAAACCAGACTGGGCAGCTGAACACTAAAGTCCCTCCTTGGGTCCACCTGGGCTATTTGTGGAAAAATTGGTGAAGGAGTGGGGTGTACTAAAGACCCCTATCTGTACCAGGAAGCCAGAGAGGCAGCAGGGATGAGACACGTCATAGACACTCACAGAGCCCCGCTGCAGACATCACCACATGAAAGTACACAACTAGCACTGAACACTAATCTCACAACCACAAAACACAACACAACCTACTTTAACAAATTCTTGCCCAGAGGGCTTATGGTCATGAAGGCTTACAAAGAGACAAGCCACCCTAAAGTAGAGCCCTGACACATTCTGGTAGTTACACACCACTTCATACAGAATTACACACTCACAACACATCGTTGCACATAGAGACACATGGTCAAAACAACTTCATCAGTACAACCAGGGTCCTACGCAAACTCAAACATCTGACGAGACCATACAATTGCACTGCCACATACAATCACACTCACCCTAGCTGTCACCAAGCCCAGGGCACATGGCAACCAGCTGTGGGAGGTGCGCGCGCACACACACACACACACACAGAATGACAGGTGCTCACGCACGTAACACCTCCCACTCCAGACACCCTCTCAGCCCTGTGTCACATACGCCCACACCTGCTGCCTCTCCACACCTGCCTCTTCTGTTCCTCCCCAACCCCTGCGGGACCCAAGGCTTTGAACCCCCAGTGTCCTGCCGCCCAGACCGGCCATAAGAGTGCCTGGGAATGGGGCAGAGTGTGGGTGCGGGCCAGGCCGGGGTCGGAGAGGCGGAAGGGTCTGGAGGAATGGAATCCACCCTCCCTCCCGCGACCCCCACGTCACTGACTCACCCGTGAGCTGGTCGTAGGAGCCGTCCAGGTCTCGGGAATCGGACAAACTCTCCTTGCGGCCCTGGCCCCGCATGGCCCCCGGCGCCCCGCTCCCGCCCGGGCCGTGGGAGGGGGCGCCGGGTGGCCGGGATAGGGCGCTCACACGGCGCCCCCTGGCGGCCTACTGTGCTGTCGGGGCTGGGGAAGTCCGGGCTGAGGCTGAGTCTGGGAATGGGCCCGGGGTCTGAGGTCTACCCGGAGGTCCTGGAGCAGGAGAGGGAACACTAGGCAGCAGGTGAGCGCAGAGCCGGAGGCAGAGCGGAGCTGAGCGCGGAGCCGAGCCGAGCTGCCTCTCTCCTCCCGCCCCCTCCCCGCGGCTGTCACCGCCTCCTCCCCTCTTTGGCGCTGCCGGGATTGGCTCCCCCTACCCCCGCCCCCCACCCTTTGCAGCCCGGGGGAGGCACCCGGTGAAAGGGTGAACTGCAAAGTGCGGGGAAGGAGACTAGCTCCCCAGCAATCTGCCCCTAAAGCAGAAGTCACGGGGCTTGGCGGGGGGGGGGGGTGGGGGAGGAGGAGAGCGCGGGACAGAAGAGCCCCACTGAGAGGAGGAAACCCCGCCCCCAATTCTCAGGCACCCCGTCCCCCTTCGTCAACACAGTTCTGGCTGAGGCAGAGCCTGGGGTATCATATCTGAGTCCCCGCTCCGTTTGTCTCCATGTCAGCCTGTATTTTCTCTGTTGTTCCTCCTCCCGTGTATGCGTCTCTCGTGGTCCCAGACAGTCCCCACCGTGCTTAAAGCAGGTTAGGGATGCAAAGGAAGAGTCAACCCAGCCTCTAATATTAGCAGGCTCATCGTGGGCCAATGGACTACTGTTTCATCTTCTCTCAAGTTCCAGAAGGACCCCAACTCTCACCCACTCCAGGACCCCGTCTCTGGAACCTATTCACTCTCAGGGTGCCTCCTTCACTGATCTAATGAACCCCATAGGCCGACTAGGAAGATAAAAAAACTAGTGAACCAGGTCAGTTTCTCAAGACATCCTTGCTCTTTTGTTCCTCCCCTGCAGCAACTTTTCTGCCCTTCTCTTTTGTCACCTGTCCTGTCCTAGATTCCTTGTTTTCCAGCAGATATGGGGAGCAACTGACAGGTTTGGGGATCCAAGTCAGGATACAGAGTAGGAAAGAAATGCCCTTGTTATGAAACCCCTTCCTTAAGATTAGCTCCTTTCCAAAGGCAGGGCTAGCACGGAAGCTGGGCTGCCTCATCTCCCAGGAATGGATCCTGAGTGTTTTGAGCGTCACAGGTCTGACCTTCCTCAGGATGCTTCCTGGGCTCCACACCCAAAAGCCCCCCAACCCGTTGCTATGAGGATGAGGGGACCTTGTCTGGTGGGTCCAAAGGAGTGACCTGTTAAGACCAAAAACTTTAAAGTGACTCAAGCACACTTAATCTCTTCAATTGGCTTTAATTTCCAACCACTTGATTTAATCAACCCAGCAGGAATTGTGGCGGGAGTTCAGGCCTAAGAGGGGGACAAGTGGCTGAGGGTAAGATTGTCTTTAGGAGCAATGCCCTGCGCTTGGATCTCCCTTGGCTCTGGAGGAGGCTCCACAGACCTGGTATAGAGGCTGGGCATAGAAAGTGCTTGGGCAGCTCCTGTTAAGGTTGATTTCCAGGAGAGAATGGGCACTCTCGTTTGGAGTTCTGGGATAGGTATATGTGAATAAACTGGTCAAGAGAAGGGCCTTTACAATGGAGGGCAAGGAGCCCTCTGCTTAGTGCCCCATGCCCTAGACCTGTCCTCATTCACTTGGAGGAAAGGCTGGCAGGAATCCGTAAGTGGCCAAATGGGTTGGCTTGCCTCCTCAATACCACTAAGTTTGGAGATAAGGGAACTAACTCTCTTCTCCCTCCTTCTACCCAGAGGACAAGAGAGGTTACAGCTCTCCGAACCCAACTGACCTCTACTAGGGCCAGGAGACTCAGAGGAAGGAGGAGAGTTCACAAGGGCAGGTAGGGGTCCCCTAGCCAGATGGCAGCAGCACCTAGGAGATTACCTTACCTCTATCTTTGAGGAATGAGTCTGGGCAACAGAGATTAAGGAAAAAAAAAGCAACACTAAAGACAGTCCCACACAAATCAATTTTTAATAATTTCAACTTGCCACCAGCTCCAAATCCAGCTGCCTTGGGGATTTATCACCAGGGAAAACACTAAATGCCCCAGGCTGAGCTATCCATCCAGTGATCAGATGACCCAGCCTGTGATCTCTTAAGAACCTACATCTACACATGGCAGCCTGTTAGTGGCTTCTCTGGAACTAGTGCATAGCTGCTCAATGTTAGAGCCAGAACTCTGGTTCCCAGGGAGGGCGAGTATCCCAAAGAGATTTGAGGTTAAATGGATGGCAGTCCAGGTGGTCCCAGACATGCTCTCACTGCTGAATTCCTGCACTTACTCCTAGAATATACCAGTGCTGTTTGCTCCCGCCATCCTGAGGGCTTTAGAAAGTGCTTTAAAAAGGGAGGATCTCGAAGCAGCAGCTATTTCAGAGGCAGCTGTTGGGAAAGCCTATAGTGGTTCCATGGAGGCTATCCAAGGGAGGAACCACAAGCCAACTCCCCATAAGTCAGGAGATTTGCCTGTGGCCCCACCCAGAATCTGAGCGGACAGAATGGAGGCCTTATGCATGATGCTCACCTGGCCTGTTTCAGATGGAGGGCACCCTACCCCCAGAAAGTTCTCTCCCTCCCAGGCACTAGACCATGACAGGAATAGATTCCTCCCCAGAGGAAATTCTCAGGCAGGTTGGATGTAAACAACAGCAGGGTAAGGGGGTGGAACACGTGGAGGGGAGCTCAGCAGAGGCAGGAGAGGCTGCCAGAGGAGGGGGGGCTAAGGGAGGTGGGGGAGCTGCTGGAAAGGGAACCAGCAAAGTAGGCACCTTGAGGGCTCCAGAAAGCCTGTCAATGTTTATTTCATACACACCCTAAAGACAGTAAAGCAGATTAGAAATTAAAAGTTAAGGTGGTGACCCTATTGTGCTGATGAGTCAAATGGGCCAGAAGAAGGGGAAAGCTAACGGTACTCCTGGTGCCAAAACTAAAATTCAAAAGGCGGTGACTGGACAGCAGAGCACTGGGCAGATTCTCATCTCCAGTTTTCCCAGAGAAGTCAATTCTGAATTCAGAAAATAGGAAAACTGGCTGGGTGTGGTGGCTCACGCCTGTAATCCCAGCACTTTGGGAGGCCAAGGTGGGTGGATCATGAACTCAGGATATTGAGACCATCCTGGGTAACATGGTGAAACCCCATCTCTACTAAAAATACAAAAAATTAGCCGGGCGTGGCACACGCTCCTGTAGTCCCAGCTACTCGGGAGGCTGAGGCAGGAGAATCGCTTGAACCCAGGAAGCGGAGGCTGCAGTAAAGCCGAGATCACGCCACTGCATTCCAGCCTGGGCGACAGAGTGAGACTCCGTCTCAGAAAAAAAAGGAAAAAGGTACCCTATTCCTATCTTACCCTAAATCTGAGCCAAAGGTCCCGATGACTGGACAAAGTGCCAGTGCAGGCAGGGGACACAGATTTCAAGCCAAGCACAGCCCCAGGCCCAAAGGAAGCAGGATGTAGCTCCAGCTATATCTGAGAGTTGATCTGTTTTCAGAAGCCGAGCAGAGCCACTGACTTTCAGGGTGCTGGCATTACCCTGAGGCTTGCCTCACCAGCTCCCGAAAATTAGTCAGTAGCTACAGCTTGTAACCTCAAGATTGGAAATGTGAGGGGCTGTTTAGGGAGCCCACTCTGGAAGTCCCCACATTCCTGGAGGCCTCTCCCCACTGTGCCCACCCATTCCTCCCCAAATAAGATTATCCCTGGCTTGACCCTCCTGCCCCTGCTGCCCAAGCTCCATTGAAGTGCGGTCTTCACCAAGAGAACTTGGTATCTGTGTTTCTCTCCAACCTCGGGGGCAGCCCCCTCTCCCCTCGCTCCCCCTCCAGCCCATGATCCTCATGGGTAAGGGCAGTCAGAGGCTGCTCAGGTAGGCGTGGCCTCAGGAGATAGTGGAGAACTCCTTGAGCAGGACTTCTTGGCTGAGTGTGTGGAAGGCCAGGTTTCTCCGGACGTTGGTGCTAATGGATCGAACCTGGGAAAGGGTAGTTGGGGAAGGTGGGAGGGCGCAGCCAGAGAGAAAACAGGAGAGAGTCAGTTCTAAACGGCAGAGGACAGTGCCTGCTACACGGGGCACTAGAAGTCTCTCTCTTAGGAAATGAACCCTTAACAGCTATTATCCCTGCAGGCAAATGAGCAAACAGTTCCTTGACAGCAGGGAAGGAGAGAAGAGGGGTGGACAGGAACAAACTCTGGAGGATGTAAGAAGAGCATCTGGGCTCCTGGGGAGGTAGAAGCAGGCACAGACAAGAAAGGAGGGCTGAGGCTGACATCTGTCTCTGCTTTGGCTATGCAGAAGGGGGACTGGGCTGCTCAGTGATCTGATGGAGGAGGAGAAACTGAGGCCAGAAGACTCATGCTCTAGCACCACCTCTCTTTAGATGTGTTTCTAGTCTCTTCACTCTCCCTTTGGATTTATTTACATTTTGGGGTTAGAAGGAGCATTTAGAGATGCAGTCCTTTTCTGGCACAGATGGCAAGAGTAGGATCCAAGGAGGCCAATTTCAATGGCCAGGGCCAGGTGACATTGCTAGTGAGTCCCAGCTTGGGAGCAGGGCCGAGGGTTCTTAACTCCTAGTCTAGCACTCCTTCTAAAGATGCCTGCCCACTCGAGAGGAAAGTCTGGGGCGTATCCTTGCTGTGTGCCCACTGCTCACCTCACATACTCTCTACCCACAGAACCCTAACCCAGTGTTGCCTGGGTCAGCAGGGTAAAAGCCTGTAGAGAAAGGGTCAGAGGGCCCAAGTCCCTACTCTGAGAGGGTTCCAAGAGGAATCTGGCAGACTCTTCAAGGAGATTTCCCCACAGGAAATAGCTGTGTAGATTGCCTGAGAAACAAAAAGGGGAAGGAGGAGGAGAGTGTGTCTGCCCTGGGCCCCAAAGTCTCAGGAGCTTTCCTTCAATTTCTGCTATGCTATAGGAAACTTAATGAAGTCATCAGGAAGGAAGCAGAGGAAAGGGCAGCATGGCAAACAGCAGGAAACTTGAGCTCATTAGCTCCAAACTGGACCAGACCCTCTTTGCTCCCCTGTGCCAGGGGAACAAATATGAGCAGAACTGAGTAAGGCCGTGGTGAGTGTCTCAGAGCCTCGAGACACCGCTCCCGTAACCCTCTCCAGCTCCTCACAGATTGCTCTCTGTTAACCATTTGCTCCCAGAACTTCCTCCACATCAACTTAAAGACTTGCCAACCATCCCATAAAAATGTTCCACTCTGCTATCACTTTACACTAATGGTTTCTGTGTTCCAAACTAACTCACCCCAGAGCATGTCTTCCTGACCCTGTGGAAGTCCAAAATCCTGAGGAATGTCATGTCAGGATCAGAGTTGGGCTGTGTTTAGCACAAGACAAACGATCTAATACGCAGTGCCTTCACCACAATTGGCATGGGGTAAGTAAAAGCTGAGCTGACGCAAGTTCAGCCCCAGCAGAGGGAGGTCTAAGGACAGGGGAAGTGGGTACAGAGGCCTGCAGGTCCTGGTCTCAGTCCCCAGCCAGGATGTTTGTGTAAACCAAGCTGGTAGGGTTACAGGACTGCAGGGGGGCTGAGCTTTTCTTGAGAACAGCTCAGAGTACAGGGCAGGAAAGGGACCATCAATAGGGCTAGCTCTGTGGAGACACTGACTGGGAACTTAAGTAGGAGGCAGAGCAAATGCTCATGGCTCCAAGTGCCCAAGGGTGGGGGCTGCAGGAAGCTAAGTGATTGGAAAGCAGGGAATGGAGACTGGAGAACTAGATTGGGAGGGGACTCAGACCAGCGGCCAGTTAGGAGTTTAGGAAGACGTGATTCCATAAGAAGGGGAAGAATTAATTACTTTTATTAGTTGCCCTGAGGACAGGTTAAGGAATAATGAGCCAGATCTGCTGCTGGGAACACACGTCAAACCCCAGGCCCAGCTGGAGCTGTGCAAGGGCTGTCTCCATGGCTGCAAAGGAGAAGTAGGCAATACTACCTCGAATAGCATCTTCTCTTACTGCCTGGTACAATGGGGGAGAGAAGTTGCATACCCCATCCCAGCAGACCCCTCAAGTCTTGTTTTATCTGCAGATAAACTGCAGATAAACTGCAGAACCCAGTGGCTGGGGGCGGGCCCCTAAGACACAGGCAGAGGCGGTGGGGCACTCACCAGCTCTTTGAAGAAGGCAGCTTCCTTGTGCTGCTCTGAGTAGCGCTCATACTGGTCCAGGCCATCCTGCAGCTTCAGCGTGAGCGTGTCATAGTTGGCTCTCACCACCTCCAGCACCTGGAGGACATCAAGGGCCAGGCAGGGCTTAGGCCATGCAAATCCCACAACCCTGAGCCCCATTCTGCTGATCTACTGGGTTGGGTTTGGTCTGTGACAACACCCCCAAGAAACCTTGCTTATTACTTATCTTCCAGAAAACAGCCTGGCTACAGGGAGCGATGCCTCAGGTTTCTGGGACCACTTTCTCTCTCTCTCTTTTTTTTTTTTTTTTTTTTTTTTTGAGACTGAGTCTTGCTCTGTCGCTCAGGCTGGAGTACAGTGACGTGATCTCAGTTCACTGCAACCTCTGCCTCCCAGGTTCAAGCGATTCTCCTGCCTCAGCCTCCCGAGTAGCTGGGACGACAGGGGCACATCACCACACCTGGCTGTTTTTTATATGTTTTAGTAGAGATGGTGTTTCGCCATGTTGGCCAGGCTGGTCTCGAACTCCTGACCTCAGGTGATCCACCTGCCTTGGCCTCCCAAAGTGCTGGGAGTACGGGTGTGAGCCATTGAGCCTGGCCAACTTTCTAATCTCTCTCTCTCTCTTTTTTTTTTTTTCCTTTTTGAGACAGAGTCTCACTCTGTCGCCCAGGCTGGAGTGCAGTGGTGCAATCTCAGCTCACTGCAACCTCTGCCTCCTGGGTTCAAGCAATTCTCATGCCTCAACCTCCTGAGTAGCTGGGATTACAGGTGTGTGCCATCATGCCCGGCTAATTTTTGTATTTTTAGTAGAGATGTGATTTCTCCATGTTGGCCAAGCTGGTCTCTAACTCCTGAACTCAGTTGATCCACCAGACTTGACCTCCAAAAGTGCTGGGATTACAGGCGTGAGCCACTGCACCCACCGCGACTTTCTCATCTCTTCTATTCCCTGCCTTTCCTGACCAGCCCAGCCTGGCCACCAAGTCTGTTTACTCTGAGTACGGCAAAAGAGCATGAGAAGAGGTTACAGAACAGTGAGCATCTCAGCTCACCAATATCCCTGACACCACAAATGTGCTCTCAGCCTTATCCTGAAGCTTTCCCTGGCCAGGCTGTCACAGTTGCTGAGTAAGACTTTGCCAATGTCTCCTTCCTTCTCCCGTTCTGGGAACCACATTTCTTCAGTCTTGGGATGTTCCTCAGCACCATCTGCTACTTGTTTTCATTGCTCAGTGCCAACTCAGTCTTCTTATCCAGTGCCTGGATTGAACTTTAGGGCATCCCAGCCTTTGGGTATAGGGTACGCTTTCAAGACTAAGCTAGAGCCTTTATTCTGTGGGGTTTTTCTCCCACAACATCTCTCTGATTTTCTATGCGGGGAGGATTCAGACTTCCACTGACTCCAGGAAACTTGACTATCTGTGGTTACAGAAAGAAGGGACTGTTCATAGCCAGGCCAGATGTGACTTCAGCTTGTAAGATCATGAATCAAAGGCAAGGACAATCAGGGGAGAGGCACTACACATCAAATCAGAAGTGAGCTAGGAAGAAAGGGGAGACCAAGAAAGGGGATGATCATTCACTCTGATCATCGGAGTGAAGTTGATCTGACCTGGAGGAAAGCCTATGGCATCATGGAGAGCTCCCTGCTCAGTAGGGAGCTTGGAGGAATTAGTGAGTGACAAGGAACACACAGCTCTGACAGAAGGGGGTTGGGGGTTGGGAAGAGGAAATAAGCCAGAGTCAGGATGGAGGACAGGCTCTTGAGGGGCCCAAAGGTGCCTCTGCACTGTTCCCTGCACCAGTCCAAATTTGTGCCAGGCAGACTTCACTTGGTAGCAAACACTCTGGCTGCCAAAAATTCCTGAGGAGAGAGAAGGGCTAGAGGGCACAGGGAAGGCTTGTGTCCCAATGGGAGAGTTACCGAGTTCGGTTTGGGAGGGAAGGAACAGCTAGGGCAAAGGGCTGGCCCAGCTTTCTCCCCTTCAGACACCCAGCTCTACAAGATCATTTTGCCTGGTGTGTCCCACAGACTGTAGTATAGGCTGGTTCCTCTGCTTCTCATTCCACTTGTCAGTTCTGTAGGCAGGAGGACTGGTACCCAGCAACAGCAGTCACCCACAAAGTAATCTGGTCCTCTCATGCACGTGGGCTGCACTCGTGGCTGGAATATCTGCAGCCAAGGTCTTGGCTCAGAAGTGAATGGCTCAAGCCCAGAAAAAGGCAAAATTCCTCCAAGATGGAAATCAGCCCCTAGGAACCAGGCAGAATAGAGTAATACATGTTTTCCTATGCCCTGAAATCTGGGGAGCCTCAGCAATGCTTAAGACCCAGCAACTTGGGCTCAGCCTTTCCTGAGCGGTGTCAAGTGCCAAAGGACAAACATCATGCTAAAGTCAATTTCTGCGAAAGAGGTTACTGCATATGAAGAGATGGCTGAACCTTCTGACTACATCCTGAGAGCCTCAGGCCGCAGGTAAGGCTGCTTTGATCACCTGGACTCTCTCCTCTTGCCAGGGCATGGTAGAAGGTCTAAGGTCTCACTTAGAAGAGTGATTTCTTCCTATCCCAATAAAGCTGGCTTTTGCCAGCATGGTTTAGTTTAGTTTGTTACAGGGAGGTGAGAGCAGAAAAGGTCCCTGAGCTACTAGCTCCTTGGAAGAAAACCAGAAGCAGCCGGACATGGTGGCTCACGCCTGTAATCCCAGCACTTTGGGAGGCCGAGGCGGGCAGATCACCTGAAGTCAGGAGTTCGAGACCAGCTTGGCCAACATGGTGAAACACCATCTGTACTAAAAATACAAACATTAGTGGTGGTGCGCACCTATAATCCCAGCAACTTTGGAGGCTGAGGCAGGAGAATTGCTTGAACCTGGAAGGCAGAGGATGCCATGCCATGAGCTGTGATCACGCCACTGCACTACTGCCTGGATGACAGAGCAAGACCTTGTCTCAAAAAAAAAAAAGAAAAGAAAAAGAAAAGAAAAAAATCCAGAAGCCTGGCTGGACTTATAGTGCCCATGATCTCAGCTCTCCTCTTGTCCAGACACTGCCCGTTGCCACCTCCCCCTTCCGTGGCCCTTTCTTTTTTTTTTCTTTTTTTGAGACAGTCTTGCTCTTGTCACCCAGGCTGAAGTGCAATGGCGCTATCTCAGCTCACTGCAGCCTCCACCTCACAGGTTCAAGCGATCCTCCTGCCTCAGCCTCCTGAGTAGCTGGGATTACAGGCGCCTGCCACCATGCTTGGCTAATTTTTTTTTTTTTTTTTTTTAGTAGAGACGGGGTTTCATGATATTGGCTAGGCTGGTCTCGAACTCCTGATCTCAGGTGCTCCACCCGCCTCAGTCTCTCAAAGTGCTGGGATTACAGGCGTGAGTCACAGCGCCCGGCCTTCCCTGGCCCTTTCTTGTGGGCTTACTTCCTTTCTTCCTCTTATACCTGAGGAAAGTTGCCTGTCAGTTCATCTAGTCTCTGCTGTCTCCTGCCCTTGTCACTTTTCTTTTACTCACAAAGGAAAAAGACATTCTAGGCTCAGGCCTGGGCCCCAACCCATCCAAGACTTCAGAACACTAGCAGGTACTTGCCTGGCCTGGGACTTTGCTTTCTGTAGCTCAGACTTAAGGAACATGTCTCATTTGAGTCTCAGCACTGGCCTGGGACATGGTGAGGGCCACACTTAGGGAGAGGGCCATCTCCCAGAGCCTCTGCCTAAAGGCCTGAGGCTTACCACAATTTGCAGCCTCAGTATCTGCTTCCTGGCAACTCTAAAGGTCCTTCTCAGGTTGAAATCCCTTTCCAATCCGTCAGGTAACAGTCTACGCCCCCGCAAGCACAAGGCTACCTTCTTTCATCGGCCGTTGGGCTTGTGGGCTTCCTAGAATCATGCCAACCACCTCAGCCCAAGGTAGCCTCAAAGCCAGTAAGTCACCTACAGGTCACATGCTCTCCAAGGAATCCTCACACCACCACCTATGACCCTTAGGAGACAGACACTTGGGTCTTGGCAAGAGCCTGATAGAAAGTTAACTGAGCTGACCAGGCACGATGGCTCATGCCTGTAATCCCAGCACTTTGGGAGGTCGAGGCGGATGGATCGCGAGGTTAAGAGTTCGAGACCAGCCTGGCCAAGATGGTGAAGCCCCGTCTCTACTAAAAATACAAAAATTAGCTGGGTGCAGTGGTAGGTGCCTGTAATCCCAGCTACTCGGGAGGCTGAGGCAGGAGAATCACTTGAACCCAGGAGGCGGAGGTTGCAGTGAGCCGAGATCACACCACTGCACTCCAGCCTGGGCAACAGAGCGAGACTCCGTCTCAAAAAAAAAGAAAGAAAATTAACTGAGCTGGGAGTCCTACTCTTGTTATGGGACTTCAGACAATTCACCTAGCCTCTTGTTATGGGACTTCAGACAATTCACCTAGCCTCTGTGAGTCTCAGCCCTTTTTTCTATAAAATGGAACTTGAACTCACCTTCCTAAAATGACATGGGAATAAAAGTTTTTAAGTTCCTGAATAAAAGTTTTAAGTAACATACAATTGATGGAAACACTGTCATCCCAATGGCTACACAGCTACCTAGACAGCTCCTATGACTCAAAAGTAACTACTTTCACAGTCCAGGAAGTACCTACCTATTTCAAACTGTCCCAAAGATTCTATGTGCGTAAGTGATTCTTCACCACAAAGGAACAACTTCTGGGTTCAAGTGGAAGACAAGGAATACACAAATGGCCTCAGTTTCAAGTATCTCATGCCCTCTTCTTTGCCTTAAAACACTTTGCCTCAACTTAGGCGAGGGGAAAACAAAGTGGGCAATGTTTGGGAAGGCCTAAACATCTGCCCCTGAAGCCTCTGGAGGTAAGGGGCCTGAGAGGACAGCAAAGCCATCAAGAACATAGGATTGAGGTCAGAGACCTAAGTTTTAGTTCCCAGTCAACCACTAATTAGCAAAATAAATTTATACAAGTTTCTTAATGTCTTTGAGCCTCAGTTTTCAGTATCTATAAAATGAAGACAACACCATCTACATCTTATAAGGCTGATGTGAGGATAACATGAGATTAACGATTGTACAATGCCTGGCACATAATCAATAGTCAATAATGGTTACTAATTTTATAATGAAAGTCTTTCTGGTGACAAGGAGTATTTGGAGTTCTGGCTATCTCAAGATAGTTCTAATGATAAGCCAGGGGCTAGGGCCTCATACATCTTCATTCAGCCTATGGCAGATTCTGGTGAAGAGGAAACAACACTGTCTATTCTTTTTTTTTTTTTTTTTTTTTTTGAGATGGAGTTTCGCTCTTATTGCCCAGCCTGGAGTGCAGTGGCGTGATCTCAGCTCACTGCAACCTCCACCTCCTGGGTTCAAGTGATTCTCCTGCCTCAGCCTCCCAAGTAGCTGGGATTACAGGTGCCTGCCACCACTCCTGGCTAATTTTTGTATTTTTAGTAGAGATAGGGTTTTACCATGTTGGCCACGCTGGTCTTGAACTCCTGACCTCAGGTGATCCACCTGCCTCGGCCTCCCAAAATGCTGGGATACAGGCGTGAGCCACCACGCCCAGCTATCATACCTCTTTTTGGCCAAGTGCTACTACATGGACAAAACCACAGAAATAATAGTTCTGGACCAGGTACAGTGGCTCACTCCTATAATCTCAGCACTTTGGGAGGCCGAGGTGGGAGGATCGTTTGAGGTCAGGAGTTCAAGACCAGCCTGGATGATGGAGTGAGACCCCATCTCTATGTTTTATTTATTTTTTTGAGACAAGATCTCACTCTGTCACCCAGGGTGGGGTACAGTGGCATAATCACAGCTCACTGCACCCTTGACCTTCTGGTCTCAAGTGATTCTTCCACCTCAGCCTCCCAAAGTGCTGGAATCACAGGTGTGAAAAAATATATATATATATTTTATATATATTTATATAAAATACATTATATAAAATATATTTATGTATTATATATAAATATATTATATATATATAAAGAAAAAAATAATAGTTCTGGGAGGAGCCTTTGAAATCACTTAGCTAGTTCATGGCCCTTATTTCACAGAGGAAGAAATAAATGCCCAGAAAGATTGTAAATTGCCCAAAGTCATAAAACTGGGATTATATACCAGAATTTTCTCTCAATCCAGTGCTCTTCCTAGTGCTCAACCCAGTGCAGGCTGTGCTCAACCCAGTGCAGGCTGGTCTAACCTGAGGCACATTCTTGGGTTTACAGGCTAAACTTGGCCTTCAGAGACCAAAGATTCAAGGAATTCAAACTTGCTTCTCCTAAGAAGTTTGGAAGTATGATTTGTGGAGAGCTAAGAAAGTAACCTGGTGAAGCCTTGATTTGCTGTTTGAGCTTTAATGACTACCCAGCTCCTTAGGGCTCCAGGGTTTGACAATTTTCAATACTAGCAGTTGAACACCCTGCTCAACCCTGTTGATAGTTGGTGTAAACCAACAAAATTTTACAGATCACTCCAAACTCATTGTCAGCAATATCTGATTTTGGCTGCTATTTTGATTACTCAATACTCATTTTAGATGGAAGCTTGAAATTCAAAGGTCTTTGATCTTTAATTGGGCTTTTTAGGCCTCTGCCATCCTGTGGTCTTCAGGCTCGGGGCGGGGTGCTGAAAGATTCAATAAATCCCTTCTACAATGAATGCTCCTATCTCAAGGCTAATCTTCCATTTTCCCAAAGAGACTGTCATCATTCTGTTCCACTTCCATGCAGTTCTGCTTTAACCCTGTCCAACTCCTAATCATAAAAAAAAAAAAATCTCTGGATGACTTGAAACAGATAAAGGAGTTAAAATGGAATCAGAAGGAAAAAAAGATAAAAAGGCTTTTTATAGGATTTTCATAATAATTTCCATCTATCTGTCCCACTGGATTCTTGATCACTGTTCTACTTTAGCTGTTTACTCACTAGAGAATATGATTTTTTGAACCCATTTCTTCCACAAAGCAGGAAAGGACAGCCTGAGTCATCAAACTCTGAAAACACAAACAAGAGCATCACCAGGCCAAGTCCAGACACTGCCCTTGCTTCTCCTTCCCATAATGTGGAGGGGGCTGGGCAGGCACTACTTATTCTGCAAGCTGATAATGGAGAAATAATGAGTTTGTTCCACAGCAAGTTGGGTAATGGAGTTTATTCCTCATGATGTTTCAGGATTTGGGACACATCTATCCTGGTGCCCACAGAATCAAGAAGCAAGAAGTCTGGACCACAAAGTAGGTATACAGAAAAAAAAAAGAAGGACTGAATAATCAGGTTTGCTCCCCACACTACCTTTCTAAGCTGTTCACTGTTCTGACCTTTCTGACCTCCTGGTCCTAGCATAATTGTCTTATCCCTAAAAGAAATAGTGCTGGGCCAGGTGCAGTGGCTCATATCTGTAATGCAAGCACTTTGGAAGGCCGAGGTGGGCGGATCACTTGAGGTCAGGAGTTCAAAACCAGTCTGGCCAACATGGTGAAACGCCATCTCTACTAAAAATACAAAAATTTGCCGGGAGTGGTGGCATGTGCCTGTAATCCCAGCTACTCGGGAAGCTGAGGCAGGGGAATCGCTTGAACCCAAGAGGTTCAGTGAGGTTGCAGTGAGCCAAGATCATGCCTGGCAACAGTGAGACTCCACTTCAAAAAAAAATAGTGCTGAGCATACCTTAGGCCTTCAACAATGGTCACTGGCAAATGGACTGCTAGAGGGGAGAGGAAGGTCCAAGCAGCTTCAGGCAGTTTTTAATGGTAAATACACAATGAAATCTCCCTCTCATCATCCTGGAGAAATAATATCACAACTCAAATATACCATTTGTCAGCCAGAAAGGCTGAAGTCATCTTCTTTCTAATACCCAGCAAATTTCCTCAAACTCAAAGGAAGACGACTTTTCCTACAAAAATGAGAATGACCTACTCAGGGCATTGCCTAATTCTCTTCTCTGGATTTGTTATTGGGTCTAAAATGCTCTATAAACTTGGGCAAGAGACTGAAAGAGAAATGGAAGGTCTTATCTTTTATTTCCTCTGAAAGGACTAAATTTAGCCTCCCACTCTTCCTCTATTTTCCTAAAACCAGGCCTTTCCCAGAACTGGTTATGTGTCTCCTAATGAGGAATAGCCCTCTTTTCTCCCAGAAGCAATAAAGGTCTGTCCCTAACCTTGCAATTTCAGCAGCCTAGGCAGAGCCTCTTGATGGCATTGTAACAATTATGTTAAGTGGTAGTCAGATGCTGGACAGCTTAGAAGAGGGATTCTGATAAGGGAGAAGCAAAAGCCAATTCTTCTTTCCCTAAAACCCATATTCTTCCAAATTCAAGATTAGTTAAAGCTAAACAAGAAGCACAGCACTGCAAAGATGTTCTCTAAGTAAAGATCTTGGCAGGTCACTGTTGGGTCTAGTTGTACCTGGGTGCTGAAAAGTTCCAATTAGTAGCTAGTGATAGTCAAGATGGCATAGTGGTTAAGAGCACGGCTCTAGAGTTAGCCTGCCTGGACTCATATCCTATCTTCACCAGTTAGCAGCAGGATGGAGCTGGGTAAGCCTGTTTGTTCATCTTTAAAGTGGAAATACTAATAACTTCATCATATATAGCTGGTTCTGAGGACTAAATAAGACAATGTATTGAAAGCTTTCTATGCTTGGCACACAGAAAGCACTTAAGAAGTGTAGCTATTACTACTATTTTCTTTTGCCTTGATATGACCCTATGAATAACTATTTTTTAGGGCCTGAAATTGGGAGAAGTGACCTATTTCCACAGCTTCCCTTTCAACCCCATCCATAAATAAAAAAATTCCTCTCATCTGTCCCCACCCTTTCTGGAAGACATTTGCATTCTACAGGTTTCCCAATGAGGGATTTCCTGTGGAGGAAAGAATATACTGCTTTAGGGTTCGTGCATTAGCAGGTGGACGCAGGCAGAGTGGCAGGCCCTCTCCTAGAGAAACAACATGCCATTACGACTGATTTCCTCACTGAAATCTCTCATAGCTAGATGCTTAGCACTCTGAAGGAGGCTCAGTGTGACATTATGGATTTTCATAATGTCTAACAGAGTCCTAAGAAACAACAAACAGTCAACATGTTTGCTGACTAATTTAGTAACACAGGCCCAACCAAAAAAGAAAGTAATCTCTCATCAAGGTCACGTGGTAAGATTAGAGTTAGACCCTGATGTACCTTCTGCACTGTTCTCAGCATTCTTTGACAGGCTTCAAAAGCCCTCAGAGCCAAGTCTTGCCTTTACGGAGCTAACATGCAAACTGAGGAATCAAGATAAACCACCATCAACAGGCACACCCACAGATGTAAGGACATAGAAGGTTGAGCCAGTAACACTAAGTATGGTTTGGAGTCAGCTGCTTAACTGACCAGTGAATGGGCAGCTAGATTGAGATAGTGTCACACCTTCTAAGACTGGGAAAATAAGGAACCCAAGGTTTTTTCTCTTTTGTTTACCACCTCTTCCTCTTTACATTACTGTAGTAGCTAATTGTGAGTGCAAAATTCTACACAAGTGTAGCAGGGCCCCTGAGACAGCAGCTGCAGGAAGGACCAACCATTAGCTTGGACATATCTGTGACTGACACTGACAGCCTAGACTCCATCAGGGCAATCACCTGAAAGGCAGATTCTTCAAGGCTCAGCCCTGACACTGAAATAAATAAATCCTGTACAAAAGATGAGCAAAAGATGAAACGAATGGGAGAGGATGTCACTCTACTCTCAAAATATACAAGCTATAGCTATGGTTTCTCAGAAATTATGTTTGATCCATTCTGAAATGACTTTCTGAGGTGTGTTCAATGTAGCGATGGATTCCAACTGCATAAATTCAGCTCAGCTGTGCAGTGTACTTATTAGATAACTGTCCAAAACAATCTAAGCAGAGAAACATGGTGATCTTTGAGCAGCCAGGTTCAAAGAGTTGCTGAGCCATTTTTAGCACTTGTTTGCATATAGCAACCAAAAGAGTTGTATCTCAGACAACAAGGAAAACAATTAGATTCATGAGCTCCAATGCTAACTAGTACCCAGAGGAGACTGTTAAATTCCTTTAAATGCTATCGGCTTACCCCTCTGGTCCATGGGCAGATGGAGGGTCTCAAAGAGACACAGTGACCAAGCAGACAGTTAAAAGGATAAAATATTAGAGACCCAAAAGCTTCAGGTTCAAACTCTCCTTACTGTTGAGAGATATGAAGGTTGAGCCTTTGTAAATGATCAATGTTAGTTAAGGCTAGCACTTGGACCCAAGAATAGATGGAAAAAAAACGGGGAAAGGGAATATCAGAAATGTTTTAGTAAATTATCTTAAAAAGGACATAAAAATGCTCACTATATATACCATTTCCAACACCCATTTGAGACTTCCCTCTGTAGTAACTGAGAAAAGAGGAGGGAAGAAAGAGAATGAAGTAGGTGGAGATGATATATATAGATATAGATATAGATATATAGATATAGATGAATAGTTAATATAAGGGAAGGTTCTCTGAAAAATATGTGAAATTCAAAAAATTCAGTTGGGCAACTCAGGGTATGCAGTATTTTAAAGTAGTTCAGAACTTCCACTTGATAGAGTAACTGAGAACTGGGAAACAATTCTTGTCAGATACTGGATATCAGGCAGTGCAGGACAGGAATCCTAAGAGAAGGAAAACAAGGAGAACTTGAAGGTCCTGCCAAGCTAAGGAGACATATAGGTGTTTGGGGAGGCAGACTATCAAAGAGAAGGGAGACAGGCCGAGAAGGAGCTTCAGAAATTTTCAAAGTGTTCCTACTGAATTTGTTCCTAAATATTAATAATATGGATTGCATATGTTGGGTCTGACTCAACTAGGTCAGACAAAAATTATCTGAGAATTTGTAAGCTGAACAATTCTCAGAGTTCACAGAGGGCTGGGAGATGTTTGAATTTTGACTAACCAGAATGAAGAGTACCTGTTGAATACCTAGGGCATTCAAACAAGATGCCACAATAGTTACACCCGAGCAGTGGCACTAAACTAGCCCTAGAGTAAAGGCTACTTTAAACTAACCCAAATGAAGATTTCAAAAATGTGTCAGAAGGATTGTACTACTCCATAAATATTTTATCTGCCTTCCTGAATAAAGTCCAATATAATTTAAAGAAAGACAACAAAATCTAGCACTTAACTTCAATAAAAATAGCCAGACATATCAAGAAGCAGAAAAATGTGACCTATAACCAAGAGAAACAGCAGTCAATAGAAATAGACCCAGAAATGAGGGAGATGATGAAGTTAGCAACAAGGACATTTAAAGAGCTATTATTTTAAAGACCCATTAACATAATAAAGAGAAAAATGGTAGATATAAGGCACATTGTAATGAAACTAGTGTTAAAGGAAGAATAGTAAAATCAGCTAGAGAAAAAAAGACACATTATGTATAGAGGAACAAAGATAAGAGTTCACATTGCTTGCCAGAAAATATGTAAGCCAGAAGACAATGTAATAATAATATTTGTGCTGACAGGAAAAAAAATAGTTAACTTAGAATCCTACGTCCAGCAAAAACATCATTCAGAAATGAGAGTAAAATAAAGACATTTTCAAACAATCTGAGAGAATGTGTTGCCAAAAGTCCTGTACTACAAGAGATATTAAAAGAAGTTCTTGACTGGGCACAGTGGTTCACACCTCTAATCCCAGCACTCTGGGAGGCTGAGGCGGACGGATCACGAGGGCAGGAGTTTGAGACCAGCCTGGCCAACAGGGTGAAACTCTGTCTCTACTCAAATACAAAAATTAGCTGGGCATAGTGGCACATGCCTGTAATCCTAGCTACTTGGGAGGCTGAAGCAGAAGAATTGCTTAAAGCCGGGAGGCAGAGGTTGCAGTGAGCCAAGATTGCACTACTACACTCCAGGCTGGGCAACAGAGCGAGACTCCGTCTCAAAAAAAAAAAAAAAAAAAAAGGCTGGGCGCAGTGACTCACACCTGTAATCCCAGCACTTTGGGAGGCCAAGGCGGGTGGATCACGAGGTCAGGAGATCAAGACCATCCTGGCTAACACAGCGAAACGCCATCCCTACTAAAAATACCAAAAAAAAAAAAAAAAAAAAAAATTAGCCAGGCGTGGTGGTGGGCGCCTGTAGTCCCAGCACTCGGGAGGCTGAGGCAGGAGAATGGTGTGAACCTGGGAGGCGGAGCTTGCAGTGAGCCGAGATTGTGCCACTGCACTCCAGCCTGGGCGACAGAGCGAGATTCCCTCTCAAAAAAAAAAAAAAAAAAAAAAAAAGATGTTCTTTGGCAGAAGGAAACTTATATCACCTGTATCTATAAATAATAATAAAGAGCACTAGAAATAGTAAATACATGGGTAAACAGAAATTATTTTTACACAAATTTAAAATGTATGACAACAATAGTACCAATGAAAGAATAGGGCAAATGGAAACATACTATTACAAGGTTTTCACATGTAACGTGAAATAATACATTATTTTGAAGGTGCACTATGGCCGGGTGTAGTGGCTCACACCTGCAATCCCAGCACTTTGGGAGGCAGAGACAGGCAGATCACTTGAGGTCAGAAGTTCGAGACCAGCCTGGCCAACATGGTGAAACCCTGTCTCTAGTAAAAATACAAAAATTAGCTGGCCGTAGTGGCGCATGCCTGTAATCCCAGCTACTGGGGAGACTGAGGCAGGAGAATTGCTTGATCCCAAGAGGGGGAGGTTGTAGTGAGCCAAGATCGCACCACTGTACTCCAGACCTGGCAACAGAGTGACACTCCATCTAAAAAAATAAATAACATGAAGGTACACTGTGATAAGTTAAAGATGTATATTGTAAGCCTTATAGCAACCACTAAAAAAAGAAAACGAAAACGGATAACTAAAATGTCAATAGCAGATATAAAATGAAATCATAAAAAAAAAACCCTCAGTAAAATAAAAAGAGGGCAGAAAAAGAAAAAGAACAATGAGTGGATGGGAAAAACGGGGGAAAGCAAGATGGTAGTTTTTAACTCAGTTATATTCATAAATAAGTTCAATGTAATACTCCAATTAAAAGGCAGGGACTTTCAGATTGGACATAAAATCAAGAGCCAATTATACAAGTTGCCCAAAATAAATCCACTTAAGCCAGGCGCGGTGGCTCATGCCTGTAATCCCAGCACTTTGGGAGGCAGAGGCGGGTGGATCACCTGAGGTCGGGAGTTCGAGACCAGCCTGACCAAGATGGAGAAACCCTGTCTCTACTAAAATTACAAAATTAGCCTGGCATGGTGGCGCATGCCTGTAATCCCAGCTACTCGGGAGGCTGAGGCAGGAGAATAGCTTGAATCCGGGAGGCGGAGGTTGCGGTGAGCCAAGATCACGCCACTGCACTCCAGCCTGGGCAACAAGAATCTACCTAAAATATAAAGACACAGATTGAAAGTAAAATGATAGAAGAAAGTTGAATTGCTATATTAATATCTGACAAAGGAAACTTAAAAACAAGAAATAGTATCAGGAATATAGAGCAAAATTTTGTAATGATAAAGAGGTCTATTCATTATGAAGACGTAACAAACCCATACATACATGCATCTAAAAACAGTTTCAAAACTTTGAATGAAACAAAATCGATAGGCTAAAGAAGAAACAGAAAAACATATAGTTACAAGTTGAAGGTTTCCATACTACTTTCAGTAACTAATAGAACAAATAGGTAACCCTAAACAATATGGGTTTGAACTGTGTGGGTCCACTTATATGCAAATTTAAAAATATACATATATATTAGAAAGGTTTTTGAAGATTTGGAACAATTTGAAAAATCTCGCAAATTGTGTATCTTAGAAATTTTGAAAAAATTGGTTGTGCATGGTAGCTCGTGCCTGTAAATCCCAGCACTTTGGAAGGCCGAGGTGAGAGGATCGCTTGAGCCCAGGTGTTCAAGACCAGCCTGGGCAACATAGTGAGACTCCATCTCTTAAAAAATAAAATAAAATTAAGGCCAGGCACAGCGGCTCACACCTGTAATCCCAGCACTTTGGGCTGCCAAAGAGGTTGTATCACAAGGTCAAGAGTTCGAGACTGGCCTGGCCAATATGGTGAAACCCTGTCTCTACTAAAAATACAAAAATTAGCTGGGTGTGGTGACACTTGCCTGTAGTCCCAGCTGCCCAGGAGGCTGAGGCAGGAGAATCACTTGAACCCAGTAGGCAGAGGCTGCAGTGAGACAAGATAGTGCCACTACACTCCAGCCTGGGCAACAGAGCAAGACTCCATCTCAAAAAAAAAAAAAAAAAAACACACACACACACACACACACACACACAAAAACCAGACAATTCTCAAAAGAAGACACATGAAAAAATGCTCATCATCAGTGGCCATCAGAGAAATGCAAATCAAAACCACAATGAGATACCATCTCATACCAGTTAGAATGGCGATCATTAAAAAGTCAGGAAACAGGTGCTGGAGAGGATGTGGAGAAACAGGAACACTTTTACACTGTTGGTGGAACTGTAAACTAGTTCAACCATTGTGGAAGACAGTGTGGCGATTCCCTAAGGATCTAGAACAAGAAATACCATTTGACCCAGCCATCCCATTACTGGGTATATACCCAAAGGATTATAAATCATGCTACTATAAAGACACATGCACACGTATGTTTATTGCGGCATTATTCACAATAGCAAAGATTTGGAACCAACCCAAATATCCATCAATGATAGACTGGATTAAGAAAATGTGGCACATATACACTATGGAATCCTATGCAGCCATAAAAAAGGATGAGTTCATGTCCTTCGTAGGGACATGGATGAAGCTGGAAACCATAATTCTGAGCAAACTGTCTCAAGGACAGAAAACCAAACACCGCATGTTCTCACTCATAGGTGGGAATTGAACAATGAGAACACTTGGACACAGGTTGGGGAACATCACACACTGGGGTCTGTTGCAGGCTGGGGAGAGGGGGAAGGGATAGCATTAGGAGAAATACCTAATGTAAATGACGAGTTAATGGGTGCAGCACACCACATGGCACATGTATACATATGTAACAAACCTGCACATTGTGCACATGTACCCTAGAACTTAAATTTAAAAAAATCAGGACTTTACAAACTCTCAATTAAAAGCCCTGACGCAGCTCAAAAAAAAAAATTTTTTTTTAATTATATTAAAGCTTTGGGAGGCCGAGGCGGGCAGATCACAAGGTCAGAAGATCGAGACCATCATGGCTAACATGGTGAAACCCCGTCTCTACTAAAAATACAAAAAATTAGCCAGGCATGGTGGTGGGCGCCTGTAATCCCAGCTACTCGAGAGACTGAGGCAGGAGAATGGCATGAACCCGGGAGGCAGAGCTTGCAGTGAGCTGAGATTGCGCCACTGCACTCCAGCCTGGGCGACAGTGTGAGACTATGTCTCAAAAAAAAAAAACAAAAACAAACAAACAAACAAAAAGAGTAAGAAAACATTAAATATGTAATGAACACGTAAGATATACATAGAGAGTATTTTATCATTTACTACCATAAAATATACACAAGTCTATTATAAAAAGTTAAAATTTACAAAACTCATGCACACAAACACCACACATGGCACCATTTGCAGCTGAGAGAAATGTAAGCAAACGTAAAGAGGCAGTATTAAATTATAACTGTATAAAATTAACTGTAGTACCTACTGTACTACCGTAATTTTTTTTTCTTTTTTGAGACAGAGTCTCACTCTGTTGCCCAGGGTAGAGGGTAGTGGCATGATCTTGGCTCACTGCAGCCTCTGCATCCCAGATTCAAGCGATTCTCCTGCCTCAGCCTCCCAAGTAGCTGGGATTACAGGCATGAACCACCACTCCAGGCTAATTTTCATATTTTTTGTAGAGATGGGGTTTCCCCATGCTGGCCAGGCTGGTCTTGAACTCCTGACCTCAGATGATCCGCCCACCTCGGCCTTCCAAAGTGCTGGGATTACAGGCGTGAGCCGCTGCACCTGGCCTACTGTAATATTTTCATAGCCATCTCCTGTTGCTAGTGTGGTGAGCTCAAGTGTGACTATCCACTTAAAATGCCCTGTGACGCTAATCATCTCCACATGAGTAGTTCCTCTCTCCAATAAATTGTGTATTGCAGTAAAAAGCGATCTCTTGGCTGGGTGCGGTGGCTCACGCCTGTAATCCCAGCACTTTGGGAGGCCGAGGCAGGTGGATCACCTGAGGTCAGGAGTTCAAGACCAGCCTGGCCAACATGGCGAAACCCCATCTCTACTAAAAATACAAAAATTAGCCGGGTGTGGTGGCACTTGCCTGTAATCTCAGCTACTTGGGAGGCTGAGGCAGGAGAATCACTTGAACCCAGGAGGTGGAGGTTGCAGTGAGCTGGGATTGCACCATTGCACTCCAGCCTGGGCAAGAAGAATGAAACTCCATCTCAGAAGAAAAAAAAAAAAAAGCTATCTTTCGCAGTTCTCATATATTTTTCATGGTGTTTAGTGCAATAGTGTAAAACTTGAACAACTCCATGGAACCCACACAAAGTGCCATGAGAGAGACTGAAAGTGCTCGCAAGAAGCAGAGAAGAGTCAGAGCATTACAAGAAGAGGCTGAATTGCTTGATATGTACCACAGACTGAGGTCTGCAGCTGCAGTCACTTGCCATTTCAAGAAAAATGAATCCAGTGTAAGGACAAGTGTAAAAAAAAAAAAAAAAGAAAAGAAAAGGAAAAGAAATTTATGAAGCCATTCCTGCAGCTACGCCAGCAGGCATGAAAATCTTGCATTTTTTGCAAAATACCTTTTTATCTTGTATTGAAGATGCAGCTTTTATGTGGATGGAGGATTGCTGTAAGAAAGGCATACCTATAGACTCTAATGTGATTAGAGAAAAAGTGAAGTCATTATATGACAACTTAAAGCAAACAGGAAGGTGAAGAATTTAAAGCTGGGGAACTTAATATCAGCAAAGGATGGTTTGATAATTTTGAAACAAATTTGGCTTTAAAAATGTCAAGATAACAGGAGAAGCAGCCTCTGCCAACCAAGAGGCAACAGATGAATTTCTAGACACTATTAAGAAAATCACTGAGATAGCAAGACCCTGTCTGTCTGTAAAAACAAACAAACAAAAACAAACAAACAAACAAAAAGAATGAACAAAGAAAATCACTGTAGACAAAAGTACCCTATTCTGAAAAAAAATTTCTGCAAAAGACATTTATTAGTAAGGAAGGAAAGTGACCGACAAGATTTAAGGCAGGAACAGTAACCCTGCTTTGTGCAATTGCAATTGGGTTTATGATGAGGAGTGCCCTTATCTATAAACCTTTAAGCCCTGAGTCTTGAAAGGAAAAGAAAAACACCTAGTTTTTATCTTGCTAATCTTCTGCTAGTCTTCTTGTTATATGACAAGAAGGCCTGGACAACAAAAACTCTTTTACTGGATTGGTTCCATTGATTCTGTCTCTGAAATCGCAAAGCACCCTGCCAGTAAGGAACTGCCTTTTAAAGTTCTTTTGATACTGTACAATGCCACTGGCTACCCATGACCCCACGAATTCAGCACCAACCATGGGTGCCCCAAAGATGTCTCTAATTCAGCCTCCAAATCAGAGGGTCATAAAGACCTTTAAGGCTCATTACATATGGTACTCTATGCAAAGGACTGTCAATGCTGTGGGAGAAAACCCAATTGGAGAGAATATCATGAAAATCTGGAAGGATTACAACACTGAAGATGCCATCACTGTTACAGAAAAAGCCATGGGCGAGGTGCAGTGGCTCACACCTGTAATCCCTGCACTTTGGGAGGTCAAGGTGGGAGGACTGCTGGCATCCGGGAGTTCAAGACCAGCCTGGGCAACATAGTGAGACCCCACCTCTACAAAAAATAAAAAATTAGCTGGGTGTGATGGTGCATGCCTGTGGTCCCAGCTACTCGGGAGGCTGAGGTGGGAGGATCACTTGAGCCCAGGAGGCCAAGGCTACAGTGAGCAGTGATCACGTGAATGCGCCCCAGCTTGTATGACAGAGTGAGACCCCATCCCAAAAAAAAAAGAAAAAGCCATGAAAGGCTGGGGGTGGTGTCTAATGGCTATAATCTCAGCACTTTGGGACGCTGAGGCAGGAGAATGGCTTGAGGTCAGGAGTTTGAGATCAGGCTGGGCAACATAGTGAGACCCTGTTTCTATTAAAAAAAAAAAAAAAGAATTGGAAAAAGCCATGAAAGTCATCAAGTCCAAAACAACAAATTTCTGCAGGAGAAAACTGTGTCCAGATGTTGTGCATGACTTCACAGGATTTACTACAGAGTCAAATCAAGGAAATTACAAAAGAGGTTGCAGATATGGATCTTGGAGAAATTCCAGAGCTAACAGACACAACATCAGAGGAATAAACAGAAGAAGACATGAGGGAGATGCGTTCTTCCCCAACCAGTGCCAGACAATAGGAAGAAGACATAGAAGAAGCAGAGCCAAGAAACAAATTGACATTAGACAATCTGGATGAAGGTTTCCAATTATTCAAGACTGCTTTTGACTTCTTTTACAACATGAACCATTCTATGATACAGGCAATAGAACTAAAGCAAATCGTGGAAAAAGACTGGTACCATATAGCAACATTTTTCAGAGAAATAAAAAAGTAAAAATGTTAGACAGAAATTATGATGGATTTCCACAAAGTTAGTTATACCAAGTGTGCCTACTTCTCCTGCCTCCCCTTTCCACCTCCTCCACCTCTTCTGCCTCTGCCATCCTTAGACAGCAAGACCAACCCCTCCCTCCCTGTCCTCCTTCCTCCTCCTCAGCCTACTCAACATGAAGATGATGAGGAAGATCTTTATGACCCACTTCCACTTAATGAATAGTAAATACATTTTCTCTTCCTTATGATTCTCTTAATAACATTTTCTTTCCTCTAACTTTATTGTAAGAGTACAGTATATAATACATATATAAAATATGGGTTAATCAACTGTTTATGTTATCAGCAAAGCTTCTGGGCCAGGCACGGTGGCTCACGCCTATAATCCCAGCACTTTGGGAGGCCAAGGCAGGTGGATCACCTGAAGTCAGGAGTTCAAGACTAGCTTGGCCAATATAATGAAACCCCATTTCTATTAAAAATACAAAAATTAGCCGGGTGTGGTGGCAGGCGCCTGTAATCCCAGCTGCTTGGGAGGCTGAGGCACAAGAATCGTTTGAACCCGGGAGGCAGAGGTTGCAGTGAGCCAAAATTGTGCCACTGCACTCCAGCTTGGGAGACAGAGTGAGACTCTGTCTCAAAAAAAAAAAAAAAAGAGGTTAAGCTTCTGGTCAATAGTAGGCTATTAGCAGTTAAGTTTTTGAAGAGTCAAAATATGCAAATTTTCAACTGCACAGGGGGCCAGTGCCTCTAACTTGGGTGTTGTTTAAGGGTCACCAGCAGACAGAAAATAAGTAAAGAGAGAATATTTAAAAGCTACCAACATACTTAACTTCTAAAAGCGATTTATAGAAAACAACTCAACAACAAGGGAACACATTCTTTTCAAATGCACACAGAACATTCAACAAGATGGACTGTACAATGGACCATAAAGCAACTCTCAATAAATTTAAAAGGATTGTAATCACACTGAGTATATTTTCTGACCATCAGGGAATTAAATATGCAATTAGTAACAAAAATATATCTTGAAAATCCCCAAATAATGGAAATGAAACACATTACTATATATCACCAGAGAAATGAGAAAATATTTTAAACTGAATGAAAATGAAAACACAACCTACCAAAATTTGTGAGATGTTGTTAGCACAGGAAAAATTTACAGCTCTAACTTTTCATATTAGAAAATAAGATCTAAAATCAATGACCTAAATTTCTACCTTATGAAATTAGAAAGAGAGCAAATTAAATCAAAGCAAACAGAAGGAAATAATACAGATAACCATATAAATCAATGAAAAGGAAAAATAACAGGCTGGGCATAGTGGTAACACCTGTAATCCCAGCACCTTGAGAGGCTGAGGGGGGTGGATCACTTGAGCTCAAGAGTTTGAGACCAGCCTGAGCAACATGGCAAAACTCCATCTCTACAAAAAATACAAGAATTAGCTAGGTGTGGTGGCGGAAGCCTGTAGTCCCAGATACTCAGGAGGTTGAAGCCAGAGGATCACTTGATCCTGGGAAGTGGAGGCTGCAGTGAGCAGAGATTGCGCCACTGCACTCCAGCCTGGGTGACGAAGTGAGATCCTGTCTTAAAAAGAAAACAAAAGAAAAATAACAGAAAACCAATGAAACTAAAAGCTAATTCTTTGAAAGATTAATAAAATTGACAAACCTCTAACCAGGCTGATAAGCAACAGAAGAGAAAAGACACACATTACTCATATCATGAATTTGAGAGGGCATCACTATAAATCCTACAGGGATTTCAAGGAACAGGGAGAATTTTATGAACGAATTATGCCAATAAATTCAACAACCTACATAAATGAATAACTTCCTTGAAGACACAAATGATTAAAACTGGTTCAAGAACAAGTAGTAAACTGACTATTCCTAAATCTATTAAAGAAATTCAACTAACAATTAAAATGTTTTCCACAGAAGTATACTGATATATGCATTTTACTTTGAAACACATTAAAAAAAGATGGATTGATGGATGGAGATCTATCCTATGGGTTATACATGTGATAAAGCAAGTAGAGTGAAATGTAAATAACAGAATTTAGGTGAGGGTTATGTGGCTATTCACCATATAATTTTTTCCAACTTTACTATATGTTTGAAATTTTCCCTAATAAAATATTGGGTATAAATTCTTCCCACAAAGAAAACTATAGGTCCAGATGACTTCACTGATTATGCTACTAAACATTAAGCAAGAAATAAAACCAATCCTATACAAACTCTTTTTAAAAACAGGGGAGGAAGGAATACTTCCCCAACTCATTTTTTAAGAGCAATATTACTCTAATACCCAAACCAAACAAAGACATCACAAGAAAACAATGAACTTTGGGAGGCCTGGTAGCCTGTAGTCCCAGCTACTCAGGAGGCTGAAGTGGGAGGATCACCTGAGCCCGACGAGGTTGACGCTGCAGTGAGCTGTGATCATGCTACTGTACTCTAGCCTGGATGACAGAGTAAGACCCTGTCTCAAAAAAACCCAAACAACAAACAAACAACCAAAAAACCCAAAAATCTAATAAATAAGTTTATCAAGGATGCAGGAAAAAAAAGTCAATTAAAAAACAAGTATATTTCCATAAACTAGCAACAAACGACTGGAAATTGAAATTTAAAATACCATTTACATGACATAAAAATGAAATATTTAGGGATAAATTGAGCAAAATAGGCATAAAACAAGTACACTACGAAACACTGACAAAAATTTTAACAGACCTAAATAAATGGAGAGGTATATTATGTTTACTCCATTATGGATATGAAAACAGTATTATTAAAAGTATCAATTCTCTTCCAAGTCATCTATAGAGTTAATGCAATTCTAATCAAAATCTCACCAGTCTTTTTGCAGAAACAAGCTAATTTTATACAGAAATGGAAAGGACCTAGAATATTCAAAAACATTTAAAAAAAACAAAATTAGAGGGTTAGCTGATTTCAAGATTTATTATAGACATACAATAATCAAGACATGGTAGACCATAAATTTAGACGTATAGACCAATGGAACAGAACTGACGGTCCAGAAATAAACTGCACATACATGTTCAATTGATTTTTTTTTACAATGCGCCTAAGTACCTCAATGGAGAAAGAGTAGTCTTTTCAACAAATGGCAACATAACTGAATATTTGGCGGGGGGGAAAGAACATTTACCACACACCATAAAAAAGGTTAATTTGAAATGAATCACAGAACTAAATGTAAAAGCCAGAATTACAAAACTTACAGAAGAAAATACAACGAGGCCGGGTACAGTGGCTCACACTTGTAATCCCAGCACTTTGGGAGGCCGAGGTGGGTGGAACACTTGAGGCCAGGAGTTCAAGACCAGCCTGGTCAACATGGTGAAACCCTGTTTCTACTAAATATACAAAAATTAGCTGGGTGTGGTGGTGCACGCTTGTAATCCCAGCTGCTCAGGAGGCTGAGGCATGAGAATTGCTTGAACCCGGAGGCAGAGGTTGCAGTGAGCCGAGAATGTGCCACTGCACTCCAGCTTGGGCGACAGAGTAAGACTCTCAAAAAAAAAGAAAAAAAGAAAGTACAATGAACATTTTTGCAACCAGAAGTAGGCAGAGATTTATTAAATAAAACACAAAAGCATGACTCCTTTAAAAAGTAAATTAATCTTCATGAATATCTACTTAAGTTAAAATTGATCTTAAAAATATCTAGTATTTGAAAGACATCACTGAGAATATGCAAAGAAAAATGGCAAGCTACTGACTTGGAGAAAATATTTAGAGAGTGTGTGTGTGTGTGTCTGTGTAACAACGTGTGTGTGTGTGTGTGTGTGTGTAACAACCTGCATCAAAAATATATAAAAACTCATAAATAATACAATTTAAGAAAAGAAGAACAACCAAATTTTAAAAATAGGTAAATGATCTGGACACTTCACAAAAGAAGATATATAATGGCCACATAAAAAGCTGCTCTAGCCGGGCACAGTGGCTCATGTCTGTAATCCCAGCACTTTGGGAGGCCAAGGTGGGTGGATCACTTGAGGTGAGGAGTTCAAGACCAGCCTGACCAATATGGTGAAAACCCGTCTCTACTAAAAATACAAAAATCAGCTGGACGTGGTGGCACGCACCTGTGGACCCAGCTAACTCAGGAGGCTGAAGCAGGAGAATCACTTGAACTTGCTCTAGTCATCATGCAAATTAAAACTAATAATATTAAAAAGTTGTAATAAGTGGCTGGGCATGGTGGCTCATCCCTGTAATCCCAGCATTTTGGGTAGCCAAGGCAGGTGGATCATCTGAGGTCAGGAGTTCAAGACCAGCCTGGCCAACATGGTGAAACCCCATCTCTACTAAAAATACAAAAATTAGCCAGGTGGGGTGGTAGGCGCCTGTAATCCCAGCTACTCGGGAGGCTGAGACAGGAGAATTGCTTGAACCCAGGAGGTGAAGATTGCAGCGAGCCGAGATCACGCCACTGCACGCCAGCATGTGTAACATAGCAAGACTCCATCCCAAAAAAGAAAAAAAAAAAGCTGTAATAAGTATACTACATACCCAATGGCTAAAATTAAAGACTCATAATTCCCAGTGTGGCAAAGACATGGTGTAGTTGGAACTTTCGTATGTTCGTTGATTGGAATGAGAAATGGTAGAACCACTTTTGAAAACAGCGTGGCAGGCCGGGCACAGTGGCTCACGTCTGTAATCCCAGCACTTTGGGAGGCCGAGGTGGGCGGATCATGAGGTAAGGAGTTCAAGACCAGCCTGACCAACATAGTGAAACCCCGTCTCTACTAAAAATACAAAAAAAAAAAAAAATTAGCTGGGCGTGGTAGTGTGCACCTGTAATCCCAACTGCTCAGGAGGCTGAGGCAGGAGAATCATTTGAACCCAGGAGGCAGAGGTTGCAGTGAGCCGAGATCGCGCCACTGCACTCCAGCCTGGGGGACAGGGCAAGATTCTGTCAAAAAAACAAAACAAAACAAAAACAAACAAAAAACCCAGCGTGGCAGTTTCTTTTTTTCTTTCAACATATTTATTGAGATATAGTTTATATATTATAAAATTCATTCGCTTAAAGTGTACAATTCAATGATTTTAGTATATTCACACAGTTACGTAACTATTACCATGATCTAAGTTTAAAACACTTTTATCAACCCAAAAAGAAATCCCGTACTCATTAGCAGTCCCTCCCCACCCTGCTCCCCACCTGTAGCCCAAGCAACCACTAATCTACTTTCTGTCTCTATAGATTTTCTGGGCATTTCAAATAAAAGAAATCACACAATATGTGGTCTTTTGTGACTGTTTCTTTCACTTATCATAATGTTTTTGAGAGTGATCCATGTTGTAACATGTATCAGTACCTCCTTCTTTTTTTATGGCTGAATAATATTCCATGGTATGAATGAATCACACTTTGTTTATTCATTCAACTGCTAATGGACATTTAGGTTGTTTCTACTTTTTGGTCATCCTAAATAATACCGCTATGAACATCTGTGTACAGATCTTTGGGTGGATATATATTTTCATTTCTCTTGAGTAAACACCCAAGGAGTGTCATGATGTATATGAATCTCAGAAAGAAGACATAAAAGAGTACATATTGCATTAGTTTATTTATATAAAATTTTTAAAAAGACAGATCTACTCTACAGTGAAAATAATCATATCAGCCGTTGTCTATGGCCCAGACTTGGGGTGAGGACTGACTGCAAAGTGGTATAAGAGAACATTTTTTGGGTGATGGAAATGTTCTACATCTTGATTGTGGTGGTGGTTACATAAACATATTTTATTATATGTTAATTATACCTCAATAAAGTTAAATTTAAAAGTCCAGCAAATCAGGACTAGTCAAAAAAAAAATGTATGGCCATGGGCAGTAAGCTTGTGTCATTTTTGGTCTTAATATTCCATTTTGGGTTGGGACAAGAATGATTCAGACTGATACATCAGTAACTCTAAGCTAGGAGTTAGTATTTCAACAATGCTAATGAGTCCTCCCATTGTGCTCTTCCCCACCACCCCTGAACAACCCCATAATCCTCCCTGACAAATTAAATTGACTCCAGGTAGCAAACAACAGTGCCTGGAACTATTCTCAGCTGGGGACTAGCTACAGGAAGGTTTTTTAGTGGGTGTAATTACCTGGGCTTTCTAATAAGCTCAATCATTTGCTAAGCTGAGGAACTTCTGGGGTCCTGCCATTACTAAGGACACCTAACGAGGGTTCTGCTTTTGCCTTTTTTATGAAACTGAGGCAAGAATGAGAGATACTACATGATCATGGCTCTGCTTGTGGCAACTCACTCTGAATAAGGGCCAATAGTTTATGGATCTGCAAAGAGACAATATTTCACTGGGGGTTCAAGGAGAACGGGGAGGTTTATCTGTCCTTCTTAGGCTTACAAAGGGTCAGGTGGGACTGCTGTGAAGACTCCGTTCATGTACATCAGCTGAGAGGTCTAAGGTGTGCACACAGGCAAAGGTCTAAAATGAAAGTAGTGATCCTGATACATACTCCATGAAGGCCTCAAGGGCAGGTATGGTTTTTGCATTTTTGTAGCCCCTGGCTTGGCACAGCGTACATACTTCTGTACTTCTGCATGGAAGAAAATAAATCTGCGGAACATTAAGCCAGGGCAACCCTTCTCTGCCTTACTGCACTAAAGATACTTAGAAGCTGAGAATTCTTAGACCAAAGCAGGTCCTGAGAGCTTCCTTTGGAGGCAAGAATTGGTTCTTTTTTTCCACAACACTTTAGTAGCCCAAAGTGACTGAAAAAAAAAAAATAGCCAAAAGCACAGGAACTAGAGTAGCGAACTGTAACAAAACCACAGACCTCATCGAGTGAGCATCCCTCCCTCCACTGGGTGCTTATAGTGACTTTCTATCCAAGATAATCTGAATCTCTCTCCAGGGTACAAACACTCAATATAATTATTTGGAAACAATGATCCAAAAGGTAGACACAAATCTCTTAGACTACAGATAGTTGTTCTGCCTTTTAAAAGGTAACTTCCCTGTATACAGCCACCCTGTATATAATAGGCAGAAGGTTTTTTCCCCCCTTTCTATTTTCATTTCCTATACTTCAGGACCAAACCCAGTTTCAGACCCAATTTAAGCTGGCCAGTTCTCCCAGTCCATCCATGCCTTTCAAGCCTGCTACCAAAGAGCTCTACACTGCCCTCAGATTTATTGATCTGATAGGCTGACTCTGCCCTTCAGCAAGGTGAAGCAGATAATGAACCTCACAGTGGGTGATTAGTGAGAGGCCATCAGTTGGTTAAAAGGGTGGTGACATGACTTTAATTTCCCTGGGCAGTCACCCCCACCTCCCTGACTTTATTTGGTTGAAGCCCTAGACACCCCTTGTGAAGCTTTTTTCTTTTTTTCACTAATTACAGATCCAACACACACAGGTCCTTACCTTGCACAAGCAAGGCATCCAATCACACTAATGGGGCTGGGGAAACATGATACACAAATATCACATTAGAACTTCTCTTCTGGCTTGGCGCAGTGGTTCACGCCTGTAATCCCAACACTTTAGGAGGCCGAGTCGGGCAGATCACAAGGTCAGGAGATTGAGACCATCCTGGCCAACATGGTGAAACCCCATGTCTACTAAAAATACAAAAAAATCAGCTGGGCATGGTGGCACGCGCCTGTAGTCCCAGCTACTCAGGAGGCTGAGGCAGGAGAATTGCTTGAACCCGGAAGGCGGAGATTGCAGTAAGCTGAGATAGCGCCACTGCACTCCAGCCTGGCGACAGAGCAAGGCTCCATCTCAAAAAAAAAAAAAAAAAAAAACAACTTATTTTCTATGGCTTGTTGCATGCAGGGCACTCTCCCTAGCTCCAACCAAGAGGCTGACATCTCTGTCCTCCCCACCTGAAATTTCTTTTCTTGGAAACATCACATCTAAGAAAGGGAGAGAGAAAACATTGTCTTTGTTCCTAACTCACTGGTAATTCAACACGGGATCTCTGTCTCTTTGCCAGACCTCATTTATCTATCCCTCCCAAACAGAATCTTTTAACAGAAATCCCATCTGTGGGCTCTAACTAGGTGGGTCATTTTGAAGACCACATCTTTTCAACAAGATTACTATAAAAAGTCAAAATGCTGTTATGGTACTTGGGAAAAACATTTCCAATCAACACAGTTAATAATAGAGATACAAGTTTGCATAATGACACATGTGGCCTCTGATGTTACTGTAATGACAAACCATGTTCTTCCAAGAACATCTTAAAGAGTTCTGAGCCACTTCCTGAGGGAAGATGTTGCAGTGGAAACAAAAAGAACTTCCCCAAGATCTACTGGAAAAAAGGTGACTAAAAAAACTGAAGTGGGAATTCCTACCTGAACACTCTCATCTAGTAACCAGGATAAAAGATAATTCTTGGGTTAAACCAAGAAAGCAAGGACTCCTGTCTCCAGTAACCTCTTCAAAAGCTGACTACTGGCCAGGTGCGGTGGCTCACACCTGTAATCCCGGCATTTGGATAGGCTGAGGTGGGAGGATCACCTGAGCCCAGGAGTACAAGACCAACCTAGGCAACATAAGGAGACCTGGTCTCCACAAAAAATTTTAAAAGTTAGCAGGGTGTGGTGGCGCACACCTGTAGTCCCAGCTACTCAGCTGGGACTGGCAACACAGTGAGACCCTATCTCTACCAAAAAAAATAAAAAATAGCCAGACGTGGTAGCACATGCCTGTAGTCCCAGCTGCTCGAGAGGCTGAGGCAGGAGGACTGCTTGAGTCCGGGAGCTCGAGGTTGCAGTGAGCTATTCAGGAGGTGGAGGTGGTAGGATCACTGGAGCCCAGGAGATTAAGGCTGCAGTGAGCCATGATCACACCACTGCAGTCCAACCTGGGATATAGAGTGAAATCCTGTCTCAAAAAAAAATTTTTTTAGGCTGGGTGCAGTGGCTAACGCCTGTAATCCCAACACTTTGGGAGGCCGAGGCAGGCAGATTACGAGGTCAGGAGTTTGAGACCAGCCTGACCAACATGGTGAAACCCCATCTCTACTAAAAATACAAAAATTAGCCAGGCGTGATGGCGTGTGCCTGTAATCCCAGCTATTCAGGTGAGACAGGAGAATCGCTTGAACCCGGGAGGTGGAGGTTGCAGTGAGCTGTGATTGTGCCACTGCACTCCAGCCTGGGTGACAGAGTGAGACTTTGTCTTTAAAAAAAAAAAAAATTTTTTTAAAGCTGACAATTACTAGAATTCCTACTACCTCCATCACTGTTCCCTTCTATGCACTGCCAATGAAGCTTCACAGTTGCCTGAGAAAGCCCAGAAGTTTATATGACAGTCATTTCAAAATTCATACCTAATTGGAGAAAATGCTGACAGTGATAGAGATGAATAATAAGCTGAGCTCTTCTCTGCCAGTGACCTCTGCATTCATCCAGCTTGGCTGTGGGACATTCATTTTTAGTCTTTTTTTTTTCTATAAACAAAATGGAATCGCTATTTTAAAAACAATTAAAATTCACTGTGCTGGCTGGGCACAGTGGCTCACACCTATAATCCCAGCACATTGTGAGGCCAAGGCAGATGGATCATCTGAGGTCAGGAGTTCGAGACTAGCCTGGCCAACATGGCGAAACCCTGTCTCTACTAAAAATACAAAAAATTAGCCAGGTGTGGTAAGTGCGCCTGTAATCCCAACTACTCGGGAGGTTACGATAGGAGAATTGCTAGAACCCAGGAGGCAGAGGTTGCAGTGAGCAGAGATCACGCCACTGCCCTCTGGCCTGGGCGACAGAGAGAGACTCTGTTTCAAAAATAAATAAATAATAAATAAAAATTCCGTGTGCTACCTTTTAGATCTTGAACAGTATATTATCTACCAAAATAAGTAAGTAAAAATATTTTAGGTAAGGCATCATGTCTCACGTCTGTATTCCCAGTGCTTTGGGAGGCCAAAGCAGAAGAACTGCTTGAGGCCAAAAGTTTGAGACCAGCCTAGCCTGGGCAACATAGTAAGACCCCATCTCTATCAAAAAAAAAAAAATAGCCAGACATGGTAGCACATGCCTGTAGTCCCAGCTACTCGAGAGGCTGAGGCAGGAAGACTGCTTGAGTCCAGGAGCTCGAGGTTGCAGTCAGCTAGAATCGTGTCACTGCACTCCAGCCTGGGTGACTGAGAGAAACTGCATCTCAAGAAAAAAAAACAAAAAAAGAAAAAGGAAAAAAAAAAGTTGGCTGGGTATGGTGGCTCATGCCTGTAATTCCAGCATTTTGAGAGGCTGAGGCAGGAGGATCACTTGAGCCCAGGAATTGGAGCCTGCAGTGAGCTATAATTGTGTTACTGCACTCCAGCCTGCATGACAGAACAAGACCTTGTCTCTAAAAATTAAAAAAAAAAAAAATTAAGTCATCACGTCCCTTTAGTGTGTAGAAGAAACTTTATTTCTCATAGGGACCTTTCTGAGACACTTGATTGGAATAAAGAGTCTCTTCTCTCATTTATAAAGTTACCATACTGTGCCAGGATCTTCCACTTACACATTTCTGCCTGACTGGCAGGCACAGTCCCCAGACGCCTCGTCAGTGTTTTTTGTCCTCAACTGAATGGGCCCTTCCCAGTCTAAGACCTTCCCCCATCCCCCGGGAATAAGCCATTATCTTCACTCTCCTTCCTTCTTTCTCCACTTTCCTGTACTTTTTCCTTCAGAATATCTGACACACTTAGGTTGTCACATATGCCCCAGCCTGATAAAACTGAAAAAGCTCAGGCTTTGTAGTCAGACAGACCTAGGTTCACTCTATGGCTTTACCACTAATAGCTGTGTGACCCTGAAGAAATTACTTAGATTCTTTAGTGTACTCATCTATAAAATGATAAGTACATCTACCCCAAATAATTTACATAAGAATTTTTTTTTTTTTTTTTAAGTTTCACTCTTGTTGCCCAGGCTGGAGTGCAATGGCGTAATCTTGGCTTACTGCAACCTCCACCTCCTGGGTTCAAGAGATTCTCCTGTCTCAGCCTCCCGAGTAGCTGGGATTACAGGTGCCCACCACCACGCCTTGCTAATTTTTTTGTATTTTTAGTAGAGATGGGTTTTCACCATGTTGGCCAGGCTGGTCTCAAATTCCTGGCCCCAGTTGATCCGCCCACCTCGGCCTCCAAAAGTGCTGGGACTACAGGCATGAATCACCATGCCCGACCTATGACATAAGAATTAAGTAAATAACCCATATAAAAGTGTGCAGCTCAAAAACTACCAGTTGTTCCTTTCCTTTTATCTATTTGCACGTATTTTAAATCTGAAACACTTTCTCTCCTATCTAGGGCCTCTGGCAGTGCAGCTTATCTCCTGGTCCAGGGAAGACAGTGGTCATCCTAGCAGCACATCATTGTTCAGCTGACCCTCGCATGTGGGCCTTCTCAAGATGCCCTATATAACATAAAGATGATTACTGAGGATAAGCAGCTTGTAAAACCCCACCTCATCCCCACTTCTGACGTGTCTTTCTGGCAGTAGTGAATCCGGTGAACAACTCATATCAAACATTTTTCTGCAAACAGGTCAGCTGAAATGCCAGAATCTAAACAAAGGCAACAAAGAAGGCAGGGTTGGATGGCCAGTGCCGGTGTCACATGCTCACACTCGAGAATTCGCAAAGCAACCATCATTCATGGCTACAGGGAGGCAGTGAAAGACTACAATACAGGCTGTTGTAGAAAAACATGATGCCAAGCACAGAAAACTGAGTTATGGCTGTCGTGGGAGTCTTACATCTCAGCTCTTCAGCACATGTCTCTGCCAAGGCTGCCTTGTGTGATGGTTCGGGTCCTGTTCTAAGATGAGAAAACACCACAGGAATTCTCAGAGTGGGCTGCTTAGAGAGGCCTCAATTACCCTATTTGAGATCCAAAGCTTCCCTGGGGAAAACTTTTACTTAGGTGGCTCCCATGGGGAAAGTGGGTCACATTCACCTCCTGCTCAGAAAACCCCGCCACACAGCTTTACAGCCCCCTTCTTACAGTCTTCCTCAACAACCTGTGGTGTGCTGGAGATGGCTCACACAGAGGCTTGGCTTGTGAGAGCTGACTGTTAAATTTCAAAAATGGTGACAGCCAGCTGGCTTCACATTAGTAGCCATGGTGGGAGCATTCACACCGAACACTACCAATCAGCTCCCCTCCCACCACTCACAGCTCCACAACCCCCGGCCCCCCAGCAATTGTTAAACATTTACTAGTACGCCAAGGACCAACGACTCTCAAGCTGAAGTATCAGGCTCCATTTTCCTCATAAGTCTTTGTGTTCTCTGGCCCTTTCCCCAAGATCTTTCTGTTCTTCTCCTGGATGTTCTCACGTAATGGATGCCACCCAGGGCCCCTAACAATGTTGTTCCCCACAAACTGGGGTTCTCCTCTTATGAGTGCTTCGATCCTTTCTGGGAAAATAAAGCTAGGCATCATTTGTATTTCTAAAGAGCCAGCAGTTATTTATAATGACTCTTAGGATCAGGAGAAGACAAAAATGGTTTAGCAAGATTACCAATAGATGGAAATAAGAAAATACTTAGCAGCTTCTAACATAACCTTCACTCATTCAGATATAAAGCATGTTATTTCCTTAATTTTCTTTAACCTACTCCCACAAATGAATAACCTGTTTTGTCATAATACTTTTGAAGATATGTCTTATACAACATTATACAGGTCTCCTCTGAATCCAAAATCCAAAGCCCTAGTTAGAGTGGAGACTTAAACTTAGGAATCTGGTTACACCATCCTATGGCCCTGTGACATATGAGGGTACCAGCAGAACACCTTTCTGCTCTTCCCAGAAAATTTCTAAATTTATATGTAGAGAGATTTTTAGCAAGCTCCTGGGTCACTTGGTTGAAAAGAACACCACCTTCAAGATAAGTGTGCCCACTCTTAAAAACTGAAAGCAGGCTGGTGGTTACCAGGGCAGCTGAGGGTTGGGGGGAAGTTGTTCAATTCTGCAAGATGAAAAAGTTCTAGAGATCTGTGGCACAACAATGGACATATTGTTAAGTGTACTATACCATACACTTAACATGATTAAAACGGTAAGTAGTGACATGTGTGGGGTTTTTTTTAACTGCAATTTTAAAAAAAAGATTTACCCAATAGGCCTCATCATATGTCTACCATTGAGGCTGGCTCATACCAGGCCCCTAATAAATGCTTGTGAATTGAACCAAAGGCAGTACACTTAGGACAGGGATGAGAGTCAGTGCGATAGGGATTATGGAGGCTGTGATTAAATGACTGACATATTTTAAATCATCCAGCCTCTGGGTGTTCTGTGACCCAAAGACATGACTTGCTAGAACTATTTTCTATTCTTTCTGTCCTTTTCAGATCCTGGTTTTGAGTACACTTTACAATTTATGCCTCTTCATTTTATCCAATCCCTACCACTCCTCTTTCAAGGCCAAACTCCATTCTTTTCTCCTCCGTATGGCCTTTTCTGACCACTTTTCTGATTGTCTGCAGAGATCTTTCCCTAACAGAATAGATCCACTGGTAAGCTAACAATAACAAGTTGCCTTAAACCATCTCTTGCACTATTCCATCCTCTGATAGCAAAAGCCCTTTTGTATCCCTCAAATGCCTAGCACACTCAGAGGCAAAGAGCAGGCACTAAATACCAAGATACTGATAGCTGAATGAAGGTTGAAGAATGCAAGAATGGGCCAATAATTTACTTGCTTTCCAGTGGGATATTTCAAAGGCATAAAATTGGTCAGGAATGTGACTGAAAGCTTAAGGAATAAGGTGTTCAAAGAAGGTTTTGCTTTGAACCCTAAGTTGCCACTATGTTTGCTAGATATTCAGGGCTCTAGAAAATCTTCTGTAAAGGTCTGCTATGAAGCCCTCTCTTGCCTATAAGGAAGTAAGAGCAGATATAAATCACCATGTCACAGCATTTGTAAACCAACTCAAACGGTGAACAGCCTAAAAGCTCAAGATCCTCAATGAGCATTTTCAAAGGTCTGATGGCTTTGGAGGAAAGAAAAGTATGAGGTACTTTACTTTCCCACCCAACACTGAGATGGAGTCTTGCTCTGTCGCCCAGGCTGGAGTGCAGTGGCACGATCTCGGCTCACTGCAATCTCTGCCTCTCAAGTTCAAGCAATTCTCCTGCCTCAGCCTCCTGAGTAGCTGAGATTACAAGCACATGCCACCATGCCCGGCTAATTTTTGTATTTTTAGTAGAGACAGGGTTTCAACATGTTGGCCAGCTGGTCTCGAACTCCTGACCTCGTGATCTGCCCGCCTTGCCCGCCCAAAGTGCTGGGATTACAGGCATGAGCCACCACACCCAGCCTAAGTATGAGGTACTTTTCAAAGTAGCTAAGCTAGTGATTCTTAAAATGTTGTAAAAGGGAAGTCAAAGACCAGTTGAGGATCTTAGGAAAGATGAACCCTCTTCAATAATAATAATTTTAAAAAGGACATATGCATATTTTCACACACAATTTCAGGGTGTGTACTAACTCTCTAAAGCCTATTTATTCTTGGACCTTAGGTTAAGCATCACCTGTGAATTAGTATCATTCCAAGAAACTTCGTGGCAGACCTCTAGCACGTACGTGGATGCATTTCTAATATGATGCAGCTGATAATATCAAAATCTTTTTCCTAGTTTGAAAAGTAGGAATAGGGCTGGGTGCAGTGGCTCACACCTATAATACCAGCACTTTGGGAGGACAAGATGGGAGGATCACTTTAGGCCAAGAGTGTGAGACCAGCCTGGGCAACACATTGAGACTCCTCTTTCCACAAAACTGAAAAAAATTTAGTGGGGCATGGTAGCATGCTCCTGTAGTCTTAGCTACTCAGGAGGCCAAGGCAGGAGGATCGCTTGAACCTAGGAGTTTGAGGTTACAGTAAGCAATGATCACTCCATGCACTCCAGCCTGGGTGACAGAGCAAGACCTTGTCTCTAAAAAAAAATAATAAAAGTAAGAATAGAGGAGAGGGAGTATCTAAGAGTGTCAGATAGGATGGGGTAGGCAGAAGAACCTCCCTGGAGAGCTCTTCCATTTCAGCATACTTCTGTGAAGGTAGTAGCATTGCCTCATCAAGACAGGATATCCTCAAAGCATCCAAACCCAAGTATTTAAGTTTCTCTTAAATACCTGCCATCTACATTTATTTAGTACAGACAAAATGGTCATGGGGTTTATCTATGCAACACAAGTTGTATGACAACTATCCTCCCAGGGGAATGAAAATCAGAGTGCAGCCTGGTGCTCATGCCTATAACCCCAGCACTTTGGGAGGCAAAGGTGGGTGGATTGCCTGAGCCCAGGAGTTCGAGACTAGCCTGGAAAATATAGTGAGACTCCATCTCTACAAAAAATTTAAAAAATTAGCCAGGCATGGTGGCATGCACTTGTGGTCCTAGTTATTCAGCAGGATAAGATGGAAGGATCACTTGAACCCAGGAGGTCGAGGCTGTAGTAAATTATGATCATGCCACTGCACTCCATTCTGGGCAACAGAGGGAGATCTCACACACACACACACACACACACACACCCGCCAAGCAAACAAAAAGAAAATTAGGGTGCAGGCCACTAGCGAGGGACAAGCTGAAGACCAGAATTTCGGAAGGCTTACAAGGGTGACTGATGTGCTCAGGTTGCATTATTTGCGGTCCTCTTTAAAAGAGAAGAGAGCTAGAGGAGATGAACACAACTGGAAGCAGAGAGAAAGTAGCCTTAGAAATGGAGAGAATCAAAGTAGACTCAAAGTTCCTAATGTCAGAAACCACTTAAGCTGGTATGCATTCTAAATCTTCCAGTCTGACCCCTTAGTTTCATCTTTTTGGGAATCCTTATTCCTTGGCTGATCAATTTTCCTGGACATATCAAATGATTCTACCAGGTAGGGATGCATGCTTACTAAAAAGCCACACTGGAGAGAGAAAGGAACTAAATCTCAGTTGAAGAGGGGACAAGGGGCCTGAAGGACAATTTTGAAAGGTGTCCCAGAAACAAGCCAAATCCAGTAAGGAATAAACTATGAGTAGTTTCATAGCTCTTAGAAAAGCAAGTTGTATCTTCTCCGTAATCTTTATTCATAAAGGTATGTTAAATACAAAAAGAGGTCAAAATGCCCTTACCTAATGCTGTATATAAAAATTAACTCAAAATGGATTAAATATCTAAACATAAGAGCTAAAACTAAACTCTTAGAAGAAAACATAGGGGAAAAGCTTCATAACATTAGATTTGGCAATAACTTCTTGGACTTCTTGGATTTGACACCAAAAGCACAGGCAACAACAACAACAAAAACAAAACAAAACAAACAAACAAAAAAAAACAGGCAAATTGGACTTCACCAAAGTTTTTAAAAGCTTATGCATAAAGGACACTAACAATAGAGTAAAAAGACAAACCACAGAATGGAGTAGAGTATTTGCAGATCAGATATCTAATGAGGAATTAACATCCAGAATATATAAAGAATTCCTAACAGTTAACAACAACAAAAAAATTCCCCAATTAAGAAATGTGCAAAGGACTTGAAAAGAATTTCTCCAAAGATGATCTACAAATGGCTAATATGTACATGAAGAGATGCTCAATATATCATTAGGTAAATGCAAATCAAAACTACAATGAGATACTACGTCATACCCATTAGGATGGCTATTAAAAAAAAAACAGAAAACAAGTGTTGGCAAGGATGTGGAGAAATTGGGATGTAAAATGGTACAGCCAATCTGAGAAACAGTCTGGCAGTTCCTCAAAATGTTAAACATAGAATTATCCTGTGATCCAGCAATTCCACTTCTGAGTATATACACAAAAGAATTGAAAGCAGGGACTCCAACACATAGTTGTAATACGCCAATGTTCAAAAGCAACATTATTCATAATAGCTGAAAGGTGGAGATAACCCAAATGTCCACCAATGGATGAATAAACAAAATGTATATACATGCAATGGAATATTATTAAACCTTAAAAAGGAACAAAATTGTGGCACATGGTACAATATGGATGAATCTTGAATACATGATGCTAAGTGAAATAAGCTTGTCACAAAAGTCCAAATACTGTATGATTCCATTAAAGTACCTAGAATAGTCAAATTCATAGAGACAGAGTAGAACAGTGGTTATCAGGGGCTCAGGGTAGGGGAAATGGGGAGTAACTGTTTAATGGATATAGAGTTTCAGTATGGAATGATGAAAAAGCCCTGGAGAGAAGGAGAGCAGAGATGGTTGCACAACAATGTGAATGTATTTAATGCCACTGAACTGTACACTTAAAAAGGGTTAAAATGGGCTGGGCACAGTGGCTCACGCCTGTAATCCCAGCACTTTGGGAGCCCGAGGCGGGTGGATCACCTGAGGTCAGGAGTTTTGAGACCAGGCTGGCCAACATGGTGAAACCCCATCTTTACTAAAAAATACAAAAAATTAGCTGAGCGTGGTGGTGGGTGCCTGTAATCCCAGCTACTAGGGAGGCTGACGCAGGAGAATTGATTGAACCCGAGAAGCAGAGGTTGCGGTGAGCCAAGATCGCGCCATTGCACTCCAGCCTGGGCAACAAGGGCAAGACTCCATCTCAAAAAAAAAAAGGGGGTTAAAATGGTAAATTTTATGTTATGTATATTCTACCACATATAAAAAAAAAAGAGGTAAAAATGAACAAGCTTCACAATTAACCCCAGACAAATATAGCACCTGCATATATACCATAAAAATACATACAGTTTATTACATTAAAAAAATGTATGACCAGGCTGGGTGCAGTGGCTCATGCCTGTAATGCCAGCACTTTGGGAGGCTAAAGCAGGTGGCTCATTTGAGGTCAGGAGTTCAAGACCAACCTGGCAAACATGGCGAAACCCTACTTAAAAAAAACAAAAATCAGCCAGGCATGGTGGCATGCACCTCTAATCCCAGCTACCTGGGAGGCTGAGGCAGGAGAATCGCTTGAACCCAGGGGACAGAGGCTGCAGTGAGCCAAGATCGTGCCACTGTACTCCAGCCTGGGTGACAGAGTGAGACTCTGTCTCAAAAACAAACAAACAAAAAAGAATGATCCTTCAGTCACATTGAGGGTATCAACTGATTAAAAACTTTATCACGAATGATGAAGCCAATGACAATTAACAAAAAAATGTCATTTACCTTCTGGATGTCTGAAAAGAAACCCCAGTGTGAAAGGCTGGGCTTTGTTTAATATGCAATAATGGATTTACAAGTACCACCTTGAAATGCCTCAAACAGAGGCTGGAATGTGTCTAGGGGTTGTCAGAATTCAAGAATTCACAAATCTCTTTGCCAGAAAAAAATGGCAGGCTGGGCAGGCAGACATAGGAAAGTGCCCTGTCTTCTCTGCTAACTTACTAAATGTAACAAATTCCATTTAACATCTATCCATGCTCTTTAGGTTTTATTTTAGGGGTACTTTAGAATCTATTGAGGATTAAGTTCTTGACTTTTTTCTCTACTCAGTCTGCTGCTAACAACTGCAGGGCCCTACTGCAATCCATAAAACTAGCTCTTTGAGAGGCCATGAATACTGTTAACATTAAGTGACATTCACATTAATGCTCATAAGTGAAGGGAGAGAAGTGCTCCAACACATGCTGGAGATTAACAAGGCAGTCAAATACCTCTAATCTGATAGTGCTGAGAATAAACCAAGTGTACTGTAATGCTGTCATTTAGCACCCTTCAAAATCAGTTAGAGAAGAGAAGCAACAACTATTTTGAGGGTGGCTCTCAAGAAGGTCCCAGAATAGTATCACCCTCCTCCAAACCCCCAAGTGAAAAGGACTATTAAAAGAGGTAATGAGTACACAAAGACTCCATGAGAGCAATGACTAAGATTATTCACCACTGATCCCCACTTACCTTAGCACCACAACTTATATTATAGAAGGTATACAATAATAATGATAATTATTATTATTACTATTATTTTGAGACAGGGTCTCATTGTCACCCAGGCTGGAGTGCAGTGGCATGATCACAGCTTACTGCAGCTTCAACCTCCCTGGGTTCACCTCAGCTCCCACCTCAGCCTCCCAAGTTGCTGGGACTACAGGTGCACACCACCACGTCTGGCTAATTTTTCTTTCTCTCTCTCTCTCTTTTTTTTTTTTTTTTTTTTTTTGTAGAGACAGCTTCACCATGTGGTACAGGGTGGTCTTGAATTCCTGGGCTCAAGCAATCTGCCCACCTCAGCCTCCCAAAGTGCTGGGATTACAAGTGTGAGCCACCGCACCCAGCAGGTATACAATTACATATTGACCAAGTAAATCAATCTTGCTATCCTTTCCCCATTCTCCTATGAAATCCCTCTCCATTGAAATCGCTTCGTCTCTGGCCTGCGCACTCTTTTTGAGAGGCACTTTCATCATTTCATTTAACTTTGAAAGAAGTTGGAGGAGGCTGAGGACACGTGCTTGCTAATCATCCTTTCACAGATTGCCTTGTGTGCCAGAAAGGATTTTTATTATTGGTCTGTGGCAGCTACTGCTGGAGAAAGATTTCAGCTTGACCTTCCCAAGCTGCTGGGGGATGAATACTGCACGTGGCTGACAGAGTAAATGTCTCCTTTTTTTTTTTTTTAAAAAAAAAAAAAAGCTTTTAGACTAACCAGAGCTCACTGTGGTAGGAAAGTCACCCCTTCTCTTACTGCATAAAACTCAAGATGTTGAATTATTTTGCATAAAAATGATATAGTAAAATTAATGTGAACTAGTCCAACAAGAAAATGGTAGCATCACAAAGCACCTCACAGACAGCACAGCATCAAAGAACAGGATTCAGGATAGCTCCACAGGCAGAGAGGAAAAAAGGAAATGAAGGCCATTTATAAAAGCAGTTTTAAATGTGAGGATGGATTCTCACAGCTGGGCTCACAAAAGAGAACAAATATGTCAAAGGGAACAACTGACAGACTAATAGAGTCCTATCCATCTGGCTGAGAAAAGAGCCACTGGTGGGAATACTGAGAAGCTTGTCTATTAGGAAAAAGGCTTGCTTGGTGCTTCACTGGGAGAACTGAATAGCTTTGAGGAACACTGAAACACATGGTCAAATCATAGCTGGCTGGCTGGCTCTGCCAGCAAGAAGCTCAAACAAGGGTTACAAAGATGCACTGGCAAAAAAGGAAGAACAGGGCACATATGGTCTTCCTACTGGCTTGGGGTCTATACCCTGGCCCCTCCAATTTGGGAGTAGGATGAAAAGGAAAGGGAACCATGTGAATAGGATGTCTTATTTAGTGCTTTTTAAAAAAGGACTCAAGAGTTTCATTTTGACACATCAAGTTCAATCCCATGCCACGCTAACGCCTCATCTGTACTTTTATATAATGCAGAGCTGAGTGCAGGCACTCTGGGAGAAGGGGAAATCAGGCCAGATTTAAAGAAAACAAAGACACAAGGCTATCTGCATCTCTAACTCAGTCCATACCACAGAAAAACCTCCTCAAAAATAATTGCTCAAGGCAAAGAGAACTCAATTACTAAGGAAAATCTGTCCCAATGAGGGCTCATGTTTTAACGAGCCAAATAGCTTCAAATTAAGCTGAACTCAGGGTTTTTCTAATTGGCAGTTTCATCCATTTCTAAGTTCTCATTTCTTATTTTCAAAAATCAAAATGACTCTCTGCCTAAAATTTTAAAAAAAGAAATGCCTTATCACACTCTAAAACAAATAATTCACCAGATTTTCACCTACATATCTTCTATATAATTAACAAACCCTTCAGATGGCACAAACGCAGACAGCATCACTCTGTATTAAAAGTACTATCAACCAACCCCACACTAATTCCTCTCAGCAGCCTGGCCCTGGTCACTACCACAAAAGCTCAGTCACAGAATCCCCCTGCCATCAGAGAGAAGGCAACTGCTTGATCCTAGCCACCAACTAGGTCATCTGGGGAAAGTAGTGGCTTACCTGCTCCTCTGACAGTTGGGATATGTGATTCACAGCAGCGTAGGACTCAATTTTGGGGTTAAAGTGGTTGATGATGGCTCTGAAACAAAGAATTCGTATTAATATGGTGCCAGATAGAAGAGGTGGATACATCTGTTAAAAAATAAGGATCAAGTACCCTCTGGTTTAGAGTACTAGAGCATGGGACCGATTGTGACTGGGTAACTTCCTCTTATTGAACATGAGGTAGTCACAAATGGGGGTGAATTGATAACTCTGAAGTGGGAAGGATTTACTATTAGACAGAAAATAGAATCAAGCATCTCTGCTCTGCAAATGAACTAACGGAAAAAACCCAAAGCCAAACAAAAATATTGAGTCCTTCAGATGAGAAAGGGAACCCAGAGGGCTGTCCACTAGGGGGCCCTGGTGCTTCAATCAGAAAGAAAAGCTGTCTTGTCTGACTTGGGAGAACAGGGCACTCAGTAAAGCTGGGCCAACAACATATAGGCTAAATAGAAGCAATCTTCATACTTGTTAGTAAATAGTTTCAAACCAAAATTTTATATCCGGCCATTCAACCCAAAAGCTGAGTGTCATTTTAAAACACTCCCTTCTCCATCACTTAGTCACATCCAAAATTACCTAGTCTTATCAAATCTACCTCTTAAAAATCTCTGAAATCTGAAATAAATTTCCCTGAAACCAGTGCCTTGGTATAGGTCTTTGTCATTTCTTGCCTGGTGTAGCAAAAAGAACACAGGTTTTAGATCAGGGTTTTACATGAGTCCATATGAATATAAATGATTCATAGAGAGAGACAAATCTCTTTTTTTCATATATATATATATATTTATTTATATTTATATTTTAGACAGGGTGTCACTCTGTTACCAAGTCTGGAATGCAGTGGCACAATCATGGCTCACTGCATCCTTAACCTCCCAGGCTCAAGCGATCCTCCCACCTAAGCCTCCCTAGCAGCTGGGACTACAGGCATGTGCCAGCATGCCCGGCTAATTATTTTTGTATTTTGTTGGTAGAAACACGGTTTTGCCATGTCGCCCAGGCTCAAGCCTGGGCTCAAGCAATCCACAGGTCTCCACCTCCCAAAGTGCTGGGATTATAGACATGAGCCACAGCGGCTGGCCAACAAATCTTTCTCATAGAACAATTTCAAATAATATATGTAGATACTTCTCCCTATAGGAAATGAAGTTTATTTCTCATTCCTGAGGGTGGGCTAGATTTAGTGATTTATTGCCAAAGACTAGAGTAGCAAATGGGAAACACAGTAACTTTATAGCAAAGAAGCCTGGTAAACACTACCTTAACCAAATGATGAAGCTGTAGATTGCCAGTGATATCATGTAGATACCATGTAACCCTTGGTATGATCTGATGAGAAGGGCACTTAATATCTCAATCTAATCACAAGAAAAATATCAGACAGGGGACATTCTACAGGATACCTGACTGGTATTTTTTTTTTTTTTTTTTTTGAGACAGGGTCTCACTTTGTCATCCAGGCTGGAGTGCAGTGGCACAAACATGGCTCACTACAGCCTCCATCTCCTTGGCTCAAGCAATCCTCCCACTTCAGCCTCCCAAGTAGCTGGGACTACAGGCATGTGCCACCATGTCTGGCTAATTTTTGTATTTTTTGTAGAGATGGGGTTTTGCCAGATTGCCCAGGCTGGTCTCAAACTCCTGAGCTCAGGCAGTCCTCCCTCCTCACCTCCTAAAATGCTGGGATTACAGGCATGAGCCATTGCTCCTGACGCTGACTGGTAGTTTCTTTCTTTCTTCCTTTTTTTTTTTTGAGACGGAGTTTTGCTCTTGTTGCCCAGGCTGGAGTGCAATGGTGCGATCTCAGCTCCCTGCAACCTCCACCTTCCGGGTTTAAGCAATTCTTCTGCCTCAGCTTCCCAAGAAGCTGGGATTACAGGCCCCCGCCACCATGACCAGCTAATTTTGTATTTTTAATAGAGATGGGGTTTCACCACATTGGCCAAGCTGTTCTCAAACTCCTGACCTTTCAGGTGATCCACTCACCTTGGTCTCCCAAAGTATTGGGATTACAGGTGTGAGCCACCGTGCCCAGCCAGTACTTTCTTAAGACTCTAAAAGTCATGAAAAACAAGAGTTGAGAAATTGTCACAAATCACTGGGGAGATATGACAATTAAATGCATATCCTGGAATGGACCCTGGCACAGCAAGAGGACATTAATGGAAAAACTGGTAAAATCTAATTAAAATACGGAATTTAGTTAATAATAATGCCAGTTACTTAGTGTTGATACATGTACCTTGGTGACATAAAATGACGGAAATTAGGCTGAGGGTATCCAGGAACTCTGTGGATTATCTTTTTACTTTTTCTATAAATCTAAAATTATTCCAAAACAGAAAGTTTATTAAAATGGGTAGTGTGGGCTAGGCGTGGTGGCTCACGCATGTAATTCCAGCACTTTGAGAGGCTAAGGTGAGCGGATCACTTGAGCCCAGGAGTTCAAGATCAGCCTGGGTAACATGGTGAAACCCTGTCTCTACAAAAAATACAAAAAAATTTAGCCAGGTGTGGTGGCACACACTTGTGGTCCCAGCTACTTGGGAGGCTGAGGTGGGAGGATCACTTAAGCCTGGGAGACAGAGGTTTCAGTGAGCCAAGATTGTGCCACTGCACTCCAGCCTGGGTGACATAGTGAAACCCTGTCTCCCCGCAAAAAACCCCACCCAAAATCAACAACAACAACAAAATGGGTGCGTGGGCTGGGTGCAGTGGCTCACAACTATAATCCCAGCACTTTGGGAGGCTAAGGTGGGCGGATTACTTGAACCCAGGAGTTCGAGACCAGCCTGAGCAACATGGTGAGACCTTGTCTCTACAAAATAAAAATAATAATAATAATAAGCCAGGGCCAGGTGTGGTGGCATTTGCCTGTAGTCTCAGCTACTTGGAAGGCTGAAGTGGGAGGATCACTTGAGCCCAGGGGGATGAGGCTGCAGTGAGTGGTGTTTGTGCTACCACGCTCCAGCCTGGGCAATATAACGAGACCTTCTCTCAAAAATAAAAAATAAAATGTGTGCACGTGTGTATGTGTGTTTGTGTGTGTGTATGTATGAGCTAGCATAACAAATCACTATTTTATAGCTTCTTGATAGTAAAGAATTATAGAACCATTTAATCTAATTCAGGTAATAAAAGTATAAACCAAAAACTTAAAAAAAAATACCAATCCCAGCACTTATCATAGTACCTGGGAATAGTCTATTGCAGCCATATAAGAAATATTTGTTGAAAGAGGGCTAAATCTTAGAGGGTACATTTGTAAAATTTATCTAACATAATATATAACATTTATAGTACATATAATAAAAACTTGGAAAAGCAACGCCAAACATCTAACCCAATGCCTGGTACACAGCTTGTGCTCAATAAATATTCAATAAGTGAATAAACCAAATACGACAGACATGAGTCAGGAGCAAGAAAAGAGTTCTGACAACTTATTTTTCCAGAAACTACCAAGAGAGCTGGAGATAATATCTGCAAGTTAAGGCTGAGGTTTGCTCTAATTCCAAAGTAGGAAAGAATTTTATGACCAAGTGGGGGTCAAACATTTTTCTCAATCAGAGAGCAAGGCTCAAGGATGTTGGCAGAGATGACCACAGCCCATAAGCAGAAAGGAAAACCAGGACCCTAAACCCAATGAGAAGGTAGGTGAAGCAAGTTTAGAGAACTGATAATCCCACTGATCCTAGCAGCAGCACCAATTTAAAGTTCACTCAGGGTGGAGTCTGAGTCATAGGGTTTAGTGTCCAGGACCAACACGATTGAAGGAAAGGAGCTTCAGTAGTCAAATCAATCTACCATTAGACCACAGGTATCTTCGAAAAAGATTTTGCACTCTGTAAATGCATCCACATTTTATGCTTTTTTAGGTTTTGTTTTTTGTTTTTTTAAATCAGGCTTTCCTTACATTTCTTAGGAAATTTTTTTTTTAAATTCCTGTCTCAACTGAACTAGAGGTTTTGTTCTTGTTTTTTATTATTATTATTATTTTATTCTTGCCTAGGTTTGGAGAATACAGAGGTCCAAGTACCCTAGCTTCTGTCTGGGTGGAATGTTAGCAGCCACCGGGGCAACCCAGTGGAGCTAGTGAGGTTGGAACAGTGAAATAATCCCTGGGAATGGAATTGCTGGGGATCTAATTCTCTTGCCTTTCTATCTGAGTAGTTCTTTCACAAGGAAACAAAGCAAGGACATAAGACAGGAAAAAAAAAGAGAGAGGAAGAAGAGAGGGAAGGGGAAAAGGAAAGAGGAAAGAAAGGGGAGGGGACTGGGAGGCAGGGAGGGAGGGAGTGAGGGAGAGAAAGGAAAACCTAGAAGGCATTACCTTCAAAATGTACACTTGTTTCCTTCCCTTCTCACCATTACACTTATCAGGTGTCAGCTGGCTCTATGGGTGACCTGTTCTTCATACTGCAGGACATACATGCTGATATTGTTTGGGCAAACTTATCCTGAGGGTATTTACCACTCTGGGAATATATATTTGGAATGAAGATAAAATCATCTTCCAACCTGCCCTGTGACAATCTCATCTCAGAACTTCAGATCTAAGCAGGTGATTAAGGTCTCCCACCAGGCAGGCTGAGAAACTGTTTAGAAACCTGAGTAAGGTGGAACAGTCTAGATTCAGTTAGTAGTCTCTAACTCAGTACCCACAAAGGCAGTATATGTGTCGGCCTTATGTTTTTTTTGCTGTTTCTTTGGGACTGTTATCTGCAAAATCTGAGTGCTAACCTAATGTCCTGGAGATGCCAGGTGGAGGGTATTCGCCCTAAGCAGTAAGAAAAATAGTCTAACACTGGCTCTTCTCTCTCCAGGCTCTTAGAAAGGAATTCCAGACAGGGCTTGGAGGCTTCCCATTAAAGTTCTTAGTACTTTGTACTAGTGAAATGGAAATATGTCCTGACATGGCACAGAAATGACAGAAGACTGGAACCAGGCTAAGCCAGACCAAGCTGAGTGACACACCTTTGCAGTAACTGAATTACGTCGCTTCTCCTTCCCCAGGAAGTCTGACGGCTACCAGGCTCACCTGGGTTGTGATTCCACACCATCCCACCTGGCCAAGGCGCTAGACTAGGACTCATGCTTGACTAGCTCTTGGCGGGAGAAAGATAAGGCACCACGTTTATAGATGAAGGAGGAATCTCTCCATTTTCTTTAGGCTTTCCTTCTCACTGATAGCACCTCCAAAAGGATTTACTACCATCTTTTCTGAACCTTTGGGGAGGGGGTTTCTGGGAGATTCTAACAGTACTTCTCTCTCACTTTTACTGGTCAAAACCTGACAGCTACTTGGGGGGCTGAGGCAGGAGAACTGCTTGAACCCAGGGGCCAGAGGTTGCAGTGAGCCAGAATCATGCCACTTCACTCCAGCCTGGGCAAAAGAGCGAAACTCTGCCAAAAAAAAAAAAAAAAAAGGCACCAGAGAGCTCTCTTGCTATCTGTCACATGACGACACAGTGAGAAGGCTGCCATCTCATAAGCCAGGAAGACAGCTCTCACCAGAAACTGACCCTGCTGGACTTTGATGTGGGACTTCTAGCCTCCAGAACTGTGAGAAAATACAGGAAGGTTTGAGTGGACAATGAATGAGAAAACATAGCCATTATGAAAAGATTAAGGTTTCCCTTCGACAAAGGTGGCAAGGCAATTAAATAGGGAAAAAATAGTCTTTTCAACAAATGGTACTGGGACAAGTAGTTATCCACATGCAAAAGAATGAAGTTAGATCCCTTCCTTATACCACACATAAAACAACTCGAAATGGATCACAGATCTAAATATAAGGTCTAAAAACGATAAAATTCTTTTTTTTTTTTTTTTTTCGAGAGGGCGTCTCGCTCTGTCGCCCAGGCTGCAGTGCAGTGGTGCAATCTTGGCTCACTGCAAGCTCCACCTCCCGGGTTCACGCCATTCTCCGGCATCAGCCTCCCGAGTAGCTGGGACTACAGGCGCCCGCCACCACGCCCGGCTAATTTTTTGTATTTTTAGTAGAGACGGGGTTTCACCATGTTAGCCAGGATAGTCTCAATCTCCTGACCTCATGATCCGCCTGCCTCAGCCTCCCAAAGTGTTGGGATTACAGGTGTGAGCCACTGCGCCCGGCCCTTAAAAACTGTAAAATTCTTAAAAGTAAATCTTCATGACTTGAGGTCAGGCAGTGATTTCTTAGATAAAACACCAAAAGCACAAATGAAAAAGAAAAAGTGGATCAATCTGAAGTTTAAACTGTGCTGCAAACAATGCCATCAAGAAAGTGAAAGGACAATCCACAGAATAAGAGAAAATATTTGCAAATTTTGTCTGATAAGAAACTTGTACCAGAATATATAAAGGACTCTTATAATTCAACAATAAATTACACACAAATAATACAATTTTTAAAAGAACAAATTATTTGAATAGACAAGAACAGATACTCAATATCATTAGTCATTAGGGAAATCCAAATCAAAACCACAATGAGATACCACTTCACACCCATTAGGATAGTGATAAAAAGAGAATAGCAAGGCTGGGCACAGTGACTCATGCCTGCAATCCCAGGAGTTCAAAACAAGTCTGGGCAACATGGGGAGACCCCCATCTCTACAAAATTACAAAAAAAAAATTAGCCGGGTATGGTGGCGTGTGCCGGTAGTCCCAGCTACTTGGGAGGCCAAGGTGGGCAGATCACTTGAGCCTAGGAGGCCGAGGCTGCAGTGAGCTAAGGTGGAGCCACTGCACTCCAGCCTAGGTGAGAGCACAGACCCTGTCTCAAAAACAAACAAACAAACAAACAAACAAACAAAACAATAACAAGTGTTGGCAAGGATGTGGAGAAGAACTCTCATACATTGCTGGTGGAAGTGTAAAATGGTACAGCTACTTCAATTTATAGGAAAGGTCCAGAATATGCAAATTTGTAGAAGCAGAAAGTAGATTCATGGTTGCTTAGGGCTACAAGGAGGGTTAGGGAAGAATAGGGAGTGACTGCTATTGGGTATAGGGTTTCTTTCAGGGGGAACACAATATTCTAAAGTTAGATTGTGATGATGGTTGTACAACCCTATGATTATACCAGAAAACATGAACTGTACACTTTAAGTGGATGAACTGTATCATATATAAATGATTATGGCCTCCTTGGCCCCAGCAGTTTTTGAGCAAGCTGCTTTCTCCAACCAGTTCCACACAGAATTAATGTGGTGATTCCCAGGGTGATTCACTCACCAAGAAAACTTTTCTAAAGCTTGCATATGTTAGCAATGCTGATGGCAGTAGGAAAAGGAGCTCACTGGGCCATGGACTATCCTATAAATTACAGAAGCTGGAGTTTCAGGAGCTTCTGGAGAGAGAGGGCTCTGTGGTGCAATACCACAAAAGGTGGCAGAGATGACGAGTGAGACTGGTGCTGAAGGGCACATGCTCAGGAAGGACTGACCCTACCTGGAGGTGAGAAGAGTCCAACTCATGGTAATATGTATGATATACTTAAGTCAAAAGTTCTGCATGTGGCAAAGGATGTCAACTTTTGGCTGCTGGAATAGGATGTTGAGGGGGGTGGCAGGGTTGGTGGATGAGAAGAAAGTTTCTCTTATTCTCAACATCCTTTACCAATTTATTTTTCCAGCAATAGTTGGAGTTGCCCACATTATTCAGGGAAACAGAATTGGGAAGAGGATTTAAAGAAATATGGGTAGTAATAAGGCCCAAGGAAGGGGAAAGGAGTTCTACCCACAGACAGAACTTAGTGGGAAAAGAGAATGTAATTTCTAACCAAACCTCTAGCTTCTCTGAAACTTGAACTAAAAGCTCCAAGACAGCAGGTACCAAATTTATTTTGCTCACCAATATTTTGTCCAGTTTCACTGTAAGTAGCTTTTGCTTCTGGAGATCCAGAATCACTAGCTATCCTCCCAAAGTATGAAAATAAAAATTAAAATGTTTTATCCTCATCCCAGGAAAAAAGGTGGCTCAGACATGAACAGCTGTCCTCCCAAAGAAGGAGCAAAAGTTGACACTGATGACAATAAAGCTTTTCTTCCTCTTAAGTCATATCAAGAGGCTAGAGGAAAGCTTTCTGGCATTCCTTTTTTAAGTAATCTAATACCTTCTAAAAGTAAGCCTAGGTTTTGTTTGTGTGTTTGTTTGAGGGTGGGGAGGATGAGGTGAGGTGTGGGGGAATGTGTTTTATTCTGATACGGGGCCTCTAAAGCCACTGAATTAGAAAGTCCCAAAGGGGAAGGAAAAATAAATAGACAACATCATAGTAAAGAGAAATTGCTAAAGCCAGCCACAGTGAGGGATGGCACTGTGCCCAATGCACCTTTAAGAGCAGGAATCTGGGCCACCCTCCAATGCAACTGTCAACTTCTGACTGCAGAAGATAGAGGTCACTTATACAGGCTGAAGCAAAATGAAGTGGATAGATGGAACAGTAAGGATGAACAGTAAACCGGCTGGGGATTTCTTGGTCCATTGTAAACTTATTCTCTCTGACTCATGACTCTGCAAAGCAGCTCTCTTTTCCCAAGTGCCGGGTGGTTGTTAACTGAGACACATAGTTAATGTCGAACTTGCATTAAAGATAAGCATGGAAATGTTCCTTTAACAATGTAGGCAATATAGCTTAAGAGAAAATGTGGACCAGGCACGGTGGCTCTCCCCTGTAATTCCAGCACTTTGCGAGGCTGAAGTGGGAGAAGTGCTTAGCTCAGGAGCACAAAAAAAAAAATTTTTTTTTTTTAAAATTAGCTGGGCATGGTGACATGTGCCTGTTGTAGTCCCAGCTACTCAGGAGGCTGAGATGGGAGGATGATTTGAGCCAGGGATGTCAAGGCTGCAGGGAACCATGATCACACCACTGCGCTCCCTAGCCTGGGTGACAGAGCAAGACCCAGTCTTAAGAAATAAAAAAAAAAGAAGAAGAAAAAGAAAATGTGGATTCCTCCTCATATCCAATATAAAGCTAAAGCAAATCCTCCAAAATGCAATCTCCCATGGACAGAAGCATCTACGAGTCTTTAATGAAACAATAAATAAATAGTTTCATTCAGAAGCTCAGAACATGGCGATTGTTTCATTACTGAGATACCTGAAGGAAGCAGGCTATCTCTAAAAGCTGCTATGTACATCTTTCAGGCAGAACAGGGAAAAACAAGCAAAAGTTGTTTTTGTAACTCTCATTCCAAGGAAGGAGGAAACATAACTGTTATACTCAATACGCGCACACGCGCACACACACACACACATATATGTATGTATATGAAGATTCTTGAAGGTTTCACCCTAAAACTACTCTTATAAGACTACCAGATTTACATTAACGAGTCTGATTGTGGGTGAATTTCTCAAGCTTAGTAAAAAATTTGGATCTTAAGCTCCAACCTCATTAAGAGCTGTAGCCCTGTATTTTCAAATGCTTACTAAATATTTACACCTGGATGTCTTGCTTTTGTTTACCTGGATCTCTTCACATAGAATGTTATCACCACTAAAAAGCCTAAGTCATCTTTTTCCTTGAAGGCCCAGTTAAAATACCATTGCTTCCCCGAACAACATGGTTCATACAGAAAACAGCAAGGCTTTAGAGAAAGGAGATTTGAAAAAATCTGGATTCCTCCACTTATTAACTGTGTGACTTTGGGCAAGAGACCAACCTCTCTGAGTAGTAGTTTCTTTGGTTGAATTTCACTTCCAAAACTTTCCTCTCTGTTTTCCTGTATACCATCTAACTAGCCCTAAGGAATTTTTTTTCCCCCAAGGCAGCTTCCCTTTTCCTAGACCAGTCCAGTGATATACTACTATGCAATATACTACAGAGTATGTTCTCAGGTATCTGAGATTAAAGACAAGAAAACCATCATATTCGTAATTGCTTTTACCTGGGAAACCTTCAGGCATACAGGTAAAATACTGGCTTTTGAGAAGGGGTAAAGGTATGACTGAGTGTATGTGGCAGTAGTTAAAATGGTTCATCTGAGGTTGAGTTATTTAATTTTAAACTAACATTTCTTTCACCTTCAGAATTGCCTCACAGACTCCCATTTCATGCAGTACTAAGCTTCCTTCTTCATGGAGTCAATGAATCTTCAGCCCACCCAAATCACCAACAACAAAAAAAGCAATTTCCCTTGATGCCTGTTAACAGAAGTGCATTACAAGCCTCAAAGACTCTGCTGATTAACATTAAACAAAATAAAACCTCAAGTAAGAATACCTTCTAACCTTTTCACTTTGAAACTATCTAATCAAAACATCAGCAACTGACCTGTTAGGATTATCCTTCTAACTTACCCCCTAAGGTTTAGGTCTTAACCCTTTCAGGACAATTATTTCCCTCCATAAATTATACTACTGTCCCTGTGGCCATTCTTTTCAGGACCAAAGACACAAAAATGGAACCTTAGTTAGTATAAAAGGCATTTTGACAACCAGCAAGAAGGATAAACTACTGACCAGTGCATCTAGTTGCTTACTTTACCCAATGATCCAATGTAAATGGAGAAGAATGAACCACAAGTGTTGAAAGAACCACAAAAGTCAAATGGACCATCTACATTTCCATAAAAGGCATCATCACTTAATCCATTCCCCTTATGTCTACTTTTTATTAAATCTTTCAATAAATGAAAAGAGGCTCCAAAACTTTCCTAAACATAAAACACCTATAAGATTATCCTATCGTTGCTCAGATCCATCACTCTGTGCTTCTGACTACCTTACTCTGTTCTCTAGTGGCAGGTCCGAAGTTACTGGCAGAGTTCCTGGGGCTACAGAATGAAAACCTCTAATAATCTTTGGAATTGGTTTTCCTATTTCCCTTTTCCTGGATTTCCTATTTCCAGAAGCAAGGCTCCTCTACACGCTCAGAAATGCCAAATGAATATAAAGGAACAAAATGGCCTATAAGAAAATGTGTATTAGATGTTCTGTCCCTTTTCAGAACATAAGAAAATCCTAACACATACCTAAGAGGAATTCTGAAGCACTGGAGATAAGCTCAAAACCCCCAAAACTGATCTAATTTTGATTAATGGTGAACATTCCAATCTCTTGAATATGAATTAAGAACTTTTTAAAAACTGGCATGAGACAAAAACCTGAAATATTTTAATTACACCTCATTCCCATTAGCCCAATTAATCAATTTATTATAAGACACTTAAATTTTAAGCATGGGAGAGCAAGAAAATGAGCAATTGACTAGTCTTCTTTTCCCGTCACTTCAAAAATAAAGGCGAATTGGCTGGTCACAGTGGCTTATGCCTGTAATCCCAACACTTTGGGACGCCCAGGTGGGAGAACTGCTTGAGGCCAGGAGTTCAAGAGCAGCTTGGGCAACATAGTGAGACCCCCATATCTACAAAAAATTTTTTTTAAATTAGCCAGCATAATGTGCACACCTATAGCCCTAGCCATTCATGAGGATGAGGCATGAGAATTGCTTGAACCCAGGAGTTTGAGGTTACAGTGAGCTGTGATCATGCCACTGTACTCCAGCCTGGGCAACAGAGCAAGACCCTGTCTCTAAAAATAAAGGGAAATTATTTTAGTGGATCACATGCTAGACTGAGGAAGGAGGGAAATATTCTGTGGATCCCATGCCAGTTAGAGAAAAAGAGGCATATGAATCCTAAACTAGACTAGATGAGCCATACATAATACCTCAGTGGTGGAGGAGGAGGATCTCATGTGCACAAAGGAGGAAGAAACCTGTCAAGATTTCCCAGTGGTCCAGTGTGGGCCATATGGATTCCATACTAGATAGCAGTGGTCCTGATGTTCACATACAGGAGAGATGAGAGGGTGGGCCATATGGATCACGTACTGGTTTTCAAGTACTCCAGGAAAAGAATGAAATTAAAAGACACGGAAACAGGCTTATACTCCATCCCAGGGGGACCTTTTAGAACTCCTCAGGAAAGGCAATCAGCAAGTCTGCCAAAGTAATTAAGCAAACGAACATTTACCATAAAGCCCACATCAGTTAAGTGAACAAAGATGAATCTTATTACAGTGCACTGTCAGCTCTGAGCCTGCAGGTGCTAACCACTGAGACGTGGCGTTACTCGGCCCTAGCTGCTCACCCACCCACTGTGACAGAGAGCTTCGCCCTTCTCGTCAGCTCTGAAAAAGCAGGCTGCTTTCACCTGCTCCAGCACTGACTTATGTTGCTTTCAGACAGACCCTCACAGAGATGGCTTCCTATAAGAAGCCTGGGTGTGGATACTGTGGCAGGTGGTAGGGTTGGCTACAGAAGGGAGGCTTGAGAGGTAGAGAGGATGGGAGAAAGCAGGGGGGCTGGGTAGCAGTTATGTCAGTGAGGTAAAGAAAATGGGATAGTTTGGTAAATCAAGAAGTAAATAAAGAATAAACAAGCTGCCCAAAGTATTGAACCGTTCTGCCTAAGTGAAGTTGATAGTCTCTCTGAAAAGGGAAGAAGTTAAAACTTCATTGCAAAATAGTTTCTCCTCAAGGAAAGAAATATTACTAGGGAACATCGCTTTTCTAATGTTAATGGCAGCCTCAACATCAGCTTTATTAATGAGTTAGCACCAAAGCTAACAGGGTCAGATTTGTTGAGACCTAATCAGTATCTATTATTTAACAAAATCCACTGCTTGCTAGAATAAATGAATACTTATCAATTATCCTAAGATTTACAAATGGCACTTGAAGCACCTTTTGGCCCTATTTCTTTCTGCAAATAATTTTGAGAGTCAAAATGAAAGCCCCAAATTGACCAAATGCCAACCAACTACATCAGAGACCCAGAAAGCTTTTATTCAACAGAAACTCTCACAAGGGGAAGGCTGTTAAGAGTAGCTGTGAGACAAATTCAAAAAATCATATAACTAGTTTAAAAAGCCAAAGACCATATGTCTATTACTCAGAGGAACAGATATGAATAGACAGAAGTAGGTAAGGTCCCTGTGTCCAGAAACCGATACATCTCTAACTTATTATGGAGAAGAAATCCTAAAGACATTGCTGGGAGACAGATACAACCAACCAACTGAAGAAATGTCACTTGTGGCACTTCTGGGCTGGGCTTGTGACAGAAAATGATGTTGGAGGTCTCACAGCAGATGCACGCACAGGCACTCATACGTGCGCACTTCTCTTCAGGTCTAGAACAAGAGCAAACAAAGAGCTGTGGTAGAAAGTGATTTGCAACCTTACTTTCTACCACAGCTCTTTGTCTGCAACAGGGCCTGCAGTTTCCTTACATTCAAAGGCAGCGGGAGGTGGGAAAAGGAGGGGAAACTAGATGACTGCTACTCAGAACCAAGCAGCGCTGCCCAGGAGAGGACTTAATGGGAGGATAAATTTGGGGCCTGATTCTTTGACGGCACCTCCAGTAATAGCTAGTAAAGCAGGGGGTGAGAGCCAGCTCCAAACATTCATCATAATAGTGCAACAAGATGAAGGTCTTTAGGGGAGAGTCGATGAGATTCCAGAGTAAGAAAATGAAGCCCATGCGGAGGGTGAGGCGGTTGGCTCTGGCAGATTGTCTCCACAGGAGGCTGGTATAATTGTTTTATGCTCACAAAGAGGTTATTAGCTGCCATCTCTTCAATATACCAGAAAGAGCAGTAAGTTTTCTTCCTCCTGAAAGGTGACGCTACCAAAAGGAGAAATTTAGTTTTAAAGTAATTAAAGAACTTTGTTTATGCTATAAGCACTGTTTTAGAAACAGAACTTCTATATTTTCTCCTCTCTTACTCTGCAAATTGACTGCTTTCTCATATAGTCAAGGAATCTCTGTCCCTAGAAGGAAGTTCTACAGTATCTGAAGCTAAAGGTTTGCCAGCACTGCCAGTGACTCTTGATAATTCAGTTTGTTTGACAAACATATGAATACCTATCATGTGCAGGCACTACGCTAGGCAATGAAGGTTGTGAATAAAATAAATCCCAGAGATCAAGGAGTTCATAAATGGAAAAGACACACACGACAGACAGATAATTTCATTATGATGTGGTAAAGGCTAAGGCAGACAAAGAGTAGACAAAAGGTATCATGGAAGCACAGAGGAGGGGTGCTTAGCCCAACCTGCAGGCTTAGAAAGGACATTCTGAAGGACAGGGTGCTTGAGCAGAGTCTCAAAATATGAATTAGTTTATAATTAGGCAAGGAAAGGTGAGAATGTGTGGGCACATTTTCTTACAGGGAAGGAGACTGATACCGAACTTTTACTAAATCAAACAAAAGAAACCTTACTAGTTAAAAATTAGGTTCATGCCTTCAACAAATAGTCAAATTTTTCCAGTAAACTAAAGATAAAAGTTATAGCTTCCTTTCCCAGTGTCTCATTTTAAATATTTTCCATCTAAGGGGAAGCAGGACAACTTTTGTGAAAGCCACAAGACCTCTGCCTGTTGGGGTCCTGTTTACACCTGTTTGCTCAGTACTGACTCAAAGATGCTCATGGAGACAGGCCAGGGCAGGTTCTCTACCTCTTCTCCCCTAAACTAACTGTAAACACAAAGCAGTTTTCTAAGTTGGAGGCAGGTCTTTCAGGCTCCCATGGGAGTAGATGGATCTCAGCTGTGCCGTGCCCGCCCTCTGCGGCTGTCAGTCTCCAGCTGGTGATGCAGCTGTTCCACTTAAAGCCACACTGAAGCCTCCAGTCTCTGATCTCCACCAAACCACACTGACGACACTAAATGGCTTGGCTTTGCAGCTGCCTGTTATAAGAGTGTCCTTGGTTCTCTTTTGGCTTATAAGATTAATAATATACATTTGGGAAGGTCCTCAGTGAGAAACACAGAAGAGAACCTTTAATGCCACGAAGAGCCTGAGCAAACACCTTACCGCCAAGAGCAGTAAGGCGTCCAAACACCTACACCAGTGGCATGTGAAACAGCCCCAGAACACACACACATTCCCTCAGCAGGGCCTCTAGCTTACATAAATGACAGCAACACAGCACTCAGCCAGTGAGGAGTTTTTTTTAAGGCAGCCTTAAAATCCCTTATAATTCAGTGAATCTGCAAAGATAAAAATAGCACTAATTACTTTGACTTGTTACTTAAAAAAAGAAAGAAAAACAATGCATAATGCTATCAATAATTTACTTCAAAGTGGCTTTAGTTGTCTCAAAGCCCCATTTTGGATAATTAAAGCCTTTCGGCCGTCTTCCTGTTACTCTGGAGGGAATTGGAAGTCAGTAAATTCTACAGTGTTGGGATTAAAAAAAAAAAACTCAGTTGGCTGGGCATGGTGGCTCATGCCTGTAATCCCAGCACTTTGGGAGGCCGAGGCAGGCAGATTACGAGGTCGGGAGATTGAGACCAGCCTGGCCAACATGGTAAAACCCTGTCTCTACTAAAAATACAAAAATTAGCTGGGTGTGGTGGTGTGCACCTGTAGTCCCAGCTACTCAGGAGGCTGAGGCAGGAGAATCACTTGAACTCGGGAGGCAGAGGTTGCAGTGAGCCAAGATCACGCCACTGCACTCCAGCCTGGGGACAGAGAGAGACTCCATCTCAAAAAAAAAAAAAAAAGAAAGAAAGAAAAAACAACTCAGTTCATCACTGAGAAAGGGACTCTAACAATTTCAAAGCATACTTCCTGGCTATACTGGATTAATCCAGGAGCTATTAAGACTATATTTCCTATTGTCTGTTAAGATCTGAAGCAGACTTTTATAACGGGGCTCCACAGACACATTTGGGAAACACAATCAGAAGCAAAGTCCTATAGGACTTCTTAGGCATCTCAATATCCATTTCTGTAGCTTAAGACCTCAGGTCAGGTGATGATTCTGGAAGACAATGATGGCAATGTAAAGGCCTTGGAAGATTAAATCATTCATTCTGCTATCCACCCATTCACTCAACACTTATCGTAACATATTGGATTGTGCTGGGGCAGGAATTACGGAAGTAAAAAAGTCATGGTCTCTGTCCATTTAGTGATGGACAGACATGTAAACAACCATACCACAATGTGATAAATGCTACAAGAGAGAAATGTACAAAACCCTTTGGCAATGCAGGTGTGAATCATTCTCTCTCAAAGAATCCAGGAAGCTTTCAAGGAAGGTTACATCTGGGCTAGATTTTGAAGCATAAACAGAATTTTGGTAGGTGAAAAGTGAAGAGGGAAGACATTCTAGGTAAAAGCATGTGCAGAGGTATGAAATTTGAGACTCTATGGCCAAGTCTAATTGGGACAGATCTTAGGATAGATGGGAGAGTGACAACAAATAAGGCTAGAAAGGTAGGTTGGGATCAAATGTCATGCAAAAAGGTCTGGACATTATCCTATCCCTATCAATGATGAAGAATCAAGCAAGACTTAAAATCTGGTGGTTTCCTAATGAAATATTTCAGATGTACAAAAAGGTGCAAAAAAGAATACGCTGAATGCTTATATACCTACCATCTAATTGTAGAAAGAATTATAACTACCTTTCAAACCCTCCATGAACCCCTTTTTGATTGTCTGTCCGTCTTTTCCCGGAGTATCATTCTTATACAGAGTGTTTATCCTTTTACTAAATACAAACGTGTCTCTAAATAACATATCACTTTGTGTTCTTAAATGTTACGTACATGTTACATTCTGCACCTTACTTTTTAATGAATATTATATTTGTGAGACTTATTCTGATTTGTTTAGCTCTAGTCCATCTTCAGTGTTGTATCACATTTCATTGTATAAATATACCACAATCCATTTTCCTGTTCATAGAAATGTAACTGGTTTCCTTTTGTTTTTTCTTTTGGTATTTATTTTGGATTAATACTGCAATCAACGTTGTTGTTTATACATCCTTGTTTGAGAAAGTTTCTCAAGGAAATGTACCTAGGGGTGAAGTTACTGGGTCATAAGGTTTGGGCAACTTTGACTTTATTAGCTGTTGCCAAACTGCCCTCAAAGTGATGCTGCTAACATATACTCCCACCAGCAGTGTAAAGACCTATGCTTCTGAAATCCAACTTGTGACTGAACAAATTGAATAGTGGCTGCTATAAGAAAAAGTCTGAAGGCAAAAAGAACAGTTAGGAGGCTCTTATAACATGAGAGATTATGAGACCTTGAAATAAAATAGTGGTTGTAGCATTGGGGAAGAAGAATTTACTTGAGAGATATTTAGAAGGCAGGGTTGAAAGAACCTACTGACTGGGTAGCAGACAGAGAATTTAAAGTAACTGAGATTTCTACTTTAGGCAACTAAACAGATGATGACACCATTAATTGGGAAGGTAAACATAGGAGAGAAAAGTTCTTAAATTGTAGGGGTAGGGCAATAAGGCATTTTCTTTGGAATGTCAAGTCTGAAGTACTTGTGGGACCTCTGGGTAGGGAATGACGTTCAAGAGGCAAGACCATGCTGGTAGTAAAAACTGTGAAGCCTGTTCACCTAGGCAGCTGTGAAGAATCAGATATGTAGCTTCAAAACAGTTAAGGGCAAAATAAACAGCACTTCCTACCAGTTAACACCAGTTTCTCTATTCTAGGAAAAAAACAGTCACTTACATGCCCCATGATACAAGGTACCCTCCCCTTGAACTAATTCTATATCTGACTTTCCACCTGTCTAGACTAAAGCCTTCAGTTTAAGATGGAACAAGCAGGGATGAAAGAAGACAGTTTCGTAACACTAGTCTTCAGAGAGCTACCAAACTGGTGCTTTAAATGTCTACCAACGGGGAGACGACCTGACATCCTGTTTGACAAAGGTAACAAGCTTTGGTTCCTTTAAGTTCCTATTTAGATACATTTATAGATATAATTTGCTTATATTTTGAACTCCTTGCTCTTCTAGATCTATGGAAAGGTATTTTTTAAGCAAAAGAAAAGTATTTACTGAGAAGTTATAGTGAATATATAATATATCTTCATTTTCTTCCTAATTTCAACAAAGTGTGAATAGAAGCTCAGGAACTGGGATAACTGTTTTTGTCTTTGTTTTTGTTTTTTTTTTTTTTTGAGACAGGGTCTCACTCTGTCGCCCAGGCTGGAGTGCAGTGGTGCAATCTCAGCTCACTGCAACCTCCGCCGCCTGGGTTCAAGTGATTCTCATGCCTCAGCCTCTGAGTAGCTGGGATTACAGGCATGCGCCACCACACCCAGCTCATTTTTTTGTATTTTTAGTAGAGACAGGATTACTCCATTTCAGCCAGGCTGGTCTCGAACTCCTGACCTCAAATGATCCACCCGCCTCAGCCTCCCAAAGTGCCGGGATTACAGGCGTGAGCCACCGTGCTGGGCCGGGATAATAGTTTTGATTCCACAGTTTCATCCTAGTGGTACACAGAAATAGCTGGGAATCTATTATACTACCAGAGTCAGGCCTGTTTTTCAGCAGTAACCGATCTTGGAAAATGCAAGGTTAAAACCCAAGGTAGTATCCTAATAAAACAATGTGTTGATTTCTCTATTTTTAGAAATCAAGTATAGGAAAATAGTGGCTATAGAAACCAGGCTAAACCCAGCTCCCATGCCGCACTTCAAGCCCTGCAGTAACAAGTCAACCATCCTCATCCCTTGCCTTACAGTGTAAGGAATTTTTAGCCAACCCATCATATCTGATCTTCCTCTAGACCCGTCCTGTAGCCACCAGCCACATGTAGCTCCTAAGCATCTGAAACATGGCCAGTGCAACTAAAGAACTGAATTTTAAATTTTATTAATTTAAATGAAAAAAACTAAAGTAGTTTAAATTTTGTTCCACTAAATACAATTGTATTGTTTTGGTAGGGCTACATTTCACTTTAACTGCTGCATTGTATAAGATATTACTGCTGTATTACAGTACATGTGTTGGGCAGGTGTGTTGTTTCTAGTAATGCATGTAAATACATCATCAATCTAGTTGATGTCAATGGATTCAGTTAAAATGACTTACTTTTTACATATTAATTTAACAATGTAATATATTTACTTAATATTTTATGTGATAACGTGAGTTACAGCATGGTTTCTCAACATGAGCACTACTAACATTTGGGGCTACTTTGTTGCTGTGGCTGTCCTGGGCACTGTAGAATGTTTAGCAGCATAGCTGGCCTCTACCTACTACATGCCAGTAATACATCCTCCTTTCTCCAAGTTGTGCCAACTGAAATATAGCAAATGTCCCCCAGAGGGTAAAATCATATCAGTTGAAAACCACCAAGTTACAGTTATGATTACATAAATCAGAACTGCTAATTAAAGTAAAATAATTACCACTGTGGGTTTTTTCTTTTTCTTTTTTTTTTTTTTTTGAGACAGAGTTTCGCTCTTGTCACCAAGGCTGGAGTGCAATGGCGCAGTCTCAGCTCACTGCAAGCTCCGCCTCCCGAGTTCAAGCGATTCTCCTGCCTCAGCCTCCTGAGTAGCTCGGATTACAGGCATGCACCACGTCACCCGGCTAATTCTGTGTTTTTAGTAGAGAAGGGGTTTCACTGCATTGCCCAGGCTGGTCTCGCACTCCTGACCTCAGGCGATCCACCCGCCTCAGCCTCCCAAAGTGCTGGGATTACAGGTGTAAGCCACCACCCCTGGCCCTACTATTATTTTAATTATAATTAAATTTTGTTTCTAGTTTTAAAAAGTAAGTATTGAAAGATTTTTAAATTTAAAAGTGAAGGCACACTATGGACACAGAATTGAGTGGAAATGCAGAAGATAGTACCATGTTCAGAACAGAAAAGAAAAAAAGAGACCAGGGCTGGGCGCAGTGGCTCACTCCTATAATCCCAGCACTTTGGGAGATCGAGGCGGGCAGATCACTTGAGGCCAGGAGTTGGAGACCAGCCTGGGCAACATGGCAAAACTCCGTCTCTACTAAAAATACAAAAATTAGCCAGGTGTGGTGGCGCACGCCTGTAATCCCAGTTATTCAGAAGGCTGATGCAAGAGGACTGCTTGAGCCTGGGAGGCAGAGGTTGTAGTAAGCCGAGATTGCACCACTGCACTCCAGCCTGGGCGACAGGAGTGAAACCCTAAACCCTATCTCAAAAAAAAAAAAAAAAGAGACCAGAGGAAGGTATGTTGCAAGCTTCCTCTTTTTTTTTTTTTTTTTTTTTTTTGAGACAGGGTCTCACTCTGTCCCGAGGCTAGGGTGCAGTGGCACAATCACATCTCACTGCAGCCTCAACCTCCCCAAGCTCATGTAATCCTCCTATCTCAGCCGCCTGAGTAGCTGAAACCACAGGCGCGTGCCACCAGGCCCAGCTAATTTTTGTATTTTTTGTAAATATCAGGTTGCCCAAGCTGGTCTCGAACTCCTGGGCTCAAGTGATCCTCCTGCCTTGCCCTTCCAAAGTGCTGGGATTACAGGAGTGAGCCACTATGCCCAGTCTCTCATTTTTCATGACACAATTATTAAACATTGCATGCCTGTATCAAAGCATCTCACGTATCTCATATCTATATATACCTATTATGTACCCACCAAAATTAAAAATTAAAATTAAATTAATGTTTTCATATTGATTATATGTTAGAAGAATAATATTTTGGGTACTTTGGGTAAAATAACTATTAAAAATTAATTTTATATGTTCAAAATTAAAGTTACATGTGACTCACAACGTATTTCTATTGAATTATGCTATGTAGACCTTGTTGCAAAAACGCTTTCCCTGTTACTTGTCTACCTGCTCTTCCTGTGGCCTTCAATGCAGGAAATCAATACAGTGATGCGGCCCTGGCAAGTCAAAAACACTGGAGATTGGAATTTTCTTCAAAATGCCTAGTCCTTGGTGAATAAATGCTGTCTCTAACCATCTGCTGCTGACACTTGAAGAAAGAATTACAACCAAACTGACCTTCATCCCGGAGATTTACAACCAAGGGGAACAAGCTTTTCCCTTCTGTTTCCAACACCTATGGTCTGATAACCTAGCTACTCCAAATGTAGCTTTCCAGCACTGAACTGGGAGAATAAATATTAAAGTTAGTATTTAGATTATTTAGATTGTGTTATTTGCCACCATTTACCATATACACTCTGAATTCTTGAAAAAAGAACCTAAAATCTCAAGGTGGGCTGGGCACAGTGGCTTATGCCTGTAATCCCAGCATTTTGGGAGGCCGAGACGGGCAGATCACTTGAGGTCAGGAGTTCGAGACCAGCCTGGCCAACATGGCAAAACATCGTCTCTACTAAAAACCCAAAAATTAGCCAGCCATGGTGGCACACACAACTGTAATTCCAGCTACTTGGGAGGCTGAGGCATAAGAATCGCTTGAGCCTGGGAAGCAGAGGTTGCAGTGAGCTGAGATCGTGCCACTGTACTCCAGCCTGCGTGACAGAGCAAGACTCCATCTCAAAAAAAAAAAAAAAACAACAACTCAAGGTGTAATACAAGGGGATGATTTTCTCACAATCCAGGTCAAGCCCAAGCCATGCCCACACACATTCAGGTTTTTTTTTTGGTTAATAAATGAGAATGTGGGCTGGGCGCGGTGACTCATGCCTGTAATCCCAGCACTTTGGGAGGCCAAGGCGGATGGACCACCTGGGTTCAGGAGTTCGAGATGAGCCTGGCCAACATGGTGAAACCCCATCTCTACTAAAAATACAAAAATTAGCCAGATGAGGTGGCAGGCGCCTGTAATCCCAACTATTCGGGAGACTGATGCAGGAGAATCGCTTGACCCAGAGGAGGCGGAGGTTGCAGTGAGCCAAGATCATGCCACTGCACTCCAGCCTGGGTGACAGAGTGAGATTCCGTACCAAAAAAAAAAAAAGAGACAGAAGGTGATCAATGTTATGTTCAAGTCTTCAGAAAATGAGTGTGTGAACACAGTTCTGGGTATATTTTGAGGGGATTTATTGACACTCTATAAGCTGTCAATGGGTGCCAGGCTGCAATTCTCTGCTCTGCTGTCAAACATAATGAAACCTCCCACATAAAAGAAGTGAGGGTTCTGTGAAGAAATGGTTGATTCCAGGTCTGGAGCAGGAAGTGTAGATGATAATCCTGCGACATCTTGTGCCAGAAAGCAAGAAGGCTAACAAAGACTACCAGAGTCTTGTCAAAAAGATGTAGGCTGGACGCAGAGGCTTGTACCTGTAATCCCAGCTGCTCAGGGGACTGAGGCGGGAGGATGGCTTGAGGCCAGGAGTTCGAGATCAGCATGGGCAACACAGCAAGACTCCATCTCTAAAAAATAAAGTAGCTGGGCATGGTGGTATGAACCTGTAGTCCCAGCTACTCAGGAGACTGAGGCAGAAGGATCCCTCGAGCCCAGGAGTTCGATGTTGCAGTGAACCATGATCACATCACTGCACTCAAGCCTGAGCGACAGAGCAACCCCATCTCTAAAATAAAACATAAAAAAGACATGGGGCCAGGCACAGTGGCTCACGCCTGTAATCCCAGCACTCTGGGAGGCAAGGCGGGTGGATCACTTGAAGTTAGGAGTTCTAGACCAGCCTGGCCAACATGGTGAAACCCCATCTCTACTAAAAATACAAAAATTACCTGGGAGTGGTGGGCGCCTGTAGCCCCAGTTACTCAGGAGGCTGAAGCAGGAGAATCACTTGAACCCAGGAGGCGGAGGTTGCAGTGAGCTGAGATCGTGTATCTGCACTCCAGCCTGGGCAGCAGAGCGAGACTCCATCTCAACAACAACAACAACAAAAAAGACATGGAATCCAGTATGAATGTACACCCATGAATGTCCAAAGAAAATGATTTGAGCATGGCTGGGCGTGGTGGCTCACGCCTATAATCCCAGCACTTACGGAGGCCGAGGCAGGTGGATCACAACGTCAGGAGTTTGAGACCAGTCTGGCCAATATGGTGAAACCCCGTCTCTACTAAAAATACAAAAATTAGCCGGGTGTGGTGGTGGGCGCTTGTAATTCCAGCTACTTGGGAAGCTAAGGCAGGAGAATCGCTTGAACTTGGGAGGCAGAGGTTGCAGTGAGCCGAGATCGTGCCACTGCACTCCAGCCTGGCGACAGAGTGAGACTCTGTCTCAAAAAAAAAAAAAAAAAAAAAGATTTGAGCACAAGAATAATAAACTGAAATACATAACATGCTGAGTTCATGATACTAAAAAAGAGAAAAATTTCATTAGATACCATTTCTGATTGATTTTTGTACATCAAACTTGTATCCTACAACTCTGCTGAGCTCATTTATTCTAGTAACTTGTAGACTCCATCAGGTTTTCTAAATTGACAATCATGTTGCTGCAAGTAAAGACAGTTTACATCTTCCTTTACAATTTAGATGGCTTTTATTTCTTTTTCTTGCCTGATTGCACTGTTTAGAACCTCCAGCATAATGCTGAATAGAGGTGGTGACAGCAGACATCCATCTTGTTCCTAATCTTAGGGAAAAGCACGCAGTCTTTCAGCATTAAATATGACAGCTTGTAGGTTTTGCACAGATGCCCTTTATCATACAGAGGAAGCTCTCTTCTATTCCTAGTATGCTGAGAATTTTTATCAGAAATGGATTTTGCATTTCTCAGATGATGGATAAACAAAACCCTGAAGTCAAAACACACTTCCATATGTACATATTATCTATAAAAGGATACCAAAGACAGGGAAAAAAAGGAAATATTTAAATTCTTTTAGAGGCAGGTTCTAGCTCTGTCACTCAGGCAGGAGCGCAGTGGCACAATCATAGCTCACTGCAGCCTTGAACTCCTGGGCTCAAGGGATCTTCCTGCCTCAGCCTCCTGAGTAGCTGGGATTACAAGCATGCACCAGTACTCCTAGCTAAGCTTTTCTTTTCAGTAGAGATGGGGGTCTCACTATGTGGCCCAGGCTGGTCTTGAACTCCTGGGCTCAAGTGATCCTCATGCCTCAGCCTCCTAAGCTGCTGGGATTACAGGTGTGAGCCACCACACCTGGCCAGGAATTCTTGGTCTAGGAGAAAGCTCTTGGTTAAAAGGACAGACAGAAGGAAGTACATTCTCTCTCTCTCTCTCTCTCTCTTTTTTTTTTTTTTTTTTTTTTGAGACAGGGTCTCTCTCTATTGCCCAGGCTGGAATGCAGTGGTGCCACCACAGCTCGCTGCAGCCTCAACCTCCCAGGCTCAAATGATCTTCCCATCTCAGCATCCCAAGTAACTGGGACTACAGGTGCACGTCACATACCCAGCTACTTTTTTAAATGTTTTTGTAGAGATGGGGTCTTGTATGTTGCCAGGGCTGATCTCAAACTCCTGGGCTCAAGTGATCTTCCTGCCTCGGCCTCCCAAAGTGCTGGGATTATAGGCGTAAGCCACTGCACCAGGCCCACATCAGTCTTGACCAGAGCCAAAGGCTCCCAGACTTTAGTGAGCAAATGTCCTCAGCAGACCTGTTTGGTTTGGTGCGTAAAGTGGTCCCCTCCTTCCCGGAGCTGCCATGACTGCACAAAAGGGAGGGAACACTTCAGAAACTTCCCAGGTGCAAATAATGGGTGGTAAGCAGTGGTCTGTCATCTCCTGGAGCTTTTCAAAAGAGCTATAATGGAAGTATAGCTATTCTGGTCACATTCTAACTCGGGTACAGCAGGATTGTACCCTGGCCTTCAGCTGTTCCTCCAAAGTCTTAATTGCAATGGCATTCTACCCTATGAAATCTTGCCATGTGGTAGTACTACCAATGTAGGTCAGAAACTAAGGACACAGGGTTGGGTACACAGGAAATGAACAATAAATAATTAATGACTAATTAAGTGTTGGCCAAGATGAACCTTCATTTCCCGGCTGGATGAAGTGCTGTGTATCTATTATGAATAGTCAGTAAATTGGGCTGAAGGGGCATAAAAACACAGGATTAAGATATGATACCCGAGCTGGGCGTGGTGGCTCACACCTGTAATCCCAGCACTTTGGGAGGCCAAGGCAGGAGGATCATGAGGTCAGGAGTTCAAGACCAGCCTGGCCAACATAGTGAAACTCCGTCTCTACTAAAAATACAAAAAGTTAGCCGGGCATGGTGGCGGGTACCTGTAATCCCAGCTACTCGGGAGGCTGAGGCAGGAGAATTGTTTGAACTCAGGAGGCAGAGGTTGCAGTGAGCCAAGATCACACCACTGTGCTCCAGCCTGGGCCACAGAGCGAGACTCTGTCTCAAAAAAAAAAAAAAAAGATACGATACCCTGCTAACATAAACCGTTATCTCACAGCATTTTATTATCACCTGTTTACTCAGTCAAAAACTTAAAATGGGCTGGGTGCGGTGGCTTATGCCTATAATCCCAGCACTTTGGGAGGCCGAGGCAGGTGGATCACCTTAGATCAGGAGTTCGAGACCAGCCTGGCCAACATGGTGAAACCCCGTCTCTACTAAAAATACAAAAATGAGCTGGGCATGGTGGCAGGCTCCTGTAATCCCAGCTACTTGGGAGGCTGAGGCAGGAGAATCGCTTGAACCTGCGAGGTGGAGGTTGCAGTGAGCCAAGATCACAGCTATTACACTCCAGCCTAGGTGACAGTGAAAATCCATCTCAAAAAAAAAAAAAAAAAAAAAGCAAACTTATAATGCCATCTTATAATTCTTATAATTTATTTCCCTATTAAAACTTATTTTTACAAGGTTAATTACAGCTTTTTGTTACTTTCTACACTCTGCAAGTATTCGTAACCATGATAAATAAGGATAAGAAAATAAGAAACCATTTGACATAGATGGCTATTTGAGAGTCTCATTTCTGTTTAGTTTAGTTCAACTCTAACCAAAATGATTCAAGTCCTGCTCCAATAGTAGACTTCATCTAGTATATCTGCATTATTTATCACACTAGGAGGAGGAGAAGGGACAGATTTTTATAAAAAGGGATACAAATCAATAAGAGGCTTTAACAGATGGGGTCTTGGTTGAGGGCCCCAGCAGCCTCTTCAGGTCCAGTGCTGAAAATCATTCAGCTGAAAGACCCAGGGACATTTGTTCAGCAAGTCACTTAGGGAATCAGCATCTTGCTAAATGTAACCTACCTGGTCTGAGACAAAATGATGGCTACACATCTGCTCAGAGTAGTCAGCAGTGAGCACACTAAGTTGCAGCCACAGAGCAATATTCAGTATTATTGCTGCAAGTAATGCAATACTACTATCACCATGTATGCCCCCTTCCTGAGCAACTGAATAGAGATAGTTTGGCATTTGGGAAGGCATTTCAAGTTGACCATGAGAAGCAAACACTGTATACACACAGTTCAGATCACTGGAGACGTGGCAGAAAGGGAGGAAGGAGGCACAGTAGCTGTCTGCAATAGTTTAGCATTCATGGTTCACCTATCCCTGGGTCCCTGATATTGTGCAAATCTGCCTTACAAACCCACAGTGTGATGAAGCTTTCTGCCCCAGTCTAAGTACAGAGGGGAGTGGAAGTTGTCTCTGAAGTTAGTTCTGGGACAGCAATATCCCTTGGCACTATTGCAAGTCCTTTTTTTTTTTTTTTTTTTTTGAGACGGAGTCTCGCTCTCTCACCCAGGTTGGACTGCAGTGGCACTACCTCGGCTCACTGCAAGCTCCACCTCCCGGGTTCATGCCATTCTCCTGCCTCAGCCTCCGGAGTAGCTGGAACTACAGGCGCCCACCACGGCGCCTGGCTAATTTTTTTGTATTTTTAGTAGAGACGGGGTTTCACCGTGTTAGCGAGGATGGTCTCGATCTCCTGACCTCGTGATCCGCCCGCCCCGGCCTCCCAAAGTGCTGGGATTACAGTGTGAGCCAGCACGCCTGGCCTATTCCAAGTCTTATAATACACAGTTCAACAGTAGTAGGGCCCAGACAGAAGAAATAACAAAGCTTTAAAATGAAAGCTCAATCCAGAGAACTCAAATAATTAGATTCAATCCATAAAGTGGGGAAATGATCTATGTCTGATGGCTATCAATGAGGTCCAAGATCTTAATTGTGCTTTCCTTCTCAAAATAACCCTCTCATCAGTATATAGATTTATATAATGCAAACACCTAAGGAAAACCATCAGCAACCTACCCCCCACCCCCATCCCAGCTCCCACTCAAAAACAAACAAACAAAACAAACCTGGGAATTTGTAAGAAATATGAAGAAAATACAAATCCTCCAATTATAACTCCTGTCATTCAAATTATTTTCAAAAGGTTGCCACACATAAAGTATGGAAACTATGGTCAGAAGTTGAATCTCTTACCCTTCCCTGTGAAGAACTATTCTTTTTCTGATTTTTAAAATTAAGGAATAACTTTCATACAGCAAAACTTACCCTTTTTAGTGTTGTAATGGTTAATTTTATTATCAACTTGACTGGATTAAGGGATCCCTTAATGGTAAATCATTATTTCTGAGTGTGTTGACAGGGGTATTTCCAGGAGACAGATTAGCATTTGAATCCATACACTGGGTAAAGAAGATCCACCCTCACCAATATAAGCAGCCATCATCTAGTCTGTTGAAAGCCCACCTGAATAGAACAAAAGGCAGAGGAAGGGCAAATTCTCTGTTTCTCTTTTCTTGAGCTGGGACGTCCATCTTCTCTTGCCCTTAGACATCAGACATCAGGAGCTCCTGGTTCTCCAGTTTTTGGACTCTAGGACTTACACTAGTACCACCCAAGTTCTCAGTCCTTCAACCTTTAATTGGAAGCCTACAGCATCAGCTCCCTGATTCTACAGCTTGCAGACAGCATATTGTGAAACAACTTGGCCTCCATAATCATGTGAACTAATTCCCATAGCCTATTTCCTCTTGTATAACTATGTATATTTTATTGGTCTGTTTTCTGAAAAACCCTGATACAAGTATACAGTTCTGCAAGTTTTGAAAAATGCATACATCCAGATAATCACCACCACAGTCAAGATACAGAACAGTTTCATCACCTCAAAAGTTCCCCTGTGCCCATTTGTAATCAACCTCTCCTTCCAACCCCAGCCTCTGAAAACAACTGACCTATACCCTGTCCCTATAGTTTTGCCATTTCCAGAATGTCATATAAATGGAATCATACAGCATGTAACCTTTTGGATCTGGATAGTTTCATACTGCATAATGCAACTGAATTAATCCAGGTTGTTGCATGTATCAGTAGTTCATTCCTTTTTACTGTAGAATAGTATTTCATTATATAGATGTACCATAGTTTATCTGTTCCGCCGTTGAGAGACACTTGGGTTGTCCACAGTTTTGACAGTGTATAAATAAAGCCACTATAAACATTTGTCCAATCCAAGTTTTTATTTCACTTGGGTAAACATTTAGGAGTGGACTGCTGGAAGGTCTACTTTGGAAAATATCTGCCTGACTCTATTTATGCTATTTCTATTTAGCAGATATGCAATTTCCCAAGGGAATAGCTGGGTTATTTTCTGTGATGCTTCTCTTTCTGGTCCATCAATATCATTTCTCTGCCCTCCCGGGTATAGGAAACACCTCCAAATCAGTATGACTTACAAACTTCATTAATACTTTGTTTACTTTCAGCCCTAGTTCATTAATACAAATGCTAAATATGCCTGTTCCTCATCAGCACCCTGCAGCATCCCAGGAAATAACAATCTTTCCCAACCACCCCAGCCCCCACACTGGCATTTAGGTTTACAGTCGTTTTGCAGTTCATTTTGCATCAACAGCTTCTTCTCTGTGTTCTTAATAATCAATTTTCAATTGAGCCAAGAATCTCCAGTATATCATGGGGTTTTTTGTTTGTTTGTTTGTTTGTTTTTTTAGACAGAGTCTTGCTCTGTGGCCCAGGCTGGAGTGCAGTGGTGCAATCTTGGCTCGGCTGACTGCAACCTGCACCTCCCGGCTTCAGGCGATTCTCCTGCTTCAGTCTCCCAAGTAGCTGGGACTACAGGTGTGCACCACCACACCCAGCTGATTTTTGTATTTTTAGTAGAGACGGGGTTTCACCATGTTGGCCAGGCTGGTCTCGAACTCCTGACCTCAAGTGATCCGCTGCCCTCGGCCTCCCAAAGTGCTGGGATTACAGGCGTAAGCCACTGCGCCTGGCCATCCAGTATATTATCTTTAATAACTATAGGAAAACCAAACAGAGCTTTCCCCAACTCATTCATAGTTAGTCTACTTTTTGCCTATCATGGCAAAAAATGTGGCCACTTAGAAAACTGGAAGTGTTAATTCCCTAACATCAGCCTGTAAGCAAGTTTGGACTTTCTTACCCCTAAAACAGATAGTATCCCATCCTAAAAACAGTCTTTCAAATACATGCTGTATTAATTAAACTAGAGAACAGAATAAAATGTCAGCATAATTAACATACGAAGCAACAGTATGGCCTGATTAATCACCATGAAGAGCAATCGAATAAAATACTATGCATTTTTATGGAGCAATTTAATCTGGCAAGTAATTAATCACAGAAACACTAAGCAAAACAAATGGATTTCCCTTTAAGGAAGTCACATTTATCATTTGTAATGTATCCCTAACTCTAATTTGTTATCCCAATTCAAAATTGTCTAGGAGACAATGAATTGACAGGCTTAGTAGAACACTGATTTCTGATGAAAAAGAACATCCAGCTTTTCAAATCAAGTTATAGTCCTGCAGCACTCAAAGAGCTCAGGTTTGTGGGGCACAGGTATGTGGCATTAGGCATGGAAGGCTTAACCTAAATCTAAATCTAGGTCAGTTTAGTCAAATCTATAGATAATTAAATGACTTGTGAAAATATTTAGTATTAAGAGTAACAATTATAGATCACAGATATTACCAAAACCCCAAAGGGAGGACCCTCAGCAGAAGAAAACAGAGCTTTTGGTCTTCAGAACAAGCAAAAAGGGGGAGGGGGCATATCAACGCAGTGAGATTTAACTCAAAGAAATTCCTTTGTTCCCTCCTTCCCTCCCTTTCTTCTCTCCTTCTCTCCGTCCCTTCCTTTCTTTTTGTCTTAAACAATGACCCATTTTCCTTGAGCCCCCAACAGCCTCACCAGTTTGAAGAACACCAACAGGCTGATGTTTTGAATGGTCATTCAAAGGCAGAGTGACACACATTAGCTAAGGCTATCTTCATATCTCCTTCTTCCCAGCTCCCTCTCTGCTTGGCTACATTCGAGACTAGATGAACAGCCCTTTCTTTGCCAACGAAGCTCACAGCACTTTATAAGCCTTTCCCTTAATAGTCCCATCTCTCGCTGACTTTATTTCTCTCTGTGCTGTTCTTAGAGGGCTTTGCTTCTCTTCTTAGCAGACCCCTGTAGGCTGAAGCACATGGCAAAGTTCCAGGCTTCTGGTGGCTGCGGCACAGTGGTTTGTTCTTTACTGACCTGCTTGATCTCCAATGCTGGATCCTACGAAACATTCAATACTTACTAAACTGTACCGGGAGAGTTGTGCTTTTCACACTCCACCTTGTCTCTGCTCACTATTTAAGAAATGCTGTTGCAGATATCCTATTTATCCCAGAGCATTTCTTCTAGATTTTAACCCTTACCTTTTTCCTTCAAACCTTTTACTCTAGTATTTCTGGGCTGTACCACTGGCTTAACGTAGATTCTTATCCTCTGCCTGGCCCTTCAGTCAATTTCTCTTCTGGAGAGTCCGCCTGGCATTTTTGTTCAGTGTTTCTCTGAGCTTCTGTCTCTGAATTGCCCTTGTTGGCTCCCTCCATCAGCCCAATAACTGAAGTACCATTACTCCCAGCTAATCCTAGATCAGGCCCAACCAATATCCTAAATCCTCACTTCTCTAAGAGAAAGGAACTCTATGTTTGTTTATCTATTTTCGAGAAAGAGTCAATGTGTCACTAAGATGAGTGAGACATAGATGCTTCCTGCCTTCAAAGAGCTCACAGCCTAGTCAAGAGGACAACAGATAAGTAGACAGTTGCTGCTGTAGTGTGGCCAGGCCTGGCTCTAAGGATGAAGTGATGCTCAAAATGCACTATTTCAGGAGGTGAGTTGACAAGTTGGGAAAGGACATTCTAGGCAGGGAGGAATGGTATATCCAAAAGGCCTGGACTATAAAACAGTTTGTCCAGAGAATTCTAAGTGTCTCTGGTTTGTCCAGAGAACTCCAGGTGGTCTGGCATAGCTGCAGTGAGGTGACAGATAAGGACAGAGATTCTAGAAATAAGATGAAGAATGGCAATGCAGGCTACCCTACAGAGCTTAAATGTTTTTCTGTGGTGATGAGAGGGGCCAGCGAGGGGACAAGCACAGAGAGAAAAACGAGACAGAAAGAGGCAGGCAAGATGACAGGTGAGATCAGAGACTATGAGAATCCAAGTGAAAAAGAAATATGAACAATAAATAAACTGTGGTACAGTTATGCAATAATAAAATACTGCTCAGCAATAAAAAGGAACTAACTACTAGATACTTGCACAAGCAATGTTCAGAGCAGTATCATTCATAGTAGCCAAAAGGCAGAAGCAACCCAAGGGTCACCAACAGATAACTGGATAAACAAAATGTGGTATATACATACAATGGAACATTATTCAGCCTTGAAAAGGAAGGAAATTCTGACATATGCTACAACATGGATGAACCCTGAGGATATTATGCTAAGCAAAATAAGCCAGTCACAAAAAGATAAATACACTATGATTCCACTATAAGGTATCTAAAATAGTTAAATTTATAGAGACTCAAAGTAGAATGGTGGTTGGCAGGGGCTGGGGAAGGGGAAAATGGGGAGTTGTTTAATCAGTACAATTTCAGTTTTGCAAGATGAAAAAGTTCTAGAGATCTGTTGCACAACAATGTCAATATACTTAATGCTACCAAACTTAACAAATCATTAGGATGGCAAATTTTATATTTCTTACCACAATTTAAAATCTTAAAAACGTTTTTTAAAAGGATTGAACTACTGATATATACCACAAAGTAGATGAATCTCAAAAACCTGATATTGAGTGAAAGAAGTCAGACACAAAAGAAGGCACACTATATGACTCTGTTCATATGTAGTTCCAGAACAGGTACAACTAATTTGTGGTGACAGAAATCAGGAGAGGGCATAGTTCTGGGGAAAGGGACTACTGACTGGAAAAGAAGGGTCATGAGGGAACTTTCTAGGTTGAACTTTCTGGGGTTCTATGTCCTGATCTGGATGGTGATTTACATAGGTGGTATACATATATAAAAAGCTGTTTAGAATACCGCTACTGGGTATTTATCCAAAGAAAAATAAATCAGTATATCAAAGAGATACCTGCACTCTTATGTTTACTGCAGCTATTCACAATAGCAAAGATATGGAATCAACCTAAGTGTCTACGAATGGACAAATGGATAAAGAAAATGTGGTATATACACATGATGGAATACTATTTGGCCATAAAAAGGAATAAAATCAAGTCATTTGCAACAACACAGATGGAAAAGGAGGTCATTATGTTAAGTGAAATAAGCCAGGCACAGAAAGACAAATTTCGCATGTTCTCACTCATAGGTAGTAGCTAAAAAGTTCACCTCATGAAGGTACAGAGTAGAATGACACCAGAGGCTGGCTGGGAAGGCAGGGGTGCAGATAGAGTGGATAAAGAGAGGTTCGTTAATGGATATAACATATAGTTAGATAGAAGGAATACGTTCTAATGTTCAATAGCAGAGTAGGGTGACTACAGTTACCAACAATGTACTATATATTTTAAAATAGCTAGAAGAGAGGACTTGAACTGTTCCCAACACAGAAATGATAAATACTCAAGGTGATGATGGACACCCAAGATACCCTGACTTGTTCATTATACAGTCTATGCATGTAACCAAATATCACGTGTACCCTACAAAAACATATAAATATTATACATCAATTTTAAAAAGGTGTCCAGTTACACACCTTCTAAGATTTTTAAATTTTACCATATATCAATATCTCAATTAAAAAGGAAATAAAGATTGAGTTTCAGTGAGTTGGTAACATTCTATTCCTTTTTTGTTTTTCTGAGAAAGAGTCTTACTCTGTCACCCAGGCTGGAGTGCAGTGGCACAATCATACCTCATTGCAGCCTCGATCTCCTGGGCTCAAGTAATCTTCCCACCTCAGCCTCCAGAGTAGCTGGGACTATTACAGGTGCATACCACTATACCCAGCTAATTTTTTAAAAATTATTTTTAGTAGAAACAAGGTCTTGCTATGTTGCCCAGGCTGGTCTCAAACTCTTGAGTTCAAGTGATCCTCTTGCCTTGGCCTCCCAAAGTGCTGGGATTACAAGTGTAATACAGCCACCGTGCCCAGCCCCTTCTATTTCTTAAGGTGAGTGGTTCATCTATGTTCATTCTATGTCAAGTTTTATTATATATATTCATTAATAGAATTTATCAAATAGTTCATTTTTTGCATAAGTAGGAAATTAGTTCAGATTAATTGGGTAAAAGGAACAGATTTTAATCCATCCCTATCTGAATCCCATCTAGTAAATTATCTCACAAGAAAGATGAAGTACATTCAAAACTGGTCAGAAATGAGATCCAACTACAGATAGCTACTCCTGCTGCCTTTTCAGATGTGTCACCAAGATGAATGCATGTGAGGGGAGAACAATGGGAACCAACTGTCTTTGGAGCTTCCTTGAGATTGAGAATTTTCATCATATGAAAATGGTGTCTAATGAGAGAGAAATTAATGTCCTTCGGTACACTGGGTAGTGAAAATGCATTAGTACACTCCATGTTTGACATCCCACTCACATGTTAGTGGTTTTAAAAGAAATTATATAGAAACCAATTAGAAAAAAAAACTCTCATTAAACCTCTTACAACAGGAGCCCACTTTGCTAGAGCATGCACAATATCTGGACTCCAGGGAGAAATGTATAATCGAGGTAAAATTAATCAAAACCTACATGAAAAGAACAGCAAGAGACAGTTTAAGAAGAAAAGGCCTCAGTGTTAGAAATTCCTGAAATCTGATCACTGAGTGCATAATTCTGCTTATTATTATCTTCCACTATGTAACACTATATTTATAATTAGGCTGATAGCACAGTAAAATGACAGTAAAATGCAGACACAATTCATTTAACAATTAATCTACTGGAGCTAAAAAATCTTACCATGTCATTAATTGCCTGCTTAAAATGCTGCCTCAGTTTCAGTTTCAGATTATCACACCTTCTTTAAGAATGCAGAGAAATGCACACACTAGCAAGGCTTGTTTAGGGGAGAATTTGCAAGCAGCAGTGAGTTGCACACTTTTCCCTCCCTAAGGACCCCAACTCAGAAGAGCCTGTATTGTAACCCCCAAGCTTACTACTAATTAAAAGAGAAAACAGTGAAGAGCATCTTCTTTCTCAGTAAAATTCTCCCACCTACTCTCACTCCAAAAATGTCTTTTTTTACTGCCCTTTACTTGTTATGGTCTAATTTCTCAACAAAAGAACTAATGCTTGCTACAATCTTATTTTATTTTTTCAAATTATCCAAATGGTGAATCCCTCTGTTGCGGTTTTGGGAGAGTAGGAGGCTACAGGAAGATTTAAACCACCCTATGAAGGTTGTCATCCCTGACTTTTCCATAAAAGAGTCTTATTTTTCTAGTCTAGCCCTGATGATTCCCCCACCCACAGATTTCTTCACAAATTCATTCTTCACAAAGAGCTTTGCAGTTGATTCTTAAGTAAGGAATTTTTTCAGTCTTCAAGGCCATTTCATATAACAGCAGGCCAAAGCCCAGAAAGGGGAGAGATTAGTCCCAAATTATCCACCAAATCAGTAGCAGAGTCAGGAATAGATCAAAGCATCTGGATAAAGATGTAGAAGGCGTATTTATTAAATGTGCTGATGATACAAAGCTGCAAAAGATAACAAATACACAGAATGACATAATCAGGATTCGAAAAATACCCTGAGAAGCTAGAATGATGGGCTGAAACCAACAAAATACATTTAACAAAAATAAAGTGTTGCATATAGGTTAGTTTAAAAAGAAAAAAGCGAACTGTAGATGTTCAGAGGGGAGATTCACCAAAATAACAATAGTAGCTATCTTGAAGGGTGAGATTTTAGATAATTTTATTTTACTTTGGTCTTTGTGCTTTTCTGCATTGCTTTTTTTTTTTTTTTGAGACAGAGTCTTGCTCTGTCGCCCAGGCTAGAGTGCAGTGGCGTGATCTCAGCTCACTGCAAGCTCCGCCTCCCAGGTTCATGCCATTCTCCTGCCTCAGCCTCCCAAGTAGCTGGGACTACAGGCGCCCGCCACCATGCCTGGCTTTTTTTTTTTAGTAGAGACGGGGTTTCACCGTGTTAGCCAGGACGGTCTCAATCTCCTGACCTCGTGATCTGCCCACCTCGGCCTCCCAAAGTGTTGGGATTATAGGCGTGAGCCACCACGCCCAGCCTGCTTACATTTTCTTAATAATAAGCAAGTAGCATTAAAATAAAATAAAATAAAATATGGCCAGGAGTAGCGGCTCATGCCTGTAATCCCAACACTTTGGAAGGCCAAGGTGGGCGGATCACCTGAGGTCAGAAGTTCAAGACCATCATGGCCAACATGGTGAAACCCCATCTCTACTAAAAATACAAAAATTAGCTGGGTGTGGTGGCACGCACATGTAGTCCCAGCTACTTGGGAGGCTGAGGCGGGAGGATTGCTTGAACCTCGGAGGAGGAAGTTGCAGTGAGCCGAGATCATGCCACTGCACTCTGGCCTGGCAATAGAGAGAGACTCCGTCTCAAAAAACAAAACAAAACAAAATAATAATAATAAATAAAATAAAAAGCAGCACCACACAAACCAAAACAAAATACCACTATCAACTGAACAAGTGTAGGACGGGAGAGAACTAGCTTGAAGGCAGGTCACTTTAAGCAGATTTGAAGGTTTTAGTGGGACTCAAGTTTGCTATGAACCAACAATGTGATTCAGCTGCTGAATAACATAATGCAATTGGAGGCTGCAAATAAAATATGTCCATATCATGCGTATAAATAGTCTCCTTGTAATCTGAGCTACATATCTAGGTTCCAGTTCTAGATGTCATTCAATGCAGGAAACATTCACTGAATGCTTATTTGGTATAAGGCAGACCCTAACACCATATTTTAGGAGATAAATTAAGAAGTAAGAATATGTCCAAAGGACAATCATAGTATGTCAGAGATTTTGAAACCATAGCATATGAAGAATAGCTGAGAGAGAAAGAATGTTCAGCAGTAGTACACATGTTACTCCTTTGAAGAAGTTAACATTTAGAAAACAGGGTAAATTTTTTAGTGTTGTAACTAAAGGCAGAAATGGAATCAACAGGTTCAGGTTATAAAGAGAAAGACTGCAACATATGAGATACTCATCATTTAAAAGAATGAACGGGCTGGGGGCCGTGGCTCAGCCTGTAATCCCAGCACTTTGGAAGGTCAAGGCGGGCAGATCACCTGAGGACAGGAGTTCGAGACCAGCCTGGCCAACATGGTGAAATCCCATCTCTACTAAAAATGCAAAAAATTAGCTGGGCATGGTGGCAGGTGCCTGTAATCCCGGCTACCCAGGGAGGCTGAGGCAGGGGAATTGCCTGAACTCAGGAGGCGGAGGTTGCAGTGAGCCGAGATTGTGCTACTGCATTCCAGCCTGGGCAACAGAGCAAGACTCCCTCTCAAAAAAAATATAAATAAATAAAAAATGAATGAATGGTCTGGAACCTAAAGTATTAAGCACTGTTTCTCTAAGTATTCAAACAGAAGCTGAATATATCTCCAACAAATGAGATTTATGCTTTGGGAAGGAGACTGACATAGATGGCCTCTTAGGTTCTTTCAGTGTTTAAGGTTCTGTGATCCAGGAACTACTAACCTGCAGGGGCAAGGCCCAATAGAAAAGACGAGCTCTGGTACCTTAGCCATTCTGATATAAACCTGATAATTTATTTTTTATTATTTTATTTTATTTTTTGGAGACAAGGTCTCACTCTGTCGCCCAGGCTGGAGTACAGTGGTGTGATCATAACTCACTGCAGCCTCGAACTCCTGGGCCCAAGTAATCCTCCTGCCTCAGCCTCCAGAACAGCTGAGACTACAGGCATGTGCTACCATGCCCAGCTAATTATTTTTTTATTTTTTGTATGTTGTCCAGGCTAAACTAGTGATCCTCTTGCCTCAGCCTCCCAAAGCGCTGGGATTACAAGTGTGAACCACCACATGCAGCCAAACATGAGAATTTAGAGTGATTGAATATCTGAGTTATATGGCCAGAGCTCTACTCTAACTTTTGGGAAAGATATGTGGAGAGGGAAAAATAAGGGATAAGATGAAAAACTGCACATGGTTTTAAAATAATTTATTTTTTAAGTACCCTAGATATAGAATGGAAAAGAGAAAGGAATTAGGGACCTAAACTATGCCTGTTTATACACTTTGTGGCTAGACCTTATAAAAGTTATAACTAGTAGCCAGTATTTTATAATTCAATGGCTACATTTCCTAGGAAGAGTTCCTTTGGGGAAAAAAATTAACCTTTTCTCAGGTGAAAACAAAATTTTTTTTCCTACCTTGGAATTAATAATAATTAGGGAGTAGCACAACCCTAAAGGATCAGGGATAGTTATGCCAGCCAAAGCAGCCCATCTCCAGAGAGCCAGAGGCTCGGGAGAGCTGGCCGGGAAAGAACAAACGCCCAGGAATGATAGGGTTTGGATTGGTATATAGACTCTAGCCCCTTCTCATCCCTATGACCCCATTATAGAATGAGTCCACTGGAAATACCTTTCTTCTACACTGCTTCTCATTCACTCTCCCCCTCTCAATCTCTCTCTTCCCATAATTTTGATGCTTACCTAAAGAAATTGGAAATAACATATGGTAGGTCCTGCTAATTAAAAGCTTAGCAGAATAAAAGGCATATGTCAGATGGCTCACTTCAGACACCCATAAAAAGTTAAAGCTAAGACTAAAAATTAAAGTTAATTTATCATACTATAAAATTATAGGTAGGAGATCCAATCAATTACTAATGGCACAAGTGCAAACCCAAGGCCTCTGCTGTCTAAATACATATTTACAGAAATAATAAAGTGAGACAGTGGACCTAAAGAGAAGGAGAGAATGTACTCTCCTGCCATCAGGGGGCCATTTACTTACCTACCTGGGACCAAGAGCTATAATATTCTGCAGCAAACTGCCAATCATCCATTTCTTCTCCAATGTTCTTGGCAATTTCATCTGTAACTGTCTGCTCAGAACACAGCCCTTTAAATTTACCTCAAGGTCCATACTCTGAGTTACCACTAGACATCAGGAAGCAGCTACTCCATTATCACTGTCTTAGTCACACAGGCAGTCCTTCCCAGCCACCTCCAAAAGGCTCAAGTAAGTATTTGGCATAATTCATTAAGAAAGAGGATGAACACTAAGTTTCAGCCTATAATCCCAGCACTTTGGGAGGCTGAGGCAGGAGGACTGCTTGAGCCCAGGAGTTCAAGACCAACCTGGCTGGGCAACATAGTGAGATCCTGTCACTACAAAAAGAAAAAGAAAAAGAAGAGCTGGATGCAGTGGCTCACGCCTATAATCCCAGCACTTTGGAGGGCCAGGGCAGGTGGGTCACTTGAGGTCAGGAGTTCAAGACCAGCCTGGCCAACATAGTGAAACCCCATCTCTACCAACAATACAAAAAACTAGCCGGGTGTGGTGGCACATCCCTGTAACCTCAGCTACTCAGGAGGCTGAGGCACGAGAATCACTTGAGCCTGGGAGGCAGAGGTCGCAGTGAGCCAAGACTGCGTCACTGCACTCCCGCCTGGGCAGAGCGAGACTGTCTCAAAAATAAAATAAAATAAGAAAGAGAAAATGTCAGTGTAGTTAACCAACAAAAAGGAATGTTTAATCATTTGCCAAAACAATAGTTAAAGTAAGGTCACCAGATACATACAAGATCTCTCCCAACTAACTCACAAATATAATGAAAGGTTCTTATAAGGTTCCTCAGGTTGGCTGTTCACGTTCTTATAAAATCTGAGACTTTACACAGGGTGAGGCCCCATATCTACAAGGCTTCAAATGATACTCTCAGAGAATGCACCTGGAACCACTAAAGAGATCTTTTTCATAGTCAGGTAGCTTGATTCAGGACAGAGGGCTGAGCTCAAGATTGACTCCCTTTCTCCTGGGAGCAATATTCTAGAAATAGTTCCTAATTTGAGCCAATAAAAACGGGCCACAATCGGCAGGCCCTACCTTAGTGGGAGAAAACGAGATACAAAAGACAGGGCACAAGCCAGGCACAGTGGCACATGCTTATGGTCCCAGGTACTTGGAAGGCTAAGGCAGGAGGATCACTTGAGCCCCAGAGTTTGAGGCCGCAATGAGCTATGATTATGCCACTGCACTCCAGCCTGGGCAAGAGAGAGAGGCCTTGTCTCTCGAAGTACAACAAACAAACAAAAAATACAATACAATAAGATATTTTGTTGTTGTTGTTGTTTGTTTTTGTTTTTGTTTGAGGCAGAGTTTCGCTCTTGTTGTCCAGGCTGGAGTGCAATGGTGCGATCTCGGCTCACTGCAACCTCCATCTCCCGGATTCAAGCCATTCTCCTGCCTCAGCCTCCCGAGGAGCTGGGATTACAAGCACCCACCACCATGCCCGGCTAATTTTCGTATTTTTAGTAGAGACAGGGTTTCATCATGTTGGCCAGGCTGGTCTCAAACTCCTGACCTCAGGTGATCCACCGGCCTCAGCCTCCCAAAGTGCTGGGATTATAGGCATGAGCCACCACACCTGGCCAATAAAATAAATTTTTAAAAAGAGCACAGTACAAGAATGTCTTCTACAAACCATAAAGGAACTAGACTCTAGTTCTAAAGACTCCAGACATAAAGGAACACACCTAACAACTCCTTCTTTGACTACATTATCTAAGTACTGTGTCCTTTCAAAATTATATTATTCCTGTTACTTTTGTACTTGTACTTTGTTATAAAGCTCAATATGCAGACCTTAAGAGCCAATGAGCACTGAATGCTCACATTTTGAGTAAAGGAAAAGAAATAGCTGTGGGCTATTAGCTCACCAAGGAATAAAGCAGGATCTAAAATGCTGTGTTTAACACCTACATGTGAGAAAATCTCCCACAAAGGAAATGTATGTATCTAAAATCTAAATACAGACTTTTTCCCCACTATCATCTAGTCCTTGCTCCAGAAATGATAAAGTGGACAAAATTAGAGTCCTGTTTCTAGTGAGTCCTCACTTTCTCAGGAAAGAGTGTCCTCTGCAAATAAAGTTTATTGAAGTGGGTGTTGTGTGTGTATGTTATTTACAGTTGCATAGGAGTAACATTTCTATATTTCACTGGAATTAATTTAGTATAAATCTGAAGCTAATTCCGATAAATTAAGATATGTATGGTAAGCCCTAGAGCAAGCACTAAAGAAATAACGCAAAAAATAGTGAAAAAAAATTAAAGCAATAAAAACGCTTTTTAGAAAATATTCACTTAATGCAAAAGAAAGCAGTAAAGAAGGATCAGAGGAACAAAAAATGAGATAGCAATACCTCTTTGGTCTGCAGATATTGCATATGGACATAAAACATAGGCTGAATATCCCTTATCCAAAATGCTTGGGACCAGAAGAGTTTTAGGTTTCAGATTTTTTTTTTAAATTTTGGATATTTGCATTATACTTACCAGTTGAGCATCCCTAATCCAGAAATCTGAAACACAAATTGTTCCAATGAGCATTTCCCTTAAACATCATGTTGGTACTCAAAAAGTTTCAGATTTTAAAGCATTTCAGATTTCAGATTTTCAGATCTGAGATGCTCATCCTGTACTAGCAAACTGAGTCCTGCAAAATATAAAAATTATACACCATGACCAAGTAGGATTTATCCCAGGAATGCAAGGTTTAACATCTGAAAATCAATTAATGTAGTACGTTTTATCAATAGAATAAGAAATAGAAACCACAAAATCATCTCAATAGAAGCAAAAAAAGCATTTGACAAAATCCAACACCCTTTGATGATAAAAACAGCCAACAAACTAAGAACAGAAAGGACTTTCTTCAACCTGATAAAGAGTATCTACAAAAAAAGTTCACAGCTAAATGTTTTAATAAATTAAAATACAAGAAAGAAAACTTATTAGGTTGGTGCAAAAGTAATAGCAGTTTTGCCATTACTTTTGCACCAACCTATAAAACCACCTATAATCCTGCCAACCAGAGATAAGAACATGTTGGTTAATAGCCTCTCAGGTATACGTGTATTCATTTTGGAGACATTCTTTTACCACAATGATATAGCCAAGGTTGCATGGTCAGACATCTCCTCAAAGGACTGAAAGTGATAGAAAACACAAACTCTTCCCACCCAAACTATTTTCCCATCAATGATGCAAAGGCTCAGGCTGACAGCCTAAGTTCCAGTATTGCCCCTGATGTCAGCTTGTAAATAAATATTATTTTGTGTCTCTGGTCCCTACTAAGCCCAGATGAGTACAGAAAAAGGACTGAACAAAGTTGGGTATGGAAGGGGCTGATAAGATTCCCAGACTTGCACAATCAGGACAACAAATTTTTAAAAATAATAATAATAAACATGTATATAGCACTGAATATGTGCCAGGCACTATTCTACATGCTTTATATATATTGTCATTTAGTAATCTCAATAATGACATAGGTCCATTGTTATCCTCACTTTATAGCTGAGAAAACTCAAGGAAAGAATGGTTAAATAACTTGTCCAAAGTAATGGTACAGCAAGGACTCAAACTCAGACAACCTGACTCTAGAGTCCCCACTCTTAACCACTACATTATGCTATCTCTTAAACAGCAGAGGAATGAGCAAACCTAAGAAACAAAAAGGAATGGAAATATGTAGGAAAAAACGGGAGAGGCTCCATTTCTATCTCTAATCACAGTTAAGTTCCAAATTCAGCCTGACTCAAGTTAAGAAATCTGAGCTGTAGTTATCTCAGAAAAGCAGTGGGGGCCGGGTGCGATGGCTCACGCCTGTAATCCCAACACTTTGGGAGGCCGAGGCTCACATCTGAGGGTCAGTAGTTCAAGACCAGCCTGGCCAACATGGTGAAACCCTGTCTCTACTAAAAATACAAAAAAATTAGGCCAGTGTGGTGGTGGGCACCGATAATCCTGGCTACTCGGGAGGCTGAGGCAGGAGAATCGCTTGAACCCAAGAGGTGGAGGTTGCAGTGAGCTAAGACTGCACCATTGCACTCCAGCCTGGGCAACAAGAACAAAACTGTCACAAAAAAAAAAAGCAGTGGGCATTAGGGAAACTGGATATCCACGTGCCCAAAAATGAAGTTGGATGCTTACTTTATATCATATATAAAAATTCACTCAAAATGGATCAAAGGAAGCTGGGTGTAGTGGTGTATACCCGTAGTCCTTGCTACTAGGGAGGCTGAGGCAGGAGGATCAATTGAGCCCAGGAGTTCAAGATTAGCCTGGGCAACGTAGCAAGACCCTACCTCAAAAAACAAAAAAGGATCAAGGACCTAAATGTAAGGGCTAAAACAACATAAAACTCTTAGAAGAAAACATGGGAGAAAACCTGATGACATTGGATTTGGCAATGATTTCTTGGATGTGATAACAAAAACATAAGCAACAAGCGAAAAAATAGCTAAGTTAAATTTCATCAAAATTAAAAACTTGTGCATCAAAGGACACCATCAATGAAATGAAAGGCAACCCATGGAATGGGAGAAAATATCTGCACATCATATGCCTGATAATGAATTAATATCTAGAATAAAGAACTCCTAAAACTCAACAACAAAACACCAAAAAACTCCATTAAAAAATGAGCAGAAGACTTCAATAGACATTTCTCCAAAGAAGATATACAAATGGCCAATAAGCATATAAAAAGATGCTCAACATCACTAGTTATTTAAAAAAATGAAATTAAAGTCACTATGCGATAGCACTTCACACCCGCTGGGATGGCTAGTAACCAAAAAATGGAAAACAGGAGAGAGGCAGAGCAAAAAACAAAAACAGAAACAGAAAACAAGTGTTGGGAAGAATGTGAAGAAATTGGAAAGTAACATGGTGCAGCCACTTTGAGTGACAGTTACTCAAAATGTTATACAGAGAATTACCATATGATTCAGCAATAACACTTCTGGGTACATACCCAAAAGAAATGAAAGCAGAGTCTCAAAGAGATTTACATACACTCATGTTCACACTAGCATTAGTCACAATAGCTAGAAGGTGGAAGCAACCCAAGTGTCCGTTGACACGAAAATGGAGAAACAAAATGTGGTATATTCATACAATGCAATATTATTCACCCTTAAAAAGGAAATTCTGCTACATGCTACAACACGGACGAACCTTGAGAATATTATATTAGGCAAAATAATCCAGTCACGAAGGACAAATATTTTATAATTCCTCTTATATAAAGTTCCTAAAATAGTCAAATTCATAGAAACAGAAAACAGAATGATAATAGCCAGAGGCTGGGAGAAAGAGGGAATAGGGAGTTTGTATTTAATGGGTACAGAGTTTCAGTTGAAGAAAAAGAAGTAGCCCTGGAGATGGATGTTGGTGATGGTTGTGCAACAATGTGAATGTACTTACCATTAAACTGTACACTTAAAAATGGTTAAAATGGGCCAGGAGCGGTGGCTCACGCCTGTAATCCCAGCACTTTGGGAGACTGAGGCAGGCGGATTACGAGGTCAGGAGATCGAGACCATCCTGGCTAACACGGTGAAACCCCGTCTCTACTAAAAATACAAAAAATTAGCCTAGCGTGGTGGTGGGCACCTGTAGTCCCAGCTACTCGGAAGGCTGAGGCAGGAGAATGGCGTGAACCCAGGAGGCGGAGCTTGCAGTGAGCGGAGATTGCACCACTGCACTCCAGCCTGGGCGACAGAGCAAGACTCTATCTCAATTTAAAAAAAAATCGTTAAAATGGTAAATTTTATGTTATGTGTATTTTTATCACAAGTAATAAAAAATAGGGCAAACATAGAAAAAGACTCTAAGAAAATTTCAGGATAAGTTTAGGAGGGGGTTTAGATGCTAAAGTCACACTCATCTAAAACACAGCAGCCTCCAGCTAAAAATCTTAATATTTAATTATGAATGTCTGAATCTCCTAAACTAAGACTTCTTTACCTCACTGCAGTTCACCAAGTCCAGCTATGACCTATTGTAAAACTTCATTTTGCAGCATAAACCAAACTAAGGTAAAACAGATGATTAACCACATGGGATTCAGTATTTGGTTTTTTAATTCTAGCTGTAGTCTTAAGAGATTAGGGTACAGCAACCATTACAATGATATGTAATGCTCCCAGTCATTGGGTAAACAATATTATACCAGCTTCATTTTGGTGCTTTGTTTTAATCTGCATAATGCTTTTCATTTTCTCTAATGGGAGATCAGCAGGGTCTGATTAACAGAAAAAAAAAGGTCATGATTGATAAATTCTAACTCAGTGAAGATAATATGAGCCTACCTGCCACCTCAGAGCAGACAACTGCAGAATAGAAGGTTATGTTCATGTACTCCCTGCTAGTCAAGAGTCAACAGCCCAATGGCTCTGCTTCTATCATTAATCAATTTAGTCCACATTTACTTTTCACTAGACTAAGTTGCATCCTTCAGCTGAAGTGCCTGGACATGAAACTGCTTCTCTCTCATTGGTAACCATTTTGTTAAGTGAATTATAGCAATGCAGCAAAGATTTCAGCCCAAACAGGTGAGTGGGCAAAGGAAGTTGGGGAGACCTCACATCCCTTCCTAACCCTAACTTTGCTATCGACAGTGATTACTGCTTGAAGGCTTATTTCCTGTGACATTCAGAATTCTGTACACAGCCTATTCCAAAGGATGTTATACTCAATAACCCCATTATCTCAGAGGCTGCTGAAAGCTATTCTTGTTCCTCAGCCTCCCCAGCAGTGTACACTTAACCATGTGTGTGTGTGTCTATGCGCGTGCACATGTGCGCACCCATGTATGAGGGGAAGAGTGTTTTTTAGGGTGAAAGAAAACAGCTACATAAGCAAGTAAGAAGGGTGGGTGAGGGGACCACTTTGGCACTGGAACAAAAAGACCATGAAGTGAACAGGAAGACAAGAAGCAAACTCCCTAGGTGAATAATTAAGAGATTTAAAAGAAACACACTAAATTCTCATTCCAAACCCCAGGCTTGTCACTAATCATAACAATATCTGAAAAGTCATTCTTGAAGAAATACTGAATGTCAGCTTAAGGCATTCCAAATAAAGAAAAAAGTTAATACATTAACCATAGTTAAAACTTATCCACTTAAGAAAATTACAGATCAGGAGAATCACCTACTTGCAGTGTGATTCAGTCACTATTTCTTTCTGTGAGCAATCAGAGAACAGGATTTTGAACTCGGTCCTAATAAAATGCTCATTAAGTGAAAAGCATTAAAATTTTAATTTGAAGAGATTCATTAAGGGCCTCAAATTACTTACCCTGAAAGTTGTTTGGTTAGATGAAGGTCAGATTTTAGTTTACTATCTTTCTCTCTTTTGACTAATAAGGTTAATAGCAGACATCTTCCTAAAGTACAAGACCTCACTGGGATTGCCTGCCAAGTGTTGGCAGGAAATATTTAGCATATAAGTCTTCAGACAAAAGTTTCCAAATTTCAGGATAAGTTTAGGACGGGTTTTAGATACTAAAGTCACACTCCTCTAAAACACAGCAGCCCCCAACTAAAAATCTTACTATTTAATTACAATGTCTGAATTTCCTAAACCAAGACTCCTTTACTGTGCTGCAGTTCACCAAGCAGCCCTGCACTGGCCCCTCAAAGTACTCCTTTGTGAACCATTAGATCTGTGGAAGCAGCTGAAGCAACAATTACACCAAGAAGCGGAATCTCAAAGGTGGAGCAATATATATATATATATATATATATACATTTTTTGTATAGCAAAGCAACGACACAACTCTCCTATAGAGAAGAAAACATACAGGGCCCTGTTTGTGTTCCAATAAAGACAGCAGTTTCTAAGCAGCTGCATTTTAAGAATCTCACTGAAGGATCAAACAGGGAGAGGCAAATTGTTTAAATACAAATAACTTTGACAGTTAAAGAACTAGCATGACTAAGCCATGAAAGACAAGTGAAAAGCAAAAAGACTGACACTTGAGCAAATTTATGCTCCGAGTGTGACGAAGTACTTTTAACTTTCACTGTCACAATCTAAACTAAGTATTCTTAGAACAGAAAGGTCTACAGCCTTCCTGCTGCCTTTCACCTGCTAGGGAGACACTACCTTACAGTAGTCATCAGATGCACTGCATTCCAGATCTCAAAGACATAATTTGGAGCTATTGTCAACTGGCAAACTAGTCTGGAAGGCCTCACAGCTGTTTGCTGTCTAAAGACTTCACATGCAACCCAAGCCCTTCTCATGGTTATTAAAGAACATACTACAGAAGAGGTGGCTAAGAGTTTGTTCACTCTGCCTTAAAAATCCTTTTCAGGTGTGGGATCAGCACAAATACCTTTTATAAACAGCAGAAACAAATGCTGCACAACATCAGAATTTTACTACTAAGTGTTTATATCTCTATCCTTGATCATCAACTTGGTGTTAAATATCCCACAGTATTCCTGGATAACCACAGGTCAGATTTTCTGACACAGGTTGTTTTCTAAACCACAGAAAGTAGTGTCATGGGTATATAACACAAGCTATTAGCGAAAGGCAAAGGAGCCTAAGGCAGCACTCATTACCATTGGTTCACTGGAGTACGTACTTCCAAGTCATACTATTTTTTGCTCTCTGCTAAGAGAATACTGACTGAGAAAAGAAAACTCCCTGGACTGCCCTCATTCAAAGCTATCAAGTTCTCCCTACCAAGGAAAGCAAAACACCTTTCAAGGTTAAGGTAATATCTTAACTTTTATAGAAAAGAAAAATTGGCCGGGTGCGGTGGCTCATGCCTGTAATCCCAGCACTTTGGGAGGCCGAGGTGGGTGGATCACGAGGTCAGGAGTTCGAGACCAGCCTGGCCAACATGGTGAAACCCCATCTCTACTAAAAATACAAAAATTAGCCGGGAATAGTGGTGCGTGCCTGTAATCCCAGCTACTCAGGAGGCTGAGGCAGCAGAATCACTTGAACCTAAGAGACAGAGATTGCAGTGAGTACAGATCACGCCACTGCACTCCACCCTGGGCAACAGAGTGAGACTCTGTCTCAAAAAAAAAAAAAAAAAGAAAGGAAAAATGAAGAAATGAAGATGTACTTAGGAAACACTCTGAGGAAGGGTCAAAATGCTAAACCTAAAAAAAAAAAAACTATGGCAATTTCTCAAAAAATTAAATACAGAATTATCATATGACACAGCAATTCCTCCTCTGGGGATATGTCCCCAAAAAGTGAAAGTGGGGTCTCAAACAGGTATCTGTATACCCATGTTCATACCAGCATTATTTATAATAACCAAAAAGTAGAAGCAACTCAAGTGTCCATCAACGGATGAATGGATAAGTAAAATGTGATACATACAGACAGAGGAAGATTATTCACCCTAAAAATGAAGGGAATTCTGACACATGCTACAACAGGAATGAACCTTGAAGACACAAGTGAAATAAGCAGTATTTTATAGTTCACTAGGAGCTTTCATATGCATTACATTATATAATTCTCACAACTACTACCTGGTGAAATAGTTGCTATCACCAGCACCCCCACTTTACAGAGGGTGGATAGAGGCCCACAGAAGCTAAGTAACTTGCTCAAGGTCACACAATAAGTGGTAGAGACAAAAGAAAAAAATAAGTTTTTCCAACTCAAATTTCCATATTCCTTTCAATACATCATGGTGAGTTTTCTGTTTAACCCTCCATGTTAAGTCTTCAATGCAGCTTTACAGAAGGAGGCATTATGGTTTGCAAGAAAGAGCAGCCCTGAACTTGGACTTAGAAGACCTATGATTAGGCTGGGCATGGTGGCTCATGCCTGCAGTCCCAGCACTTTGGGAGGCCAAGGCAGGTGGATCATTTGAGCTCAGGAGTTTGAGACCAGCCTGGACAACATGGTGAAACCACATCTCTACAAAAAAATACAAAAATTAGCCAGGTCTGGTGGCACGTGCCTATAGTCCCACCTACTTGGGAGGCTGAGGTGGGAAGACTGCTTGAGCCTGGGAAGCGGAGGCTGCAGTGAGCAGAAATCGCGCCACTGCACTCCAGCCTGGGCGACAGAGTCAGACCCTGTCTCCAAAAAAAAAAAAAAAAGAAGAAGAAGAAGACCTATTATTAATTCTCAGCTTTGCCAAGGAACAAATATGGGGCCTTCCACAATATACAACATCTTTAAGACTCAGTTTCCTCACTGGGAAAAAGTATATTTTAAAAAGTACATAATACACCCTATAGAGTTTGAAGATTAAAGAAGGTAGCATAAGAAAGAGTAGCACAAAGTCTGGCATTTAATAAGTGAGAATAGATGTCAGAAAAAAAAAGGGTAAACATTTGCAGGCTTAGTACTACCTGTATTTTTCCCTGATCTGGCCTTACTGTGGTGACATTCAAACACTTCTTTCCAATAATCTCTTAAGAAAACTGATTTGTTTGTTTTGAGACAGGGTCTCACTGTTACCCAGGCTGGAGTGCAGTGGCATGATCTTGGCTCACTGTAGCCTCAACCTGACCTCCTGGGCTCAAATGATCCTCCCACCTCAGGATCCTGAGTAGCTGGGACTACAGGCATGTGCCACCATGCCCAGCTAATCTTTGTTTATTTTGTTTTTTAGAGACAGGGTCTCACTATGTTGGCCAGGCTGGTCTTGAACTCCTGGGCTCAAGTGATCCTCCCACCTCTGCCTCCCAAAGGGCCAGGATTACAGGCGTGAGCCACTGAACCTGTCCATGACTGGATCTTTTTGCTACTTTAGATGTATACTGAGTCCGGTTATTAGCAACAGTAAAAATGATGTGATTATTGCAGCAAGTTCATCAGAGAAATTTAAGGAATGAAAATGAAGGTATATGCCTGACAGTCATGCAAAGAGAAGAAAGAAGTTACATGGTAACAAGGCTCAGCCCAGTCCTTTCTTAGCTGTCGGAAAAAGGAGAGGTCAAAAGCTTAAATCAGCTGCTTGATGGCCCTTGGGAAGAACACAGACAGCAGCCAAGCCAGAAACCACTGAAAGGAAAAGCAGAAGATAAGGCAAGTATAAAGGAATGTGATCAAGGAAACAGGCCCCAGATGAAAAGGAGCTGCCTGGAAGGCCTACATAAATACATGAATGAGTCAACACAACATAAATTATACCCATATGCACTTCATACCCTAGCCCAGAACCTGGTGACCTGGTGCTTCATTCAAACACCCACATTTGTCATGCTGCCCTTGGGTCATAAACAGATATTTGGGAGAAGGCAGTTTGTAATTCCTGATTCTTACAGAAAATCGCATTTATCGTAAGGCCTCACCACAGTATCTGGATTATTTGCTAGGTGCAGATATGCATTTATTTGTGAGATTTATAAAATTGTGTTTGATGCAAAATGAGTCTGGTGACAGGTAAGGCAGACCAACCTTCACTGCAATCTTGTTAGCACATCTCACCCCATGCTCCCTCATCCCAGCCCTCTTAACACACAAATTTCACACTTCTCCTTTTATGCCCAGATGTGCCAAACAGGGTAGTAAATCACTGCAGGGACAGGGCATTTTACCTTTAAATAAAAAGAAAGAAAAGATATAGGAAAAAAATCACAGACCAGCTTTGTCACACATTAGAATCTATACCAAGTTGTAAATGTGCATTACTATTACTAGGAATGTCTGGCAAGGCTTACATCTGGAGCTAAATCAAGTTCCCCATCTGTTGGGTTTGCCTCTTTTACTCAATGTTAATTTTTCAATTGTTTATAAGAACAGTGTAATAACTGTTGAGAAAATGAAAAATCAAAGGCACAAAGGGAGCAACGAACAGAAGAAAAGTCGAATTTAGGTTTCCCAATGGTGAAAGCACTTTCTCTTCTCCATTTACCAACAGCTCACACCTGTGCATGGGTGGTGCCTCCTCAAGACCCTGACCAACTCCATGCCTGACACAACTTTATGCAATACATACAGCACTCTGTAATTGTCTTGCTGTTTCATAAGCAACCTAAAATGACTCAGCCCCATGGACTCCAATTGCCTCTGTTTACCATAAATAGAAATAGTCACGTAAAGTAAAAGGTCAACATTCTAGATCTCCATGAATCATTCACTGAAGTCATGGAGAAAAGCTGAAAATCTTTGGAGAAAAGTTTTCAGATGACCTATACATAGAGAACACTCTGGCAACTAGCATGCCTGAAAAGGGCTTATAACCATCTCTCAGTAAAAAAATTCACAGAACAGCCAGCACTTTGAGCTGTTTCAATATGATAAAATAAAAGCCTCGTGTACTCCTGCTTTTCTTGATCAAGTACGACAATTTTTCTTCCACTCCTACAGACATCAAGGCTTAAAATAGTAGTAGTGTTCAACACACTTTACTTAGAAAGGTACAATAAACCTCAGGAAGAGCCAAGGAACTCTGCAAGAGATACTTCTCATTCCTTACCTGATATTAACCAATGCATGGGTCACCTTGCTAGCTGCTTCCTTCCACTGGCCTGCATTGGTAGAAAGCCTCAGGACTGCAAAGAAGGAAAGAACACAGATCTGTCAAACCCCCGGCATAAAACACAAACATGAGGAATGAAGACACATCTCAGAATAGCACTCTCAGAATAACCAAACAAAGCCTGCGCCAATCTTCTGTTAAAAACATCCTCAGCTTAGATAAAAATACAAGGGCTTATAGAATTCTCGCAACTATTTTCACTCCAGTTTTTTCTCTAACTTCTTTTCACTTTCTATCAAAATACTCTACTCCTTCTCTGCCTTAGGTTTTCCCTCCCCTCTGCTAACCGGGTTCCATAACTTAATTTTTGCATGCATTTACAATCTGCACTGGGGTGGTGATGTGAGGGTAAACTTGTTGCCATATCTATCATTTCCCTAATGGTGGGGGCTGATTTAGTGGAACTGGCTGGCTTAGTTGATGTCCCTTCCTGCTCTATGTATATGCATAAACTCCTTAACATATAAACTCAGTCAAACAGGACACATCCACATAGAGGATGGTCATGTGTCAATCAAGGATTAACCTTTTTTTTTTTAATTATACTTTAAGTTCTAGGGTACATGTGCACAACGTGCAGGTTTGTTACATATGTATACATGTGCCATGTTGGTGTGCTGCACCCAATAACTCGTCATTTACATTAGGTATATCTCCTAATGCTATCCCTCCCCCATCCCTCCACCCCACAACAGGTCCCGGTGTGTGATGTTCCCCACCCTGTGTCGAAGTGTTCTCATTTTTCAATTCCCACCTATGAGTGAGAACAGATTAACCTTTTTTTGCTCCTCTGACTTAACTGTTTGACCTGCAAAATGAATCTACAAGAACGTTCTTCCCTTGTGTGACCAAATTCTCTCCCTTTTCCAAACTCACACAGAGAGGAAAGATAATAGAAATATAGACCTGAATATATCCTCTATCAGCTATGATCTTCAGAGCCACACATGCCATTTTAGAAAAGAGACAAAACAGCACAAGTGCTCCTTGAAAGAGCAAGCACATGGTAGGCACTCTAAGTGTATGTTTTAATGAATGGCTAATTAATAAGGGCTAAATATGCAGAGAGCTTACTATGTGCCAGGCACTGGACCAACTTAGGTTATATGTAATGTAGCATACAGATGAGGAAAACCAAGACTCAGAGGAGACAAGTACGGTAACTGATTGCAGTCATTCACACAAGTTGTAAGTAATGGAGCTGGAATTCAAACCTGGAGGGAAATGACTCAAGAGCCTACATTTATGTAGAGAAGTAACTACAAGATCTCTGAAGCCAATGGTCAGGGTCCAAGTCCAGCCCCTACCACCTACTAGAAAATAACAGCAATACCTATATGAAAGAATTGTTATATATAAAGCTCTTAGATTAGTGCCTGCCACATAGTAAATAAGTTTTAGCTATTATTAATTTCAACAGACTACCTCCCAAATGAATGAATGAATGTACCTGGACTTTCCCAAAAGAAAAAAAGTAGGGCCTCACTAACATTAAGAAATGTGTGACCAATCTGTATATGACCCTCATAGCTGAGTACCATCACTATGTACGCCTGACCAAGATTCTGAAGAGCTGCAGCAGAAGCTCTATCAGAGGGAGGGCCTGTGGCTGTGATGGGGGAAAGAAAGCTCATCTGGCTGCTCTACGTCTGTTCCAGCAATGTCTCACATTTATAAATTCATGCAATTTAATGAAAAAGAAGACAGAAGACTTAATAAAACACATCAACAGTGCTGCTTTTTTAATTTATAAGATTTAGTGCAAGGGAATTTGGTATAGTTCCAAGTTAGAGCTCTACAGTCTAAACTCAGGTTTCACTGAGTGCATGTGAGAATTTATTCATGTAATGAACAAAATTGTTTCAGGAAGCCATACATTTATTGTTCAACTCAATTGTGAAATTTATTTTTTTAATTTTATTATTATTATACCTCAATTGTGAAATTTATTTAGATGCATTGGTTTTTCACCAGATCCCCCACAAAAATCACAAGTTCTCTGATGGTAGAACCTAGACATTTATGAAATGGAGCTGAATTTTGCCTCCTCACATTTTCACAGAGGTATTGAACTCTGTCCACGGATTACTTCTCTGTAATATCCTGTCAGCTCTGTTCCTTACTGAACAGGCACCCAGATGACCTCATCACTACATTTCCTTTGGAAACACCATTGGTTTTTACATTCTTTTCTAAGCTACCAAACTGAAACACAAAATTATTTCAAAATTCCCTAAAAGCCTCAAACTAAAGCCATCATTTATGTAGTAAATTATAGTACACAAAAATAATATGCAGCCATTTAAAAAGAGACATGAAAATTACAAAAAAAATGAATTGTATGTTAAAAAACACAAGCTAGAAGGATATCATGATTACAACTCTGTAAAACTATGCATGCATGTGGGTTAATATACAACAGTGAAAACAGTGGTAGTACTAGAACCAAGGAATTATAAGATTTTAATTATTTTCTATGCTTTTTCTTTAGTATTGGTAATTACCTTTGATTTTAAAAACAAGAAAAGACAGCTTAAAACATAATGTCATTTATGGTTCTGGGTAGCTTCTGTGGAAGTCCTTCCCATACAGTGGGCTTCACTGCAGCCAAACAGGAAGATTAAGTGTGTGCCTTTATCAAAAATGTCTTAGTGAGCCGGGCACAGTGGCTCATGCCTGTAATCCCAGCACTTTGGGAGACTGAAGTGGGTGGATCACTTGAGGTCAGGCATTCAAGACCAGCCTAGCCAACATGGTGAAACCCCATCTCTACTAAAGATACAAAAAAAAATTAGCTGGGTGCCGTGGCACATGCCAGTAGTCCCAACTACTCAGGAGGCTGAGGCAGGAGAATTGCTTTAACCCTGGAGGCACAAGTTGCAGTGAACCAAGATTGCACCACTGCACTCCAGCCTAGGCAACAGAGCAAGACTCCATCTCAAAAAAAAAAAAAAAAAATGTCTTTCCTCTTCTAGCCAAGATGCAGTAACTTACCCTCCTACCTTAAACAACAGAAACCTGGACAAAACATATGAAACAATGGTTGTCAGACATTGGAAAACAAGCAGCATAGAATTGTGATCCCCTAAAAGGAGGAAAACAAAGAAGGTGAACCCTACAACTGCCCTGCAGAAAAGTTCCCACACTGCAGGGTTGGGAAGAGGAATCTAAACAGAAGCTAGAAGTCTTGCCAAGTTGTAGACATAGAGATCAGCATTTGGAGAGGCCAAGACATCTAGAGGATGTGGGGCAGAAAGCTGGCAAGGAGGGAGTTTGACAGACAGCTCTGCAGATCCCTTACATCTCTTGCAGACACTGATCTATGCATATGGAAGAAGAAACTACCCAAGGCCGAGGGCGAAGAACCACTAGAAAGGAGAAGAAACTGAGGAGCTCACGGCACGCTCCACAAAGAAAATAACTTATGTTTCCACCAGCAAGAGTGGAAAGACCTAGTAACACATGGAGTATCAGGCAGGTTCTGGAAATGGGTACTGCATTTGTAATGGGACAAATTAGCCTACATTCAAGGTTGCTCTTGATCTACCCTCAACCCTTAAAAGCAAACCCTGAAAAGATCCAACTGATTCCACATAACATAATCAAATTCCAGAATAAAGTCCAATGTTACATAAAAGAAACAGAACAAAATCCAGCATCCACATCATAAAAATCACAATTTCTAAATTCTAATAACAAAAATAACCAGGCATGCAAAGAAACAAAAACATATGAACCATAAGAAACAAAAAAATATACGAAGCATAAGCAGAGGGAAAATCAGTCAGTAGAAACAGACCTAGACGTGAAGAAAGACAATGGAAGGAGAAGACAAGGACAATAAAATAGCAATTAGAGGCCAGGCACGGTGGTTCATGCCTGTAATCCCAGCACTTTGGGAGGCCGAGGTGGGTGGATCACGAGCTCAGGAGATCGAGACCATCCTGGCAAACACGGTGAAACTCCGTCTCTACTAAAAATACAAAAAATTAGCCGGGTGTGGTGGCGGACACCTGTAGTCCCAGCTACTCGGGAGGCTGAGGCAGGAGAATGGCGTGAACCTGGGAGGCGGAGCTTGCAGTGAGCCGAGATCCTGCCACTGCACTCCAGCCTGGGTGACAGAGCAAGACTCCATCTCAAAAAAAAAAAAAAAATCTATTAGAAATACGTTCGATATATTCAGGAAGACTGAGGAAAATTTGAAAATGATGAGGAAAGAAATGGAAATATTAAAAAAGAAACCCACGGCTAAGCACAGTGGCTAATGCCTATAATCTCAGCACTTTGGGAGGCTAAGGCAGAAGGATTGCTTGAGCCTATATATATATATATATATATATATATATATAGAGAGAGAGAGAGAGAGAGAGAGAGAGAGAGAGAGAGAGAGAGAGAGAGAGAGAGTCCAAACTGAGAACAGAAGAGCAGGGTCAAAAAATTTGAAGAAATTATAGCCAAAACATTTCCACATTTGATGAAAACTAAAAATGTACAGATTCAAAAAGTTCTAAGAACCCCAAGCAAAATAAAGAAAACCACGCCAAGGCATGTGATAATCATATTGTTGAAAACCAATGATAAAGAGAAAATATTAAAAGCATTCAGAGGCCAGGCATGGTTACTCACGCTTGTAATCCCAGTACTTTGGGAGGCTGAGGCGGGTGGATCACCTGAGGTCAGGAGTTCGAGACCAGCCTGGCCAACATGGCGAAACCCTGTCTCTACTAAAAATACAAAAATTAGCCAACCATGGTGGTGCACACCTGTAATCTCAGCTACTCGGGAGGCTGAGGCACAAGAATCGCTTGAACCCGGGAGACAGAGGTTGCAGTGAGCCCAGATGGCACTACTATGCTCCAGTCTGGGGGACAGAGTGAGACTCCATCTCAAAAAAAAAAGAGCATCCAGAGAAAAACAAAGATATTATGCACAGAGAAACAAGATGAAAACAACGGACCTCTTACTAGCAACTATGTAAGCCAGCAAATAATCAAATGAGATTTTTAAAGTAATGAATGAAAAATTTTATATTAAACAAAAATATCTTTTTAAAAAATGGTGTTCTACTTCCAGCATGGCAGAGTAAGCCCACTAAAGCCTCTATCTCCTGCTGATTACAGCTAAAAACTCTAGACAAAACATGAAAAGTAATTATCTGAGGGCTCTGAAAATTAAACAAAAGCAGACAGATTATAGAGGGAAGTCAAAACTTGGAGAAACGCTCACAAGAGGGTCAGTTTCCAGGTTTTATTTTTCCTATTTTCTCTTACAGCTTTGCCCCAAGGGTCAGCCAGTTCCAGAGCTGCATAGTGGAACTATGTGGATGGCTAAAACTCAAAAGGAATCCTCATCTTTCTGGAGAAAGAAATTGAGAGGCCAGGCGCAGTGCCTCGTGCCTGCCATCCCAACACTCTGGGAGGTCAAGGAGGGTAGATCACTTGAGTCCAGGAGTTCAAGACCAGCCTGGGCAACATGCCGAAATCCTGTCTCTACAAAAAATACAAAAATTAGGCTGGACACGGTGGCTCGCGCTTGTAATCCCAGCACTTTGGGAGGCTGAGGCGGGTGGATCACCTAAGGTCAGGAGTTCGAGACCAGCCTGACCAACATGGTGAAACCCCACCTCAACTAAAAATACAAAACTTAACCAGGCGTGGTGGTGCATGCCTGTAATCCCAGCTACTCCAGAGGCTGAGGCAAAAGAATCACTTGAACACAGGAGGCAGAGGTTGCAGTGAGCTGAGAGCGTGCCTGGGTGACACTCCAGCCTAGGTGACAGAACGAGACTCTGTCTCAAAAAAGAAAAAAAAAAATCCAGAAGATTATAACCAATCTCTGAGTGTATACAACATAACATTAAAAATGTCCAGGAGGAGGCCAGGCTCGGTGGCTCATGTCTGTAATCCCAGCATTTTGAGAGGCCAAGGTGGGCAGATCACCTGAGGTCAGGAATTCGAGACCAACCTGGCCAACATGACAAAACCCCATCTCTACTAAAATACAAAAAATTAGCCAGGCATGGTGGCAGGCACTTGTAATCTCAGATACTGGGGAGAATGAGGCAGAAGAATCGCTTGAACCCAGGAGGCAGAGGTTGCAGTGGGCCACTGCACTCCAGCCTGGGCGACAGAGTAAGACTCTGCCTCAAAAAAAAAAAAAAAAAAAAAAAAAAAAAAAAGTCCAGGAGGTAATCCACAATTACTCATAAAGAACCAGAATATATAATAAAACAAAAAAAGTGACCAATTCTCAAAAGAAAAGACAAAAAACAGATATCTGAGATGGCACATATGTTAAAATTATCATGGACTTTAAAGCAGTTATCATAACTATGCTCCATGAGGAAAAGGTAAACATACTTGAAATGAATGGAAAGATACAAGTTCAGCAAAGAAACTGAAGCCATAACAAAGAACCAATTAAAATATTTAGAAGTAAAGCTGGGCACAGTGGCTAATGCCTTGTAATCCCAGCACTTTGGAAGGCTGAGGTAGGAGGATCACTTGAGCCCAGGAGTTTGAGGCTACAGTGAGCCAAGAGTGCACCACTGCACTCCAGCCAGGGTGACACATATTTAGAAGTAAAATATGTACTATGTGAAATAAAGAATTCACTGGGTGGGCTTAATAGCAGAATAGACTGACAAAGGAGTCAGTGAACATAAAGTATAATAGAAATAATTAAATACGAAGAATAGAGACAAATGGGGGAGGGGAGGGACAGGGCCTCAGAAACATATGGGACAATATGGAAAAGTCTAATCTTTGTGATACTATAGTCTCAGAAAAGGAGGAGACAGAAATTGGGGCAGAGTTTCTGTCCCCAGTGAAAAAAGAAGGGCTAAAGACTTCCCCAAATTTGGTGAGAGTCAAGAAGCTCAGCAAACCCCAAATAGGATGAACTCAAAGAAAAATTGTGCATAGATATATTACAATCACACTGCTGAAAGCCAAAGATAAGGAAAAAAAAAAAACCTTTTAAGAAGCTAGAGAAGGACAGGTACGGTGGTGGCTCAGCACTTTGAGAGGCTGAGGCAGGTGGATCACGAGGTCAGGAGTTCAAGACCAGCCTGGCCAAGATGGTGAAACCCCGTCTCTACTAAAAATACAAAAATTAGCCAGGCGTGGTGGTGGGCACTTGTAATCCCAGCTACTCGGGAGGCTGAGGCAGAGAATAGCTTGAACCCGGGAGGCAGAGCTTGCAGTGAGCTGAAATCACCCCACTGCACTCCAGCCTAGGCGACAGAGCGAGACTCTGTCTCAAAAATAAAAAAAAAGAAGCTAGAGAAAAACAACATACTACAAACAATGGAACAATTATTCAAATGACTACAGATTTATTTTCAGAAACCATGGAGGCCAGAAAAAGGAGAATAATAGCTTCAAAGTACTTAAAGATAAAAATTACCAACTAAAAATTCTATATCCAGCTGGGTGCAGTGGCTCACACCTGTAATCCCAGCTACTCAGGAGGTTGAGGCAGGAGGATCACTTGAGCCCAGGAGTTTAAGGCTGCAGTGAGCTATAATCACACCACTGCACTCCTGCTTGAGCAACAGAGCAAGACCCCATCTCCTAAAAACTAAAAAAAAAAGACCAGGCACAGTGGCTCACACCTGTAATCCCAGCACTTTGGGAGGCCAAGGCAGGCGGATCACCTGAGGTTGGGAGTTCAAAACCAGCCTGACCAACATGGAGAAACCCCATCTCTACTAAAAATACAAAATTAGCCGGGTGTGGTGGCGCATGCCTGTAATCCCAACTACTTGGGAGGCTGAGGCAGGAGAATCGCTTGAACCGGGGAGGCAGAGGTTGCAGTGAGCCGAGATCATGCCATTGCACTCCAGCCTGGGCAACAAGAGCGAAACTCAAAAATAAATAAATAAATAAATAAATAAATAAATAAATAAATAGACCCTATATAGTAGCAAAGTTTCTACATTTTATTGAAGTGGTACAATCCTGACTTTAGACTGCAAAAGGTACATACAATGTAATCTTAGAGTAACTGCTAAAAAATACAAATATAGCCCAAAAGCCAGCTAATAAATTAAAATGGAATATTTAAATATATTCAAATTATCCAAAAGAAAGCAGAAAAGCAGGTACAGAAGAGCCAAAAAGTGCGGGGAGGGGCAAACAAAATACGTGGTAGAACTGAAAGAAACTATATTGATTATCGCATTGTAAATATGTATAGATAATATGCCAAATAAGATACAGAGATTATCAGACTGGATAATAAACACGACCCAACTGTAAGCTGTGTACAAGACAGACACTTTAAATATAAAAATATAGCTAACAGGAAAATATATAAGCCAGCCACAGTGGTATGTGCCTGTAGTCCCACCTACTCAGGAGGCTGAGGCAGAAGGATCAGTTAAGTCCAAGAGTTTGAGGATGTATTGCACTATGATCACATCTGTGAATAGCCACTGTAGTCAAGCTATATAGCAAGAACTCACTTCTAAAAAGAAAAAAAGTTAAGGTATGCATGCAGATACTAATAATTTAAAAAGCCAAAGTGGCTACATTAAAGTCAGACAAAACAGAATTCAGAACAAGGAATACTACCTGGGTGAAGGAGGATATTATATAATGATAAAAGAGTCAATTTGCCAAGATATAATAATCCTAAATGTGTATCTATCTAACAGCAGAGCTACAAAACACATGAACCAAAAAGTAAAAAGAACCAAAAGGGGAAAACAGACAAACCCACAATTACAGCTGAATGTTTCAACAATCTTCTCTGTCCCTTTATAATAAGTAGACAGAACAATTTGTGAAAACAGAGAACAATATTATCATACAACTCAACCAAACTGAAACTTACAGAACACTCCACCCACCAAGAACAAAATACAAGTGCATGTGGAATGGACCATTTACCAAGATAGACCATACTCTGGGCCATAAAACATGTCTCAATAAATTTTGAAGCATTGAAATAATACAAACAATATTCTTTGGCCAAAACAAAACTAAACTAGAAATTACTAACAGAAGAATATCTGGAAAATCCCCAAGTATTTGAAAATTAAGCAACACATTTCTAAAAAAATTCAAAAGTCAAAGAAGAAATTCAAGGGAAATAAGAAAATACACTGAACTTGAAAGACAATAAAAATACAACAAAAAAATGTATGAGCTGCAACTAAAGCAGTACTTAAAGGGAAATTTATAGTACAAAATATTTATATTAGAAAAAAAGAAAAGTCTCATATCAATGAACTATGCTTGCACCCTAAAAAACTAGCAAAAAAAGAGCAAATTAAACTCAAAGCAAGCAATAAGAAGAAAATAAAGAGCATAAATCAATAAAACAGAAAAATGGCAGAGAAAAAAATCAATGAAACCAAAAGCTGGTTCTCTGAGGAGGGGAAATCAATAAACTTGATAAACATCTATCCAAACTGATGAAGAAAAAAAAAAAGAGAAAATATAAATTACCAATATAGGGAATGAAAGAGGGAAGCTAAGTACAGACCCTACAGACATTAAAAATGAATATTACAAACAACTGTATGCCCCATAAAAGTGACAACAAAATAAAACAAATTTCTTCAAAGACACAAGCTTCCAAAGGTCACTGCTAAATAGATAACTTAAATAGTCCTGTATCTATTAAATAAATTGAACTTATGGTTTAAAATCTTCCACGAAAGTAAACTCCAGACGCAGTGGCTTCACTGGCAAATTTTACCAAACATTTAAGAAATAAACCACTCTTAAACAAATTCTTCTAGAAAACAGAAGATGAGCAATGAGAGAACACTTCCCAATTCATATTATGAGGCCAAAATTAACTAATATTGAAACCAGAAAAAGAAATTGTAAGAAAGTAAAACTACAGACCAATATACCTCATGAATACTAGCAAATCGAATACAACAATATGTAAAAATGATGTTATAATCATGTGGGGTTGGTCACCATTTAAAAATCAATCACTATACTAACAGACAATAGTAGGAAAACCATGTAATCATGGCAATAAATGCTAGAGAATGTTTAACAAAATTCAACATTCATTAATGACAACAATTGTCAGGAAATAAAAGGGAATTTCCTCAACCAGATAGAGGGCATCTATGAACAACCTACAGCTAACATCACACTTAATGGAGGATAACCTTAATCCTTTCACCTTAAGATTGGACACAAGGCAAGTATGTCCATCTTTACCCTCTAATTTAACATAGTAGTGGAGGCTGTAACCAGTACAATAAGGCAAGAAAAAGAAATAAAAGGCACACAACATTCACATACAACATGAATGTCTATGTAGAAAATCCCAAAAAGGTTACAAAAACTAATAAACCCAATAAGTGAGATGACAGGATACAAGATCAAAAATAGCAAGATAACAGGACACAAGATTAAAAATCAGCATTGTTTCTTGCTTGTGTAAAATGGTACACCCACATTGGAAAAGTGAGGACAGTCAAACAGTGTGGCAGTTCCTCAAAAGGTTATAAACACAAAGTTATCATATGACCCAGCAATTCTGCTCCTAGGTATATACTCAACAGAATGAAAACATGCCCACACAAAAATTTGTACATGGATGCTCATAGCAGGATAATTCATAACAGCAAAAAGTAGAAGCAACCTAAATGTCTACCAATTGATGAATGGATAAATAAAATGTGGTATATCCATACAATGTAATATTGTTCCACAGTAAAAAGGGAACGAAGTACTGTTACTTCATGGATACAACATGGATAAGCCTTGAAAAGATTCAAAATAAAAGAAGCCAGTCACAAGAGACCACATATTGTATGATTTCATTTATATAAAATGTCCAGAATAGGCAAATTTACAGACACAGAGAATAGATTAGTGATTGCCTAGAGCTCAGGAGATTGCAGTAAATGGGGAGTCACCACTCATGGGTAGGTTTCCTGTTGGGGTGATGAAAATGCTCCAAAGTTCATTGTGGTGATGGTGGTACAACTCTCTGACTATAGTGAAACTCACCAAATTGTATGCTTTAATGGGCAGATTATAAGGTAGGTGAATTATATCTCATAAAGCTGTCATATTAAAAAAATTTTAAAAAGTAGTGTTTCTGCATATTGGCAATAAACAGTTAAAAATTAAAATTTTCAAAAATACTAACAGCACCAAATGCCATGAAATACATTAAGATAAATCTAATAGAATATATGCAAGATTTTCATGTTGTAAAAACAACAAAACATTCGTGAGAAAAATCAGACTTCAATAAATAGATATATTTTGTCAGGGATTGTAAGGTACATTATCAAGATATCAGTTTTCCCCAAAATGATCTATAGATTTGCCATAATCCCAATCAAAACTCCAGTAAGCTTTTGATTAAAACTTATACTGGCTGGGTGCAGTGGCTCATGCCTGTAATCCCAGAACTTTAGGAGGCCAAGGCAGGAGGATCGCTTGAGCCCAAGAGTTCGAGACCTGCCTGGGCAACATAGGGCAACCTCATCTATACAAAAAAACAAAAATAAATTATCCAGGTATGGTGACGCACACCTGTAACCCCAGCTACTCAGGAGGCCAAGGTGGGAGGACTGCTTGAGCCCTGAAGTTCAAAGCTGCAATGAGCTGTGATTGACACTGCACTCCAGCCTGGGTGACAGAGCAAGACACTGTCTCCAAAAAAAGAAGAAAGCCAGGCACAGTGGCTCACACCTGTAATCCCAGCACTTTGGGAGGCTGAGGAGGGCAAATCACTTGAGGTTGGGAGTTCAAGACCAGACTGGCCAACATGGTGAAACCCCATCTCTACTAAAAACAAAAAAAATTAGCCAGGTGTGGAGGCATGGGCCTGTAATCCCATTTACCTGGGAGGCTAAGGCAGGAGAATCCCTGGAACCCAGCAGGTGGAGGTTGCAGTGAGCCAAGATTGTGCCACTGCACTCCAGTGTGGGCCACAGAGCGAGACTCCGTCTCAAAAAAAAAAAAAAGAAGAAGAAGAAAGGAAGGAAGGGAGGGAGGGAAGGAGGGAGGGGGGCGGAGGATGAGGAGGAGGAAGAAGAGGAATAAGAACAGCAGCAGCAGCAGTAGCAACAGCAACCAAATTCTTCCAGAAAAGTTCTAAATAATTTATATAGATACCCTTTTCTGCAGGAGGTGGAGCTTAACCTCCCTGTCCCCCAACTTTCAAGTTGGCTGCATTTAGTGATTTGCTTCCAAAGAATAAGACATGATAAAAACAAAAATAAAACAAAATAAAGAACAGACTATGAAAAAGTAGAAAAAATTACAACTCTGTGGTAGAGAAACACAGCAAACACTACCTTAACCAAGTGATCAAGGTTAGTATCATCAGTGATAAGTCAGGGTACTTGGACTGTGTGACATTTTTCTCTATAATCCACAATCCAAGTCAAACCATGAGTAAAACACAAGACAAACCCAAATTGAGGAACATTCTTGAAAACTATCAGGGTCATAAAAAACAAGGAAACACAAACAGTCACAGACCAGAGAAGACTAAGGAGTCACGATGACTAAATGTAATGTGGTAACATGGATGGGATCCTGGAATACAAAAGACATTAGTGGAAAAATTGGTAAAATCTAAATAAACTTTAGAGTTTAGGTTTGTTGTTACTGTGGTAAAAAAAAAGAAAAGAAAAGAAAAGAAAGACATCTCATACAATTTACCCGCTTAACCACTTTTTTAAAAAAGACTCATCAATGGCAGTAGTAAGAAGGGGGAAAAGAGGAGAAGTTCAATCTTTAACTGACTGTGAATAACTAAGATACTCTACTTTTGGAGGCGCCCCTCTTAACCATTTTTAAGCATACAATTTAGGTGTTAAGTACATTTACATTGCTGTAAAACAGATCTCCAGAACTTTTTCATCTTGTAGAACTGAAACTCTACACACATTAAGCAACTCTCTTTGTCTCCTCCCAAAGCCCCTGGTAATCATCATCCTACTTTCCATATCTGTGAATTTAACTACTTTGGATACCTCATATAAGTACTACCCCTTTGTTACTGCTTTATTTCACTTAGCACAATATCCTCAAGGTTCATACACACTGCAACATGTAACAGGACTTCTTTCCTTTTGAAGGCTGCATAATATCCCACTGGGTGTATATACCATATTTTGTTTATCTATTCATCTGTCAATGGACATTTGAGTTGCTTCCACCTTTTGGCACTTGTGAATGGTGCTATTATAAACTTTGGTGTGCACTGGTGTTTGTTTTTTCTTGAGATAGGGTACCACTCTGTCACACAGGCTGGAGTGCAGTGGTACAATCTCAGCTCACTGCAACCTCAGCCTCCTGGGCTCCAGTGATCCTCCCACCTTAGCCTCCCAAGTTGCTAGGACCATAAGCATGCACTGCCACACCTAGATAAATTTTTGTATCTTTGGTAAAGACAGGGTTTTGCCATGTTGGCTGGTCTCGAACTCCTGAGCTCAAGTGATCTGCCTACTTTGGCCACCCAAAGTGCTGGGACTACAGGTGTGTGCCATCATGCCTGGCTAATTTTTGTATTTTTAGTAGAGACAGGGTTTCACCATGTTAGCCAAGCTAGTCTTGATCCTCCCGCCTGGGACTCTGAAAGTGCTGGGATTACAAACGTCAGCCACCGTGCCCAGCCTTTTTTTTTTTTTTTTTTTAATGAGCAAAAGATTTGAGCAAATACTTCTCCAAAGAAGATATATAGATGGCAAATAAGGACAGGAAAAGATGCTCAACATCATTATTCACGCAAAGTTAAAAACAGTGAGGTAGCACTATATATCTAGAAGCAAACAACAACAACAACAAAAAAGTGGAGAATATCAAGTGCTGGATATGATATGGAATGACGACAACTTTCATGCATTGCTGGAGAGAATGTAAAATAGAACATGCATTTTGGAAAACGGTTTGGCGGTTTCTTATATAGTTAAAACATACTTACCACAATACCCCAAAATCCCATTGCTAGGTACATAACCAAGTGAAATAAAAACCTGGGTTCATGCTGGGCACAGTGGCTCACATCTGTAATCTCAACACTTTGGGAGGCCGAGATGGGCAGGTTGCTTGAGCCCAGGAGTTCAAGACCAGCCTGGGCAACATGGCGAAACCCTGTCTCTACTAAAAATACAAAAATGACCCAGGCGTGGTGGCATGTACCTGTAGTCCCAGCTACTTTGGAGGCTAAAGTGGGAGGATTGCTTGAGCTCAGGAGGTAAAAGCTCCAGTGAGCCATAATTGTGCCATTGCACTCCACCATGGGTGAAAGAGAAAGACCCTGTCTCAAGAAAGAACAAAAACAAAAAAAAACCTTGTATTCAATAAGGTACAAGAATGTTAACAGGAGCTTTATTTATCATCGCTAAAAACTGGAAACCTTCCAAATGTCCTTCACCTGATAAATGGATAAACTAAGATGGCAATTCATACAATGGAATATTACTCTGTAATAAAAAGGAAGGAACTACTGATAGATGCAATGACAAGGATGAATTTCAAATGAAATACTATATGAAAGAAGCCAGACTCAAAAGGTTATATCATTCCATCTATAAGATGTTCTGCAAAAGGCAAAACCAAGAGAACAGAAAACAGATCAGTGGTTGCTAGGGGTTGTGCGTAGACAAAGGAGGTGACCTCATATGAAATTTTTTGGATAGTGAAACTCTTCTATATCTTGATTTTTGTGATAATTACACTACTATATAAATTTGTCAAAACTCAAAACTGTACATTTAAAAGGGTGGTTTTTGCCATATATGTAAATTACGGCAAAATTTTATTAACCTCAAAAAGGTTAATAAAAAACAAGTTTTTTTCAGCATAAGTTTATACTTTATATAAAACAGAGCACTGAAACATGCTATCTCCTATTGTTTGCTGTGTTTCACTTTCCTATTTGTGCCCTCCTAGTTAACATTTTTACTCCCTTGGCAGATTTGGACATTCACAGGTATCTTCTCTTATCTTGTTGCTGTAGCTACAAGGGTTTATCTCATTTGACTAGTTACATATGGCCCAGTTGAGCAGGTATGTCAGACTTTTATAAAATATCTCCCCCACTCCAACTCTTTCCTTTTCTCGTTGAAAAGCATCTTTATTCATCTACCAATGAGTGCTAAAACCTCTGGGGCTGCTCTTTACCCTTGGAAAATTCTACATTCTACATTCTCAGGAAGTTGGTGAAGCCAGGCAGATGCAAACCACACTAGGGTAACCTGAGCACATCTAGCCAACGTGAAGTCTATTAGAGAGTTCTTATGTAAGGCTGCCAAGCTCCTAAAAAAAAGAGATGGGTCTTGATGGGACAACTGAGATTTGCTGTTGCATGGGCAACTGACTTGATGCTAAAGCTATTACAATGAGAGAGAGGAGATATTTTAAAAACCTGGGTCCTTGTAGACATTGTTGAGCAACTGATCATACCATTCTAGAATTGTCATATAATTTTCCTACTCTTTAAGATGGTTTTAAGTCCGAGTTTTCTGATACTTGCCATTGAAAACATCCTACTAATACAAGGCCCTACTTGCACTGCCTAAGACATTATAGCAAAGGTTCTCTTATAAAGTTCTCTTAAAAGTTTTCCTTCACTTCTCTAAAAAATAAAGTATACTAGAAAAAAAAATATTTTCCTCCCAGGCAATCCTTCTTTTCCACTGCTGCTTCTATTCTTTCTCCTGGTACTTTTTCCAAATCCTCTCCAGTTTCCTCATGATACAGGAGTCCCAAGGAGAGGTTGGGATTTTCACAATTAATCTCATCACAAAGGATGAAGCAAACCAATCTACAGTGACAGAGGCAAATCAGTGGTTGCCCAGGGATGAGGCACAGTGGGTGAAGGTGGTGAAGGAGACATGAGAGGATTCTAAAGAGATACAAGGAAACTTTTCAGAGGTGACGGATATGGTTATTATCCTGATGATTGTGATAGTTTCACATACGTACACATATGTCAAGACTTATTAAAATTTGTATAATTAAAATGTGTGCAGTTTATATGTCAATTATACTTCAATAAAGCTAATAAATTTGCGCTTTAAAAATAAGATAGTTTTACTGAGTGGCTGTTTCTGTGCAATCTACAGAGATTTTTCCTTAACCTTTATACTACAGGTAGAATTAACTAGGCCCCTATTCCAAACTTATAGGGACACATGAATTCTTTCAGAAATAAGTTATACTTGCTGTAGCTTGAGAGTACATTTTCAGTGAGCCAATCACCAAAAGATTTGCAAAAAAAAGATTTTTATCTAATGCCCACTTCCACTTGTAAGTTATGCTAAAAATACATAGGTACACTAAGATTCCTTAAAATCCTGGACATCCGCAAATTACACAATGTTCTGGGATCCAAGTTCTTTTATTTGCTGCTGTCAATTCCCACCCACTCTTTCACCTCCTTCTCTCTGGCATTCAATGAATCCACAAGCCTCCCTATTCTCTCTCTCTCTCTCAGCAACATCAACAAAGGGCTGCTAACCAGCTTTACACTGAGATGAAATCTGAATTCCTAAAGGCAAAAAGGCCCACATGTACCTTCCTATTGCCTGAGAAGAGGAGACTACTATATTTCTGTGCCACACAGGGCACCAAACAACTAGAGGAGAATCTTTCGTAGTCTTTTCCTCTTATATGCCAAAAGCTAGACAAATGGTGGAGAGAGGAGTAAAAAGAAAAGGCAGCTTACCCATGGAGTAGAGGTTGTCAAAGCTCTGGTGCATGCGGATAATCTCATAGTAAAGTTCATCATAGCTGCTGGGGGTTGGCAGAAATGTGTCGCCATATGTGATAAACATATTAAATAGGTTCACAATCTAAAAAAGAAGGAAAGGCCCATATATAGGCATCAGGCTATGAAGACTAAAAATTATCAGTGGTATGCTGTAGCCAGCTCTTACTGTCTTGCAAGAGTTGACTGTAAAATTTTCAGGAATTTTGTAAGCCAGTTGTTAAACACAGCCATTATTAAAAATTTCACTCATATAAACTTATAATTAAATAAATTATATTAAAATGAAAGTAATAAATATTAAAAACTTATCACTTCCTAATTATTTTCTACCTTTTACTAACCTATGCTCTGGAGATTTATAACTATTATATCTGTGTGGTGCAAACATCATATAATGGTGTGCTACTGCACATTGCTTCCCAACTCTGCATGACTCTGATGTCACATTGATAGCTTGAAATTGGCCATGGTGGGTGTAGCTCTACAATGAAAATCAGCAAATGCTACGAATCAAGACTTTTTTTCCCTCTAATGTTGAACATTTAAGAACACATTGTATAATATCCTAAGAAGATAGTCAAAATGCACAATGGCCTCCTTCTATCCCAAATAACCAGCCAGATAAGCAAGCATCTGTAATGTCCCTCAGAAACCAAGTGCAGCCATGATGGAACCTTCAGAGGGTTTGCTATTTACCAACATAGAGACCGCAGTAGTATACAGCAGTCTCTCAATTGGGACCAAGGCTCACTATTCATACACAGAGATCTAACCTATACCCACCCCTGCCAGACAATATATTTTCATGAAGGAAAGAGAGTCATGCAGAGTTTGCCAAAGACATAGGTGAGAGTGGGGACCACCAGTCCAGATTCGGATCCAAAAAATATATATAGGTCTGGTTCCCTCTATGGCTTAGTCCCCAGACCACCAGCTCCTGTTTCAAACCAGTGCATTTCTGCCTTAGCATATGGCTTCAGAAAAAGAAGTATTTGTTTTGATACTCACCATAAGGGCTAATGTAAAAATGTTGTGTTTGGCCAAAAGTACAGTCTCATTTGACATAAGGAACTTCAGCAAATTTATCAAGGCTTTAAAAAAAAAAAAAAAGACATCAACAAGCTATTCAAACCATGATTAATAAAGTTAAATAAAAACAGACTAGCTCTAAAAAAAATCCAGAAGGTTAGAGTGAGTAAGTCTCAGCCACCAAGGTCTTTTAAAAAGCAGGTAAGGTAGGTATATTTGAGGAAAGCACTCACCTTCCCAAGCACGTGTCTGCTTATCTGTTCATGGAAGGTTTTGAAATAGCTACTTCTTTTTGCCACTTCTTAAATAGCAATTAAGCTCAGAAATCTGACTATAAAACTGACATCTTGGTGTTTCAAATTTACTCCCACATGGTGATTTCCCCATCAAATTTGCTCAATTTACAGGTGAAAATGAGGGTCCCCCTTCCACCCTCAGCTGCTAGCTTCTATTGTCATCAAGCTTTAGACATGTATCTGTTTCAGACATCATTGCTAAGAGGAAAATGTATCCATTCTAACTGGTCACCAGATATAGCAGCTATACTGTATGTACTCCTCTAGATGAGGAGAGCTCATAAAGAGAAAAAAAGCCCTTAACTGCTCTAACTATTCAAACAAAGTGAAGCTTGCGCTGACCTCTCGTTACAGTGACAACATTTATTGAAATCTCTTTCTGCCTGGCAATTCTTAGCGAGGGGAGAGATTCCTAAAACCCAAGCAACCTCAATAAAGAGACTGACTGCCAAGTCCCTAGTTTAGCAGTGCAGCTTCAGACATTTTTGCAAATAAATATTAAGCATAAAAGAAGTTATCAGTTACCTTATACTCATTCACCTAGCACATTTTGTCCATGAAATGAGTCCTGCTTCTCTGCCCATCTCAGATAATGCCCCTGTACCTACCTCCCCTACTTGATGGGATACTATAAAGGGGTTCAGCAGCTGCAGGCAATCTGTGGTCCTTCTGTCTTCTCCCCCACAAACCCCCACCTTCCACAGACCCAAGAAAAGGCTTGACCTCTCTTTTTCTAGGACCATATCTGCTTCTTTGCCAGCAAAGAAGTTCATTCTCCCATGCTGTCAGAGTTTTGTGTGAAGTTTACTACTCTTAAAGTAGAGATGTGAGCTTTGATTTGGAACAGCAGGGAATGATGAGTAGGAGTGAGACTCTCCAGACTCTTGCTGCCTACCACACAACACCCCTCACTCTCAATCCTTTAAAAGCACAGGTACAGTAAAGAAACAGCAGGCAAGGAAAGTACAAGAGGCTGGCTTCACCCACATTCTGTTTCTAAAGCCTGAATCTTCCCCTCAAATAGTAAAAAAAAGCCTTGCCAGGCATGAAGGAGATAGGCATCTTCATTTATAAACTCTTTACCCCGGCCCCAACTTGAGTTCTCTGGGGTTTCATAATGAAAAGGCAAATGATAGGCAGCTGGCCCTTTTAATGGTGTCTGTTAAGTGATCAAGTATCTGTTGGACTGGGGGGACAAAAAGGCTCCAAGGGAGCCCATTCAGGATCACACAACCTGCTTAGCTCCTACCAGGAGCACAGGAATAATGGGGCTAGCTAAAATTCACATAAAAATGACTAACCCAAACTTCCCTCCTTAAAGAAGATCACCTTGCTGAGTGAGCTACGTGGGGGCTGCCCACCCCACCACCTAATCCCCAGAGTTTAGACAAGCCCTGTTAATGATATACTACCTGACAATCGGACTCTATAAAATCATAGAGGCGAGAGAAAGGGATGGGCAGCACGCTTGGCACTCTGCAAAACGTAATGGCTAGAGACAAAGCAGCTTTTGCACACATCCCATCAACAAGGGCTTTTGTCCCCAGGACACACAGCACAGAGATGCAGCCTCAGCAGTGGCTATGTGGTAATTAAAGGGCAGGAAACCTGGAGGAAAGGATGTGGGAGCAATGATTTATTGCTCCTCTGCTGGACTACAGCTAGTCTTGATCTCTGGGATTCAGAATCCAGGATGACAAAGTGAGAAATATTAGAGGAGGAAGAGAGCAACTCTGGCACGGGCAACCTGTGTCCCAACTGCCACAGGCATTAGCGGAGCCAGAGTATTGAAAGGGAGAGTCCAGTACCACAATACTCTGAGAGTCAGTGCCAGAGTGGCTTGCATTCTGCCCCTGAAAATGCAGGTCAGATATTCTGCTCCCCCAAGAACCAAGGTCTTCTCACTTGGAAGTAAGAATTCTCTACAGGGGCTGGGCGCAGTGGCTCACGCCTGTAATCCTAGCACTTTGGGAGGCTAAGGCAGGCAGATTGCCTGAGTTCAGGAGTTCGAGAACAGCCTGGGCAACACGGTGAAACCCTGTCTCTACTAAAATACAAAAAATTAGCTGGGCGTGGCGGTGTGCGCCTGTAGGCCCAGCTACTCGAGAGGCTGAGGCAGAAGAATTGCTTAAACCCGGGAGGCGGAGGCTGCAGTGAGCCGAGATCGCACCACTGCACTCCACCTTGGGCGACAGAGCAAGACTCCTTCTCCAAAAAAAAAAAGAACTATCTACAGGGAATTTAATAGGCAACTAAAATGAAGCCTCTGACATCACAGATGGTAATTCTTCTTCAAGAGAGAATGTCCCAAATATCCCATGAAATAGTGCTTTTCTCCATCATAATCTCCTTGACTTTGCACTCACTATATCAACTGTTCAGTGTCCTATACACCACTACACACAGATTCTAGCCTCTGACCTGATATGATGGGAGTTTTAAGTCTGTGAGGCTTTGACATAGCTGATTATAGATTTTTAGAGCTAGAAAATGCCTTAGGTCATTTAATCCGATTTCCTCATTTTTGGATAAGAAAACTCCATGCCCCATTCCACCCTCACCCCAAACTAGCTGGTGACTAAGCTGGGACTAGGACCTTGTCACCTGTTTAGTGTTCTTTCTACCATGCCATTAAGAAGATAAGCCAGGTACAGTGGCTCATGCCTGTAATCCCAGCACTTTGGGAGGCTGAGGCAGGCTGATCATGAGGTCAGGAGTTCGAGACCAGCCCGGCCAAGATGGTGAAACCCCGTCTCTACTAAAAAATACAAAAATTAGCCAGGCACGGTGGCGGGCACCTGTAATCCCAGCTACTCGTGAGGCTGAGGCAGGAGAATCGCTTGAACCTGGAAGGCGGAGTTTGCAGTGAGCCGAGATTGCACCACAGCACTCTAGCCTGGGCGACAGAGCAAAACTCCGTCTCAAAAAAAAAAAAAAAAAAAGAAGATTAAACAAATAAAGGTGCGAGATCAAGCTGAACGTGAAAGTGGGGTTACAGCTTACTATAAATGGTGTGCTTAGATCTGCTGACTATACTGTTATCAGCACTTCTCTAGACTCTGGTTTATAACTTTCTCCACCTGTTGGCTGCTCTACGTCATTTTCATGTATTTGGTCCCCATTTTCCCTTGGTCCTCAGCTACCTGTTAAAGTACAAGTATTTAATACCTCATTATCGCCTTCCTGTCACTCACTGGCAACACAAAAAGACTCCCAGAAGCTTTGCTCAGCACGAGCCACCTCAGCAGGCCTCTCTGCCAGCTCCTTGGCCTGCTCTCTGCTGTCTTATCTACATCTCAGCTCTCACCTCCACCTCTCTATCCCTTGTGGCTGCTTGCTCTCTCTTTTTTTTTTTAAGCACATAACTATCAACTAAAACTGTTCCTAATTCCCTCAGTCAGTGTTGCCTTCTTCAAAATTAGGTACTGCCAATGGAAGATGATTGGATATGGACATTAAAGGGAGCCAAGATCCCCTTTCTTTAGAAAAAATCAGAACCAAAACAAAAAAATATGGGTATAAACAATTAATAACCAGGTTTATTTATAAACTATTATGGACCGAGCTTTGCACAGGGTTTATGCCAAAAAAGACAGGTTTAGGCCAAAGAAGAAAATGCCCTGTGTCAGGAGCAGTTTCAAGGACAGCAGAGAACTGGCACTCAGGATCTCAGTGCCAACACAGAGCTCATGCTAACAGGCTCCTGACTCACCCCCTCTACATACACACACATTTTTAGAAAACTGCCCTTGATCCACTTGTCCACTTGATGTCATCTGGGCACATGACCAGCCAAATTGTTCCAAGGACACTCACAGAAGTAGCAGTACATACAGGGAAGAATTAAGATAACTAAAAAATAAGGGGATGATTGCATAAACATAGTACGGTTAATCAGTCATACATCTGTAAGACTTTGCAATCAAGTACAGTAAATGTTGCAGTCATGAAGATATGAGGGACAGGATGTACCATTTAATTTAATCCTTTGCCTTATCATGTTTCTCATTGTTAAATAATAGTTTCTAAAATGAAGTGGGGCAAAAGGGCTAATACAGGATTCTTCACCAAAGGCCTGACTCCTGGTCTGAGAGATTTCCAACGAAGCATGACCTTATGGTATAGAAACTTAACACTGTGTAAACAGCTTTGCCCATTAGGTGAGCAATGGCTGCTCACTCCCTCAAAAGAGAATGGCATAGCTTGTCGCAGAGAATATCCTTTTGGGTAAGGGCAAGCTTGGTAGTTGAGACTTTCCAAACCTGAAGAGATAATGCCCATGGGCCCATACTCCACATCCCTGGGAATGCGCTGTCCCAAAATACCAACGTGAAGAGACACATCACAGAGGAATGCATCATTTCCTCCAGAAGAATGACAACTACTACAAGTTAATAACTGTGTCCAGAAGCTCACACAGAGCATCTCAAACTTTCCTTTTTTTTTTTTTACCCTCTATCTGATACCTTAAAAAAAGACACTTAACTACAGAAATCACCTTCCTCAAACTACATTCACCTCTTTTCAAAGTAAGAAATACCATGGTCATAAATGGCAGGAAAGGTAACACTTATTAGGTGCTTGCTAGGTGCTAGATATTATGTAAAGCACTTAAATTATATTCTTCTCACTGAATCCTCTTAACTATCTGATGAAGTAGGTATTATTGTTCCCATTTTACAGATGAGCAAATCAAAATTCAGAAAGGTTAAATAAATTACCCAAAGCCAATATGCTGGTTGGAGCTAAACTGCATTAAGGACAAATCATGCTGGGGAGAAGAAGGTCTCTGAACTCCCACTGCTGAGGTCTATGAAACTGTATTGGATCCACCCAAACTTCAATTTGAAAAATATTTGTTGGGGATACAGGAGCTATCTAGGGCCAATATCTATATTTGCCACCAAAAACCATACTTTGATCACAATTCCACTGATTAGCCCCTCACATAACAAAGTGACCAAAGGAAAAATCCTATAAGCTCAGAGTACATGTCTTTTTTTCTTTTTTTTTTTTTTTTTGAGACAGAGCTCAACTCTGTCACCCAGACTGAAGTGCAGTGGCATGATCTTGTCCCACTGCAACCTCCACCTCCCGGGTTCAAGAGATTCTCCTGCCTTAGCCTCCCAAGTAGCTGGGATTACAGGAACCCATCACCATGCCCGGATAATTTTGCATTTTTTTTTTTTTTTTTGAAACAGAGTCTCACTCTGTTGCCGAGGCTGGAGTGCAGTGGCACGATCATGGCTCACTGCAACCTCCACCTCCCGGGTTCAAGCCATTCTCCTGCCTCAGCCTCCTGAGTAGCTGGGACTACAGGCACCTGCCACCACACCTGCCTAATTTTTTGTATTTTTTATTTCACTGTGTTAGCCAGGATGGCCTCCATCTCCTGACCTCGTGATCCGGTCGCCTTGGACTCGGCCTCCCAAAGTGCTGGGATTACAGGTGTGAGCCACCGTGCCCAGCCATTTTTGTATTTTTAGTAGAGACGGGGTTTCACCATGTTGGCCAGGCTGGTCTCGAACTCTTGACCTCAGGTGATCCACCCGCCTCAGCCCTACAAAGTGCTGACATTACAGGCATGAGCCACTGTGCCTGGCCTATTTACTTATTTGTTTTTATTTTTTATTTATTTATTTTTGTTTTTGAGATGGAGTTTTGCTCTTGTTGCCCAGGGTGGAGTGCAACGGCACGATCTCGGCTCTCCGCGACCTCTGTCTCTTGGGTTCAAGCGATTCTCCTGCCTCAGCCTCCCGAGTAGCTGGGATTACAGGCATGGGCCACTGCACTTGGCTGTCTCCTGGTAGTAGTTTTAAAAGGTCAACTTAAAATAAGGTGGTAGTAGGCTACTGACCTACTTATTTTATGCCATTTCCCTTTCGTTAAAGTAGGGGTTCTCTTTTTCTTTCTTTTTTTTTTTTTTTTGAGACGGAGTCTTGCTCTGTCGCCCAGGCTGGACTGCAGTGGTGTGATCTCGGCTCACTGCAAGCTCCGCCTCCCAGGTTCACGCCATTCTCCTGCCTCAGCCTCCCGAGCAGCTGGGACTACAGGCGCCCGCCACCACGCCTGGCTAATTTTTTGTATTTTTAATAGAGATGGGGTTTCACCGTGTTAGCCAGGATAGTCTCGATCTCCTGACCTCGTGATCCGCCCACTTCGGCCTCCCAAAGTGCTGGGACTGCAGGTGTAAGCCACTGCGCCCGGCAATTTTTGCATTTTTAATAAAGACAGGGTTTCGCCACGTTGGCCAGGCTGGTCTCAAACTCCTGACCTCAAGTGATCTGCCCGCCTTGGCTTCCCAAAGTGCTAGGATTACAGGCATGAGCCATCACTCCTGGCCAGCTCAGAGTACATGTCTCTAAATGTCTTAGGACTTCACTCCACTGGCCTAAGATAATTAAACGCACACAATCTCAAAAAAACAAGCGATTGCAGGAACTCAAACAAGTATTTGTACACCCATGTTTACAGCAGCATCATTCACAACAGCCAAAAGGTGGAAGCAACCCAAATGTCCATCAAAAGATGAACGAATAAACAAAATATGGTATATACATATGGCAGAATATTACTCAGCCTTAAAAAGGAAGAAAATTCTGACAACATAGATGAACCTTGAAGATATTATTCTAAGTGAAATAAACCAGTTACAAAAGGACAAATGCTGTTTAATTCCACTTAAATGAAATACCCAGAGTAATCAAATTCAGAATTAGTGTTGCCAGGGTCTGGCATGAGGGGGAATTAAGAATTATTGCTGGCCAGACACGGTGGCTCACACCTGTAATCCCAGCACTTTGGAGGCCAAGGAAGGTGGATTACCTGAGGTCAGGAGTTCAAGACCAGCCTGTAACATGGTGAAACCCCGTCTTTACCAAAAAAAAAAAAAAAAAATTAGCCTGGCATGGTGGTACACACCTATAGTCCCAGCTACTCGGGAGGCTGAGGCAGGAGAATCACTTGAACCCAGAGGCGGAAGTTGCAGTGAACCAAGATTGCACCACTGCACTCCCACCTGGGTGACAGAGTGAGACTCCATCTCAAAAAAAGAAAAAAAAAAGTTTTTGTTTAATGAGTACTGAGTTTCAGTTTGGGAAGATAAAAAAAAGTACTGGAAATGGAAGGTAGTGATGGTTGCACAATGTGAATATACTTAATGCCACTGAACTGTATGGTTAAACATAGTTACAATGATAAATTTTATGTTTATTTTACCCCAATTAAAAAGAAAAACAAAAGGTCAATGTTTTTCTTTCCACAGACACTCCCAACAGCCTCACAAACACTCCAGTCTCACTTTCTGTAACCTCTGCATAACTGACTGGCTGACATTCACGTCAAAGTACACCATACTAAGTACAGGGACAAACACACAAAGATGCTTCCTCACTGATAGGTAAAAGGAAAGGAGCCAAATATACTCAATCAACAGAGAGCCCATGAACTTGAGCAGGAATGCAAATTCAAAATGAACCCCGGGCAGCCTTCAAGGCAACACTGTGGCAATCTTCAAAATAATCACCAAAGTTCACCATCCAAACTAACAATGCACTAAATACCAACACTATCCTACAAAATCCTCAGGGACTCTGGGTTTGATTCCTAATCCTTGCTGTTTCATCTGTTATACTTAATGAGGTTCCAAGTACTCTTAACTCTGCACCAAGTGAAGAACTGAGAAATTACTGCAGTAAAATATTTGAGGTATTATATTACACATTAAATACGTTTAAGTTGTAGGGAAGTGAGTGCTCAATACACACTCATTTCTTCATTGGCAAGTCTTTCATACCAGGCCCCTTGAAAACTTATTTTCTGGGCTGTTTTTCAGGAACTCCAAATTGGCTACAACTGCTCTCTTTTGACTCTGTACTAGAGGCAACTATCAGTCTCACACTCAGCTTCAGCCCATGTTCCCTTCCTTGGGGAGTCCTGTGCATCATATCTGCTGAAAGAGTATGACAACAGTGTGTAGAGTTCTGACTTTTCTGTATGCACATGCAGATAGAATATAGAAGAGTGTACAGGTTCGGGAAGCTGAGCCAGGACCAGGCACTCTGATGGTTCCCTAAGTCCCACGTGAATTCCTAGAGATAGAAGCAGACAATCTAATTTTTTTTTCTTTTTCTTTTCTTTTTTTTTTTTTTTTTTTAGACAGAGTCTCACTCTGTCACCCAGGCTGGAGTGGTGCAGTGGTGCAATCCCGGCTCACTGCAACCTCCACCTCCCGGGTTCAAGCGATTCTTGTGCCTTAGCTTCCTGAGTAGCTGGGATTACAGGCATGCACCACCACACCTGGCTAATTTTTGGTTTGGGTTTTTTTTTTTTTTTTTTTTTTTTTTTTTGAGACAGGCTGGAGTGCAATGGTGTGATCTTGGCTCACTGCAACCTCTGCCTCCCGGGTTCAAGCAATTCTTCTGCCTCAGCCTCCCAAGTAGCTGGGATTACAGGCGCCCGCCACCACGCCTGGCTAATTTTTGTATTTTTAGTAGAGACAGGGCTCCACCAGGCTGGTCTCGAACTCCTGACTTCAGGTGATCGGCCAAAGTGCTGGGATTATACGTGTGAGCCCCTGCGCCCAGCCCACCCTAATTTTCAAATAGGAAGAGTTGAATACGATCCATCTGAGAATCCTGCCATCTTACACAGTGCCCCCAACACACACCCCACAAGGAACCTTTTTTGCAGAGCTGTTCCTAGCATTAATACACAATGAGAACTTTCCCAGAATTTTTTCTATCCTGCTTTGAATTCAGGAGGAGGGAAAAAAGGTAGCAGCAAATTGTGTTGCCATGTAGCAGTAGAATGAATAATGGATATGAGAACTTCTCCAGGACTAAAACCTGTCCCCCACATTAAGGTAAACCAGGTGCAGAGAGGAACAAGCCAACCACAGGAAGACACAATTAAGTGGTAGCTCAGGCCTCTGCCTCAAAAAAGGAGAGGGGAGGCTTAATTATAAAACCAAGTGAATGACATTTAAATAAGATTAAAAACAGGAAAGAGACAGCCTCCAGGAGAGCACAAACTAATATCTCCAAAGAATCAGGTCAGAGAAAGCTGTCTATTTGAGCAGCTTTTACATGCTATGAAGACAAACAGCAAAGACAACACTCACCCAGACTTGATTTTGTGACCTGGCATGGAGCTAGGTTTAGGTACCACAGAACCCAAATCAAAACCTGTTCATTAGGAGAGATGGATAATTTCACAGTGACTAATAAAAGAATAATATTACCATCTCAGTTGCTTAGGAGAGAAGTCAAGAAACTCAAAGGACACGATGAAAATAGCACTAGTGTAACAAGCTCATGCCACCAAAACCCTGGAAGCACTATAAACTCTAGCCAATTCCAGCATCTCTGGACAAAATCACCAATTACCCAGGGACATTGCCAGCAATCAGCAGGCTCACTGTCAATCAGCAGAGTGGTGCAGGAGAGAATCTGAAGCCAACACCTGCCAGTAGAATAATTTAAAAATACTCAGCCAGATGCGGTGGCTCAAGCCTGTAATCCTAACACTTTGGGAGGCCAAGGTAGGTGGATCACAAGGTCAGGAGTTCAAGACCAGCCCGGCCAACATGGTAAAAGCCCGTCTCTACTAAAAATACAAAAATTAGCCAGGCATGGTGGTGTGCGCCTGTATTCCCAGCTACTCGGGAGGCTGAGGCAGGAGAATTGCTTGAACCAGGGAGGCAGAGGTTACGGTGAGCTGGGATCGCGCCACGGCACTCCAGCCTGGGCTACAGAGCAAGACTCAGTCGTGGGGGGAGCAGGGGGCGGGGAACAACTCTAGGTGGCTTTTCAGAATACAGGCATCTGTCTGGATGCAAGCCTAAGCACTTCACTGACACAGAGGCCAAAGAATCAAACAAGAAAATGAAATGGCTCTGGCTGTATGCTATCAGCCTCTCCAGGTGAACACAGCACACAAGTCAGTATGTCAACAGCCTGCACTGACTAAAGGCTCCACATTCCTCTAAATGAGTCAGAAATAGAACAAATCCTTTCTTTAAACGGAAATCTGCTTCCATCCTTACCATTTTCCTTGCAGTCAATGTGTATCTGCTAAAAAAAAAAAATAAATAAGGTTCTCAACCATCTTCCATTCCCCATTTTCTTGCAGACAATGCAAACCTCACAATTAGCACCCAGCCTCTTCTTTTTCATGAAAATGAGTTTCCACATGAAAGTTCCCAGATCCTAGACTTTGGGAAATGTAGGGTCCCTGTGCAGCTGCCTCTAACCAAGCATGCTCAGGAGCCACTGCCTTCTTCTAGGGCCCTATACCACCTGCTCCTTTCCCCCCACCGTTTCCTAAAGGAGTGATAGCCAAAATCACCCTTTAAGAAATCTAAAAGTCAATGAGACCATGTCTCAGTGGAGCCATCTGACACAGAACCAATAACTTTACTTTTTGCCAAAATGAGGTAGGACCAATAACAGACTTGTCTTGCTCCCTCGAGATCCAGAGAAGGATGATACCTTATGAAACCACATGACATGTCCCTTTGAAACTAATATAGGCAGAGTAACCAAAAGCACAGCTAATCCTTCCCTGGTCCCTTTTACTTGACAAAATGCTCATGGGCCTATGAGAGTTGACATTTTTCTGGATAGGAAGTGACTGCATGCACAGAGAAAAGAACAAAGTGATTTCTTGCTCTTTTGGGGGCTTTTACGTGGGAATCTTTTTCTCCCTGTAACAGGCTAAACCTGTTAGAGATTCTTATCTTTTGCTTCTGCCAAGTTTCTGAGGGGATGAGAGAAAGATTCAAAATAGTGTAAATTTTGGATTCAGCCAAATGTAGTGATTTGAAAGGGAAAAAAGCTTCCTGGCATTCCTTTTTAGTCCTTGGGCTTTCTATACTGCTGTAGACAATATTTCATAACTACATTATAGAACCAGAAAGATACCTTCTAATGCCCCTGAATTAGAACATTCTAATTTTGAGAGGAATTGATCACCCATAGAGGAAAAGAGGCTCTCTATTTTTGCATATGGAAGCTAAAGCAGTCTTAATTAGGCACATCAGCCTAGAATATATCTTGTGACATATTTGCCTAAATCAGAGAAAATTTAGCAGAATGAGGAAGAGCAATTTTAAAAACAAGATAGAAATAGCAGCTGCCAAAATTCCCCTTCCCATCTACTCTAGTTTTTACTGCTATGTTCTTTCCCGCCTGGATACTCTCTTCAAAACTAAAAGAAGCAATGTTGTAGAGTTATATAAGATGTCATCACTGGAGGAAGCTGGGTGAAGGGTACATGAAACTCTATATACTATTTTTGCAACTTCCTGTAAGTCTATAATTACATCAAAATTAAAAGTTTAAAAAAGAAACTAAACTAAAAGAAGCACACAATGAAAAGTTCAAAGCATAGTTTCTCAAAATCAAGAGGGGCTGCTGAACTATCAAAGCTACATCTACACAAGAACTGCCAGATAAATCTATGGCTTGAGTCAGCCTTTCTCTTGAAAAATTTCAGTCCTGTATGGCAACACTTAAAAGTAAAACAAGCTTCCAACGAAAGGCTCTCAATTGCCAGTCTTGAGATGTACCTAACCAAGAAGTCATAGGCCTCTGCCAGTAATAGGAGAGCCAGCTGGATCCAGAACGCTGTGATACTCCCTGGGTTTTCCATTTTTCCCAGTAGATATCTAAAAGGTCAGGCCATGTACAATTTCTTTTTCACAAAGCTGTGAATGCTTTGGATGTTACTTAGCACAGTGAAGCTGAACAGATTGTTCTGGGGGCTTAGGGGGCCTTTCTTCCTGCAGGCAAGCAAATGTTGCTTAGTGATCTGTGTCTGAGCATAGGAGTCAGGAACTCTAAGTTCTAATCATGACTCTGTTTAGCGTCTGGTTCCATGATCCTTAGCAAGTCACTTAACCCTTCTATATCTCTACTCCCTTCCCCAACAAATGGGGATAAAAATAACGACTTATCACCGGGATGTGGCAGAGTGAGAGGGTAACAACTGTGATCCATAGATAAATGTTGAATATAAAATGTCAGTATAAATCTGCCTTTAAAACAACCCATGTTTTCAGACGATGGAAAGTCATACTATTTAAATGCAGCCTGCCTCTCCAATGCCCCTTCTTCCTGCAGTGGAAGTAAAATAAGCTGACTCCATGAAGCTCTGTTCAAGTATTTCTCTCTCCAACAACTACACACTTCTCTCTGCACATCCTGCTCAATCTTTGCTTAATGGCTTAGAAACCATCAAAGTTTCCATTTTTACTTGGTTAAAAGCAATCCATGCACCTGTGGGTAAGGAAGAATGAGAAAAACAAAAGAAATTACTAACTACTCTCTCTCACATCAACAAATCAAATAAACTAAGGTGGATGGCTGGCCCTATCAAAGGTGATGATGTCAGCTCAACAGAAACATTAACAACATCCTACTGGGTTCTATTATTATTATTATTCGGCTCAAACACAACATTGTGCTGCTTTTGGAGAATGTTGATCCATCATTAATGAAAATCTTACATATCCATTCATCCATTTATTTGTTCATCCAAATGTTATCTGAGTTCCTATTAAAAAGCTAAGTAGGCCGGGTGCTGTGGCACATGCCTATAATCCCAACAATTTGGGAGGCCAAAGCAGGCAGATCACTTGAGTCCAGGACTTCAAGACCAGCCTGGGCAACATGATGAAACCCCATCTCTAAAAAAAAAAATACAAAAATAAGCCAGGCATGGTAGTACGCATCTGTAGTCCCAGCTACTTGGGCGGCTGAGGTGGGAGGATCCATTGGGCCCAGGAGGTCGCGACTACAATGAGCCATGATTGTGCCGCTGCACTCCAGCCTGGGCAAGACCCTGTCTCAAAAAATAAATAAATAGCCAAGCAGTCTGCTGGAGATGTAACAATGATTAAAAAACAGGCCCTGCCCTCCAGGAACTTTTTTGAGAGGAAATATAGATATTTAAACAAATCATTGTAAAAACATATGAAATTAGCTGGGGCATGGTGGCTTGCATCTATGGTCCCACCTGCTCAGGAGGCTGAGTTGGGAGGATCACTTGAGCCCAGGAGACAGAGGTTGCAGTGAGCTGAGACTGTGGCACTGCACTCCAGCCTGGGCAACAGAGTGAGACCGTCTCCAAAAAAAAAAAAAAAAAAAAAAGCAAACATAGCAAAACAATGTGATACACTAAAATAGGGGCCCAATATGCTATAGAAAACACTCCAAAAATAAGACATAGTGAACAAAATGGTCTATAGCCTCAAGAAGTGCAAAGGAGATTGCTAACCTAAAGTTCCCAGTAGGAGCGCAGTGTGACTAGTAAATAAAGAAAAAATACTGGCCGGGCGCAGTGGCTCACACCTGTAATCCCAGCACTTTGGGAGACAGAGGAGGGCAGATCACCTAAGGTCAGAAATTTGAGGCCAGCTTGGCCAACATGGTAAAACTCCATCTTTACAAAAGTTAGCCAGGCATAATGGTGTGTGCCTTTAAGTCCCAGCTACTTGGGGCAGGAGCTGAGGTGGGAGGATTGTTTGAACCCGCAATCACACCACTGCTCTCCAGCTTAGGCAACAGAGTGAGACTCTTTCTCAAAAAAATAAAATAAAATAAAATAAAATAATTTACCTAGATACTAAGATTTCTGTGAGAACAGGATTAATTGGGAGGCTGTGGAACTTAAAATTAAGACAGAGGTTTTTGACACAAGGGGCTTCAGAGGATCCAGAAACTCTGTGAAACTATATGCAAAATATATATGTGCAAATGGACATTTTTTCTGAATACAAAGATGACTGTAGCTTTCATTCTATTCTCAAAAGTAAAGAACTATTTCAGTATGATCTTATCCCAAAACCCAGTTTTCTACCTCTATCAGTGGAGAGTTTTAAGATCTAATCTTTTACTCAGACTGGGAGATCTGGGTTGCCTAGACATCAGAGAAGAGCTTTCAAACTTTCTATATGTGGTGAAAAACAGTGATTGCTGAAAACAGAGCAATGCAGAGCAATAGAACTTTTTCCTTTCCATATTCTAGTTAAAATTAGCCTAAATATATTTTCATACATACTCAGATATCATGGTGACATGCATCATAGAAACAGACAGTGGCAGCAGGGAGTAGATCAGGGCTCGTATCTGTAAAACCAACTAGGAAAAGCTTATCAGGCAAGATTGAACCCCCAACTAATACAGCTGACTCCTCCTTGTCCATAAGATCACACCTGTAAATTCATTATGGGAATCTGGAGACCTCTGGCTACCTCCCCAATAATAACAAAGAGCTAATACAGTCAAACAGCATAGAAATAAAAATCAGTAATGAAGTACAGTGATACTAAACACCCACATTCCAAACTACATCTGGACCCTAGAGGATTGCTTCCTAGATAATCAAGGGCTTTTGTGTGTCCAGTCTAATAACACATGCCTTACCAGTCTTATAAATAACATTTCATTACAGTTTGCAGCACATGTATGGCAAAGGATATATACACATAAGCATATTTGCCATGATGAGTTTCACACAGCTCCCTCAAATCCATAAGTCTAGAAGGCAAAGAAAGAGTGAAAACATGAGCAATCCAACATACGAGGGGTAGTGCCTGCTAAGAGGTAGGTGGATCTGCCATAGACACACTTGTATTCACAGAATGCAATATTATACATGTGACTGCATAGGATGCAACGTTGTGTTTTGCAGCTTTCCTTAACACCTGCTGCTCTGCATCTCACTGTATGTTCCACATATGAATACACGGAGCCAGGGTTCCAGGAGGGCTCACCCAGCCTATACAGGAAAAGGAGCTAACGTCAACTTAGCAGAGAACTCCAGTACAAATGTCTAGATGCCTTCGCGACAAGCAATGGTCCATGCCTAAGGACACTCATATATACTTCCCCTCAGCTCATCAAGGGCCTTAGACTGTCATGCAATCAGTCCTGAGAATAGGACATAATTATAAATAGAGCTGAAAGTTCTGAAAGACATAACGTCAACTGACCAACACAGAATAAAGAATGGCCTTCTTCTTCACCATTTCCTAGTGAGAAGAAAAAAATGCTGAGTCAGAAAAGATAAATATAAAAGACATTTTTAAATCTCTTTCAAAGATAATCGCAGCCAGGCATGGTGACTCACGTCTGTAATCCTAGCACTTTGGGAGGCCGAGGTGGGCGGATCACAAGGTCAGGAGTTCGAGACCATCCTGCCTAACACGGTGAAACTCCGTCTCTACTAAAAATCCAAAAAAAATTAGCCAGGCCTGGTGGTGGGTGCCTGTAGTCCCAGCTACTCAGGAGGGTGAGGCAGGAGAATGGTGTGAACCCGGGAGGCGGAGCTTGCAGTGAACCGAGATCATGCCACTGCTCCAGGCTGGGCGACAGAGCGAGACTCCGTCTCAAAAAAAAAAAAAAAAAAAGAAAAAAGATAATCGCTTGTTTAAGCAAAAATGAGGGCAATGTATTCTAGAGTTTATGACACATGTAAAAAGTAAAATGCATGACTATAATAACACAAAGAACACTTCATACCAATAAAAGTGTCGATTCATCAAGAGAGCAGAGGATACAAAATGGGGATAGGAGGAGAATAACAGGAAGCCCTGAGTCTCAGGAGACAGACCAGAACGAAGAATAGAAGGCAATGTGGACAAGACAATGGAACAGGATAATGAGGAAGAGGACAACAGATCACGAGAATGAGAGAAAAGCCACAGAGATCACAGAGGCCAGAGATAGAATAGCTAGGACAAAAAGGAAAGAAAATAGAATGAAAGAGAAAGTAAAACCAGAAGGGAATCAGAAGATGCAGGCGGAAACAACTACTACTACCACCTTGTTTAGTACTACAATGTGTAATTTCATTCAAGTTATAGACATAAACCATGTGTACTTATTATAAATCCAACAACTATACCAACATCTGAAGATCTGCATCATTATTGTGTTTTCTCTTTAATCCTATGCTTTTAGAGCCTAACAATCATACAACTATCCATAGGCAGCAATAATAGTCCTTTATATTAAAAGGAGGTGTTGCTACCTAAGAAATTCTACTGTTGGTCATTTCCATCTCTTTTGATCTCTCTTTAACTCTCCTGACATTCTTTCAATCTCAACCTCTCACACAATCATACTCTCCTCTCCTAAAATATCAAAATGCCACTATTGCCACTTAATGTTATTCTCCTACTCCCCCTTTACCACCATAGGCAGTAACTGCAAAAACTTGCTAATCCATTAACTAAAGATCTCTACTTCCCATTATGGAGGACTAAATTTAGAAAGCCAAACTGGGTTGGGAGGAAATCATGTGTCACAACGAATGAGATGAATTCCATGGAAGGGGGCTGGGTTACTGGCCTGTTTCTTATAAAGGCTCTGACACTAACACACCCTATTCTGCTGAAAATACAGAGCAGCTCTCCCATGGGTGGGCAACCCTTCATCACTGTAATCATCTGGAGAAGATTTTATTGTACCATCAGGTCTCAAAAGCCACAGGACCTAGTAGCAAGCAACTGCCTCAGGGAACATGTCTCCTCTGCTTTCCTGAAACCTCCAACTTAGTCACACAAAAGAAAGGGGTGGCAAGCCAGCATTAATTGTACCCTTAGAGAAGAGGCACTTCCCCCCTGCAGGGGTAGCAGTGACTTTACTGGGCTACCAAATGGTTAGAAAGACAAAAGTAAACACTGTAATTTGCTGTTTTGTCTCTGGCACAGGGGGAGTGGTACAAGTGACACTGTCTGTAAACAGTAATAATGCCAGATGTAACACAAAGAACAGGATTCCCGCATCTCCCCACCCCGTCCCCATCCCTCCATCTCTCCCTATGACATTCCTGAAGAAACACACAGAAGCCTCCCTACAGTCCATATGCGGCTATCAAATGAAACCGAGTGAGAACCCAAGTTTGTACCGACTCCTCCTACCTCATTCTTACTCAAAGGAAGATTTATTGGAACACAAGAAATACTCAATTGTTTTTACCAGTTGACAAAAAATATAGGAAGGGGAAGGAACAAGGGACAAAGTAAAGAATAGACATGTGACACACCCAGGTCTGGATTCGAAAAAAGCTAAAACGTAAAAAAAAAAAAAAAAAAAAAAAAAGACAAAAAGAGTAACTGAAAATAAAGGCAACCTAAACAAACCAAAAGGTTAAAAAACAAAAAATCCACCTTGAGCCCAGGCCTAGGGGCTCAAAAAAGGTATAGAAAAAGGAAGATGAATTCAAGAGAGAAAGTTACCTGACCAGAGCTCCCGCCAGGTGTAATGCAGGCGTACCCGACACTTCTTCTGGTAGCAGAGCAGTTTGTGTACTACCTGGATGCAGCGTCTGTAACAGGGAAAGCAAAAAATGAGGGTAAGCCTGAGAATATAGTGCAACTCACCAGAGATCCCTTCTTAGTGAGCCAGCTTTGCTAAGGCCACTAAAGACACTGGATATGAATATGTATACATGCAAAAAAATATACAAAACTTCTGGCCGGGCATGGTGGCTCACACCTGTAATCCTAGCACTTTAGGAGGCCAAGGCAGGTAGATCATTTGAGGCTAGGAGTTCAAGACCAGCCTGGCCAACATGGCAAAACCCCATCTCTACTAAAAGTACAAAAAAAAGCCTGGCGTGGTGGTGCACGCCTGTAATCCCAGCACTTTGGGAGGCCGAGGCAGGCAGATCACAAGGTCAGGAGTTTGAGACAAGCTTGGCCAATATGGTGAAACCCCATCTCTACTAAAAATACAAAAATTAGCTGGGTGTGGTGACATGTACCTGTAGTCCCAGCTACTCGGTTGAGGCAGAAGAATCACTTGAACCCAGGAGGCAGATGTTGCAGTGAGTCGAGATCGTGCCACTGCACTCCAGCCTGGGCAACAGAGCGAGATTACATCTCAAAAAAAAAAATAGGCTGGGCACGGTGGCTCACGCCTGTAATCCCAGCACTTTAGGAGGCCGAGGCGGGCAGATCACGAGGTCAGGAGATCAAGACCATCCTGGCTAACAAGGTGAAACCCTGCCTCTACTAAAAATATACAAAAAATTAGCGGGGTGTGGTGGCGGGCGCCTGTAGTCCCAGCTATTCGGGGAGGGCAGGGGGGTGGCTGAGGCAGGAGAATGGCATGAACCCAGGAGGTGGAGCTTGCGGTGAGCCAAGATCACGCCATTGCGCTCCAGCCTGGGTGACAGAGTGAGACTCTGTCTCAAAAAAAAAAAAAAAAAAAAAAAAAGCCAGGTGCAGTGGCATATGCCTGTAGACCCAGCTACTCAGGAGGCTGAGGCAGGAGAATCGCTTGAACCTAGGAAGCAAAGGTTGCAGTGAACCAAGATCGGGCCACTGTACTCCAGCCTGAGCGAAAGGGCAAGACTGTCTCAAAAAAAAAAAAAAGAACTTCTGCCTTCTTCTAGTAGATTAATCAATCTCTCTCTCTCTCTCTCTCTCTCTCTCTCACACACACACACACGCAATCACATACTGCTTGTGCTACCCATTCCCCTTATCAATGGGAAAAGGGTGCTATAACTACTTATAAGTCAATAATCAATTAGGCGCCACTGACGTCTTTCCCTTGAGTACCTTTCCAGGGGAAAAGGATAAACCAGTGGGTCACAATTAAACTATTCTACTCAAAGTGGTATAGTGACATGGAATGCAAAAACACAAAAGTAAAGACCTTAACTCTCTGTATCTATCTGAATGTGGTTTTTATTTAAATTAAATTTTTAATTAAATATATAATTTAAGATACCAGTCTTACTTATAAATAAAATCTATTAAAAAATTAGCTGGGCATGGTGGCACAAGCCTATACTCCCAGCCACCCTGTAGGCATGCACCACCATAGCCGGCTAATTTTTTTTTGTACTTTTAGTACAGATGGGTTTCACCATGTTGGCCAGGTTGGTCTAGAACTCCTGGCCTCAAGTGATCCACCTGCCTTGACCTCCCCAAGTTCTGGGATTACAGGCACGAGCCACCATGCTCAGCCAGAAGTTCTGTTTCTTTTTCTTTCTTTTCCTTTCTTTTCTTTTTTTTGCTGCAAACTGTAAAATTTAAATTCTATTTATATTAAAAGTTAAATTAAAAATGCAGTTTGTCAGTTGTGCTAACCACCTTTCAAGTGCTCAATAGCTACATGTGGCTAATGGCTACTATAGTGAACACAAAAAAATATAGAACTTTTCTATTATCACAAAAGTTTCTACTGGACAGCATTCTGCTAGATCATTGGAATATTCAGGGTTATTCACATCTCAATGACATATATGTTTCTGAGAGTATTTCCAAATAAGCAGTTAGTAGCTTGAGGTTAAGATAAATGATATTTTTAAAAATTATAAACCTACCAAAAACATTTTTTTCATCTCTGACTGAGATAGGATTTTGAAAGGTTAAAAAGCCAGACGAAATTATAAAGGTAAATACTGATGAAACTTACTTCCTAAAAATACAAATAATTTAATAAAAAAAAATTCAATGATTAAAATTAAATGGCAAACTACATGGGAAATTACATTTGCAACAAATGATATAATAGAGTTACTATGTTTAATATATAGAAGTTTATATACATAGATGATAAAAACAGTGTCCTTTGCTATAGTCTGAATGTTTGCCCTCTCTCTAACTCATGTTGAAACGTAATTGCAAATGTAATATTATTAAAAGGCAGGGCCTTTAAGAGGTGACTGGGTCATGAGGGCTCTGCCCTCAGGAATAGATTAATCCACTCATGGGTTAATGGATTAATGGGTTATCATGAGAGTGGGTTAGTTATCATGAGAGTAAGTCTGTTATATAAGCCAGTCTGGCTTTCTCTCCTGAGCCCCCTCACCATACAATACCTTGCACCACCTTGGGACTCTACAGAGTGTCCCCATCAGCAAGAAGATCCTCACCCAGATGTAGCCCCTAGAACTTGGACTTCCTAGTCTTCAGAACTGTGAACCTAAATAAATTTCTTTTCTCTATAAATTTTTCAGTCTCAGGTATTCAGTTATAGCAACAGCAAACAGACTAAGACAACCTCTAACAACAAAGATAGGCCAAGGAAACAGTCAACAAATTCCTCCATCTCCCAAAAAAGGGGAACAGGGAAAGTCAACATTTTTCTATAATGTTCAACTTCATTTTTAAAAGGCATATTAAAACATGATTCTACTTTTGCATATCAAATGAACATAGATTTCATGCTTACAAAGAAACAGCATTCATAATAAAAGAAAACTGGAAACAACTATGGAAAGAACATTTGATGCCAGGAGAAGAGCAAGTAAATCATTACACACATGTTCCAGATTGACATCTGTCCCCCAAAATTCATATGGTGAATTATAAATACACATCAATTCCTCTAGCTAGTGTCTCTGGCTCTCACATCACAGAGGGAAGTTAATAGTAGAGAAATTAGAACCCTCAAAGAATATTGATAAAAATAAAAATAGTACAACCACTTTGGAAAAGTCTGGAGTTTCTCAAAATGTTAGATACAGAGCTACCACATAACCCAGCAATTCCACTACTAGGTGTATACAAAAGAAAAACACAAACAGGCTAGGTGCAGTGGCTCACATCTGTAATCCCAACACTTTGGGAGGCCAAGGCAGGAGGATCACTTGAAGCCAGAAATTTCAGACCAGCCTGGGGAACAAAGCAGAATCCCATGTCTACAAAAATTAAAAACTAAAAAAATTAGGCCAGGCGCAGTAGCTCATGCCTTGTAATCCCAGCACTTTGGGAGGCCAAGGTGTGTGGATCATGAGGTCAGGAGTTCAAGACCAGCCTGGCCAACATGGTGAAACATCGTCTCTACTAAAAATACAAAAAATTAGCTGGGCGTGGTGGCAGGCGCCTGTAATCCCAGCTACTCAGGAGGCTGAGGCAGAGAATTGCTTGAACCCGGGAGGTCGAAGTTGCAGTGAGCCAAGATGGCGCCACTGCACTCCAGCCTGGGCAACAAAGCGAGACACCATCTCAAAAAATAAAATTAAATTAAATTAATATAAAATAAAAATAAATAAAAATTTAAAAATAGCTGGGTGCAGTGGCATGCACCTATAGTCCCAGCTACTCAGAAGGCTGAAACAGGAGGATCGCCTGAGCTCCAGAGTTTGAAGCTATGATTGCACCACTGCACCCCAGCCCAGATAACAGAGTAAGACCCTGTCTCTAGAAAAAATAAAAATAAAACAAAATATATGTCCACACAAAAACTGGTATACAAACAGTAATGGTGGCATTCCTAATACCCAAAAAGTCTAAACAACCCAAATGTCTATCAATTAGTGAATGAATAAATACAACGATGTTGTATTCTAGACAATGAAATATTAACCATAAAAAGGAATGGCTACAACATGGATGAATATGGAAAATAGTATGCTAAATTAAATAAGTCAGTAGTAAAAATCCACATATTCTATTATTTCATTTATATAAAATGTCCAGAATAGGCAAATACATAGAGACAAAAAGTAGATTTTTTAATTTTTGTAGACATGGGTTATCTAGGCCTGAGGGAGAGGACAGAGGAAGAAATACAGAAGAGTAACTACTACTGGGTACAGGATTTCTTTATGCAAGGGTCGATTGAAAATGGTCTAAAATTAGTTTGTGGTAATAGTTGCACAACTCTGTGAATATATTTTAAAAACACTAAATTGTATAATTTAAAGCTGCTTAAAAAAAACTCTGTGGCCTACGTTTTCCAAATATTTGTCAAGATATGCAATTTACAGCTTTCACGGCAATGTTCATTTCATATATTCTATAACTAGGTATGCTTGGATTCTTGATTAAGCCATTAAATGTCCACTTTAATAGCCTATGTTAGGTGGATAAATTGATACTCTTCATTTGAGAGGATTAGCTTTTATATTTCCTATTTTCAATTTAAATTCACAAATTCAACATTCAATTAACTATGATCTCAGCCCTTAGAATCCCTAGTGTATAGAGGTTTCTAAATGGCCTAAAATGCAATGTCTTAACTAAATCCAGATTCTAAGTCTCACTTTGTCATATCCTCGCTGCCTTAAAAGTACTTAAATTAGGACTTTTTTAGTTAAGGGAGGGTTTGGTCAACCACAGGCCCAAGGCTTGGACTGTACCCCTCTGGAACTCCAGGCTCATCACACAAACCAAAAGGTTTAGAAGAAACTGTCAGACCTACCCTTTTCATTCATTCATTCAACAAATCTTGACTGTATACCAACTGAATGCTATTGCTTAAGTCTTATTATACTAAGCTATAAAGTTCCTAGAAAACTGAACCTAGGTAAACTGCTAGTTTCAGGTAAATGAAACCGGCTCCTCCTTTTGTCTTTCGGGGGTTTTGTTTTGTTTTTGTTTTTGAGATAGAGTCTCACTCTGTCACAGTGGCTGGAGTGCAGTGGCATGATCTCGGCTCACTGCAACCTCTGCCTCCTGGGTTCAAGTGATTCTCATGCCTCAGCCTCCTAAGTAGCTCGGATTACAGATGCCTGCCACCATGCCTGGCTGATTTTTATATTTTTAGTAGAGATGGGGTTTTACCATGTTGGCCAGGCTGGTCTCAAACTCCCAACGTCAGGCGGTCCGCCCACCTCAGCCTCCCAAAGTGCTAGGATTACAGGCGGGAGCCACCGTGCCCAGCCTGAGACTCTTTCAAGTTCTATGGCTATAACCCGAGACAAAGAATATCCCAAGACCCTACTGACTTTAGCAGACACCACATTAATCTGTGGGGTATCAATCTGACAGCTGACGGAATCAAGCTAAAATAGGGGTAGCTACTACTATAAAGACACATGCACATGTATGTTCACTGCAGCACTATTCACAATAGCTAAGACATGGAACCAACCCAAATGCCCATCAATGATAGACTGGATCAAGAAAATGTGGTACATATACACCATGAAATACTATGCAGCCAGAAAAAGGAATGAGATCATGTCCTTTGCAGCGACATGGATGAAGCTGGAAGCCATCATCCTCAGCAAACTAACACAAGAACAGACAACCAAACACTGCATGCTCTCACTCATAAGTGGGAGCTGAACATTGAGAACACATGCACACAGAGAGGGGAACAACACACACTAGGGCCTGTTGGGGGGTTGGGGGGTGAGGGGAGGGAACTCGGAGGATGGGTCAATAGGCCATGGCACGCATATACCTATGTAACAAACCTGCACATTCTGCACATGTAATCGTTTTTTTGTTTTTTTAAGAAGAAATAATGAAAAAAAAAGAAAAAGAAAAAAAACAGGGGTAGCTAATTTCTTGGGCTTCTTACCAGAGGAGAAAAGAAGAAAGCAGAGAAAACACTACTAACCTCTCTCTGCAGAATGAGAGCCAGAGACACCAGGTAGAGGAATTAAAATGCCTAACAACTGACCAGGCTTGGTGGCTCACGCCTGTAATCCTAGCACTTTGGGAGGCTGAGGCAGTAGGACTGCTTGAGGCCAAGAGTTCAAGACCAACCTGGCCAACATAGTGATAGCCCGTCTTAAAAATAAATAAATAAACAAAATGCCTAACAACGTACCAAGGATACAAGTGAATTGAACTAAATTTATAAGCTAAAGTCCTAAAATTACTCTTCTCCAGATATTTTCATAGCACTCCGAATAATAAGCCTCCATTGCTACCTTATTAGCTTATTCTACTTGCTCCATTATTCACATCTCTCTCTGTTCTTCTCACTCCCTAAGTGGTCTTGCAGGAGCCTCTCAGACAGAATTTAGTAAAAACTATTTAAACAGTACTCTCTTAAAAGACTTGGGTACAGGCCGGGCATGGTGGCTCACGCCTGTAATCCCAGCACTTTGGGAGGTAGAGGCGGGTGGATCACGAGGTCAGGAGATTGAGACCATCTTGGCTAGCACGGTGAAACCCCGTCTCTATCTAAAAATACAAAAAATTAGCTGGGCGCGGTGGTGGGTGCCTGTAGTCCCAGGTACTCGGGAGGCTGAGGCAGGAGAATGGCGTGAACTTGCAGTGAGGTGGAGCTTGCAGTGAGCCAAGATCGCACCACTGCACTCCAGCCTGGGCGACAGAGCGAGACTCTATCTCAAAAAAAAAAAAAAAAAAAAAAACAAAGACTGGGGTACCTTCAGCAGTGATATTAAAAATATTTTACAGGCCGGGTATAGCGGGTATAGTGGCTCACACCTGTAATCCCAGCACTTTGGGAAGCCAAGGTGGGTGGATCACCTGAGGTCAGGAGTTTGACACCAACCTAGTCAACATGGTGAAATGCCATCTCTACCAAAAAAAAAACACAAAAATTGGCCAGGAGTGGTAGTGCAGGCCTGTAATCCCAACTACTTGGGAGGCTGAGGCACAAGAATTGCTTGAACCCGGGAGGCGGAGGTTACAGTGAGCTGAGATTGCGCCATTGCACTCCAGCCTAGATGCCAGAGTAAGACTGTCTCAAAAAAAGAAAAAAACATGTATTTTACAAACCGTACAGAAAAATAATCTATAAATCAATACATACATGGAAAAATTTTAAGTCATTCCCTTTTATTCTCTAATAAACTAACCTTGTGATATTGTAAAAAGGGTCCCCAACACCCAGGCCATGGACGAGTACTGGTTAGAAACCAGGCTGCACAGCAGGAGGTGAGTGGCAGGTGAGCAAGGGAAACTTCAACTGTATTTACAGCTGCTGCCCATGGTCTGCATTACCACCTGAACTCTGCCTCCTGTCAGATCAGTGGCAGCATTAGATTCTCATAGGAGCACAAACCCTATTGTGAACTGCGCATGCAAGGGATCTAGGTTGTGGCTCCTTATGATAATCTAATGCCTCATGATCTGTCACTGTCTCCCATCACTCCCAGACAGGACCATCTAGTTGCAGGAAAACAAGCTTAAGGCTCCCACTGATTCTACATTATGGTGAGTTACAGAATTATTTCATTATATATTACGATGTAATAATAACAAATAAAATACACAATAAATGTTATGCACTTGGATCATCTCGAAACCATCACTGCCCCCAGATCTGTGAAAAAATTGTCTTCCATGAAACTGGTTCCTGGTGCCAAAAAGGTTGGGGACCACTGTTCTAAAATATATATTTGGTCTTCAACCCTGTTTCCTGACATACAACTCCTAAAATCCTTAGAATCTCCAAAGTGATGTCTGTTTGTATGTTGAGGTGACTGACGGCTGGCCTCCCCTAGGTAGCTTCAGAATGAGGGTTGGTCACCAGGGAGACCAAGGCATGATTAGCGAGCTGGGCTTTCAGCCCTAGCCCTGACTTCCAGGGAGAGAAGAGGGGCTGAAGGTTAAGTTGATTACCAATGGCCAGTGGTTTTTATTTTATTTTATTTATTTTTTGAGACAAGGTCTCACTCTGTCACCTAGGCTGGAATGCAGTGGTGCAATCACGGCTCACCGCAGCCTTGACCTCCACGGCTCAAACCATCCTCCCTCCTCAGCCTCCCAAGTAGCTGGGACTACAAGCACACACTACCACACCTAACTAATTTTTGTAGAGACAAGGTGTCACCAAGTTGCTCAGGCTGGGCTCAAGTGATCCATCTACCTCAGCCTCCCAAAGTGCTAGGATTACAGGCATGAACCATGGCCAGCCAATGGTTTAATCAAACATGCCTACATAATGAAATCTCCATAAGAAACCAAAAGTACAGGGTTTGGAGAGCTTCTGGATAGCTAAACACATGGAGGCCTACAGGAAGGCGAACAAGAATTCATCTACGTGCAGGGAGGTTGGCACACCCCAACTCCATGGGGTCAGAAGCTCCTGGGCTCCAGACCCTTTCAGACCTCACCCTATGTATCTCTTCATCTGACTGTTTATATGTTTCTTTAAAATATCCTTTGTAATAAACTGGTAAATGTGTTTCCCTGAATTCTGTGAGCCACTCTAGCAAATTAATCAAACCTAAGGAGGAGGTTGTAGGAACCCCAATTTATAGCCGGTCCATCAGAAACACAGGCAAAATAACCTTGGGCTTCTGATTGGCTTTGAAAGCCAGGGGTAGTCTTAGGGACTGAGCCCTAAACCCATGGGATCTGAAACTACCTCCAGGTAGATAGTGTCAGAATTGAAATACAGTACACCCAGCTGCTATCTGCTACAGAACTGATTGCTTGCTTGGTGTGTAGGGACTAAACCCTCCCCACATTTGGTCATAGAAGTCTTCTGTGTTGATTGTCGTTGTTGAGTGAGAAAACAGAAAAAACACTATGTTTTTTTACACTCATAAGCCTGTACCAAAATTGCTTACCAAGTGACATAAGTTGCAATATAAATCATCCTAATTGTTTCCAAATAATTTGCTGATTTTTAGAAATTGTGATGTGATCCTGTTTGATACAGTTGTCACTTAATGATGCCCTTGTTTGAGCATGATTTGCCTTAGCAATCTACAAACTCATCTGTCAATTTTCCCATGAACTTGAGAGTCATGAGGTTCCTGGTGCTAATGGCTTTGTTGCAGCCAGCAAATGTGACTAGATGCTGCCCATACATGACTACCTATGCACACACAGTACATTCCTGAATGCCAGCACCTCTCGTATGGCCTGGGTCTGGACGGCCTATATTTGGCCCCCTTTGATAACGCCATCCCACCAACACTGAGCCACTCCAGAGCACCAATGAGATGCGACCTACATCCCCAACCCCTGCGGCCATCTATCCACATCCACTCCAGCACTGCTCCTAGATTCTGTTCCTGTCTCCACAGTCACCAACAGGTGACATCATTAGCCTTGTGGTTTCAATAATTTATACTATTTATCAAGCAGAATGAAAATTTTAACCACTGCTATGGCCTTAAAAATATATATATATACTGGAGGCCAGGCACAGTGGCTCACGCCTGTAATCCCAGCACTTTGGGAGGATGAGGCAGGTCGATCACGAGGTCAGGAATTCAAGACCAGCCTGGCCAAGATGGTGAAACCCCGTCTCTACCAAAAATACAAAAATTAGCCGGGCGTGGTGGTGCTTGCCTATAATCCCAGCTACTTGGGAGGTTGAGGCAGAGAATTGCTTGAACCTGGGAGGCGGAGGTTGCAGTGAGCTGAAATAGCACCACTGCACTCTATCCTGGGCAACAGAAAGAGACTCCATCTAAAAATATATATACACACACACACACACACACACACACACACACACGTGTACATATATATACACACATGTGTACATATATAAATATAATGTATATATACGTGTACACATATATGAATATATATGTGTGTATATATATACGTATATATGTATATATATACGTATATACATGTATATATACGTGTGTATATATATGTGTATATACGTATGTGTATATACGTATATACACACGTATATATACATGTATATACATATATATATACAGATCGCATGGGTTTATATATACACATATATGTATACATGTATATATAATACGTATATATACATACATACATGTGTATATGTGTGTGCATATATATATACTGGAGGCCAGGCATAGTGGTTCATGCCTGTAAATCCCAACATTTTGGGAGGCTGAGGCAGGGGGATCACTTGTGGCCAGGAGTTCAAGACAGCCTAGGCAACACAGCAAAACTCCCATCTCTACAAAAAATATAAAAATAGCCAGGCATGGTGGTGCAAGCCTGTAGTCCTAGTTACTCATGAGACTGAGGTGGGAGGATTGCTTGCACCCAGGAGTTCCAAGTTAGAGTGAGCCATAATCGTGCCACTGCATTACATCCTGGACGACAAAGCAAGACCCTGCCTCTAAAAAAAAATTACACACATAGGCCAGGCGCGGTGGCTCACTCCTGTAATCCCAGCACTTTGGGAGGCCGAGGTGGATGGGTCACCGGAGGTCAGGAGTTCAAGACCATCCTGGCCAACATGGTGAAACCCTGTCTCTACTAAAAATACAAAAAATTAGCCGGGTGTGGTGGTGGGCACCTGTAATCCCAGCTACTCAGGAAGCTGAGACATGAGAATCATTTGAACCTGGGGGGCGGAGGTTGCAGTGAGCCAAGATCATGCCACTGCACTCCAGCCTGGGCAACACAGAGACTCTGTCTCAAAAAAAAATAAAAATAAATGAAATAAAATACACACACACACACAAACACACACACACATATGTATGTACTGGCAGAATGACTCTAAATTTAGTGCTTCTTGTGGGGCTTCTTTCATGCTTGTAGCAATTTCCTATTTCAACACAAAATGAGTTCCACTTTCTCCTGAAATCTTCCTGTAGGACCCACTGAAGTCTGTACCTTTCTTCTGATGCCTACCTACAGGTTTGGAAATATGTGACTTAAGAAGAGTCCAAGTTTTCGATGTAAGAGTAACTTAAAGGAAAATTTACTCTCCCAGAGACTATATCCCCTCACTCCCCAATCCTGTGGTGGCAGTGAGAGTGGCAGCAAGAATCAAGGAGTACAGCTAGGAGGTGAAAGTAATTGGTTCGGTTTTGCTACCTCTTAACTGCTCCAGGCAAGACCTTTCTTTTTTTTTTTTTCTTCAGTATAAGCACCTTCCCCCATCATTACCTACAGCATTCACACACAGATGTGAAATTGTTTCATTTCTGACCCAGATTCTGGCTTTGAGTATTAAGTCTTTCCAAACTCCATATTTCTTCATATTTCACTAGGAAGATTATAAACTTATCTGAAATGGCAGAAATTCATTTTGCTTTCAATTTCTCATTCTGCTGTATACTGCCGAAAAGGGGTACATAATGAGAAGTGAGAGCAGCAGCCTGGCCTGCTGCCCAGCTGGAAGCAGGAAGTTCACCTGATAAGGACTTGATGCTTCAAATTCTAAAAACTGGAAAGGGAGCTAGAAGTGGGGGAAGGAAGATCTGGAAACATGCCCAGGGGTAGTAATGAAGAAAGTGAATTCAGCCTGAGGGTGGGACCTTCTGCCCAGCCTCTGTCAACTTGATGCCTCGTTATCTTCTCCATCTTCCCTAACCCCAGGGCAGTAAATTAAGGAGCAGGTGGAAAAAGCGCCTAAGAAAGCAAGGCAAGATAAAAACTCTTTTGAGGGTGAAGTTATGAACAAGGGCGAGGAGGGAGTTAGAACATTTGGGTAGACCAGGTTCATTGGCTAGAAATGTGGGGGTTTGGGTAAACAGATAATATACCTGTAACTTTACAGTAATGAACATACAATCTTATCATATCAGCCCCACCTTCAACTGTTCCTCATCATCCACTTAATCTTGGGCAAGCTTTTTTTCTACTCTCTTATCCTCCCTCCATGCACTCTACACTCTAACCACCTGGAATTATGCTCTATTCTCCAAACATACCACATTTTCTAGCCTCCAAGCACCTAAACATGCTGGTCCCCTACGTGGTATGTCCTTCCCTGACTCCTCCACACAGAAAATCCCTAGTGTTTCTTCATGACTCAGGTCAAATGCAACCTTCCGATATCTTCTCTAATGCTCCAGTCAGCATAGTCACTCTATACAAATCTTTCCTCCATCACTTATCACAGACATGATTAAGAGAACAGCCTCCGGGGTCAGACATGAATTTTAACCTTAGTTATGCAGCTTACTAGCTGTGCAACTGTGGTACCAGCCTGCAAGATGGACCCCAATCTGGTATTCACACACTCATATAGTCCCTTTCCACATTGCAACAGGGTTGGTCTGTGTGACCATTAGAAATGATATGTTACTTGAGATTAGGTTATACATGATACTATGGCTTCCATCCTGGGCTCTCGCTCCCCTTTTCTCTCTTAGATTAACTGCTTTGGGGAAAGACAGCTGCCATGCCTACCAACCCTACGGAGAGACCCACGTGGTGAAGAACTGAGGCTTACCAACAACCATTAGGTGAGCCTGAAAGCAGATTTTTGAGCCCCAGTAGAATCTCAGATACTTGCTGCCCCAACTAACCTGGTCATCATCTTATTTTAATAAAGTTTAAGCCTTAAGGTTTTTTTTAATTCTTTGCCACTTCTGCATTCTTCTCTTTAACACTCTTTAAGAAAAGCTGTGCCACGTTAATGTGATCCTCAAGTATGCATATTACCTTTATTCCTTAAAAAGCATCCTTTTGAGAGGCCCTATGCCAAAACTATCCAGTTAAGTTTCTCCTGGATTCCTGAACCACAGAAACTGTGAGGTGATAAATGTTTGTTTTAAACCACTACGTCTAGGGTAGTTTGTTACACAGCAGTAGATAACTAATACACCTGGGAATGTAACAGTTCAGAATTTATAGTAAGAAAATTTGGGTTCAAATCTAGGCAATGATGCTTACTAACAGAATAACCCTGGGCAAAGTAATTAATCTCCTGAGCCTCAGTTTCCTTTCTTTTAAAATGAAAAAATTGAAACTACAGTAATACGTGTTACAAAGTAAATAGCACATCCTAAAACTAGGATATAAAATAAGCCAGAAATAAAGTCCATAGCAAAAACAAATCTGAACCCTAAGATAATGAAGTTCAGGGACCCCAGCTAAAATAAGCTGAACACTCATCTGTTAAGTGTTATAAAAAGCAACTGTTCATGGTCTTTGAATTGAAATAAAGGATCAGACTTACTTCTAAACACCCAAAAGGTATGGAAAAATGCAAACTGCAACCTACTTACCTAAAAGTAAAATTTGTATCATTATTTCAGACCTACGAAAGCAAGACTATATAGTTTATAAGCAATCTAAGAAGCCGGAAGGTTGGGCACAGTGGCTCACGCCTGTAATCCCAGCACTTTGGGAAGCCAAGGCAGGCAGATCACCTAAGGTCAGGAGTTCTAGACCAGCCTGGCCAATGTGGTGAAACCCTGTCTCTACTAAAAAATACAAAAATTAGCCAACATGGTGGTGCGCGACTGTAGTCCCAGCTACTCGGGAAGCTGAGGCAGGTGAATCACTTGAATCCAGGAGGCAGAGGTTGCAGTGAGCTGAGATCATGCCACTGCACTCCAGCCTAGGCAACAGAATAAGACTCTGTCTCAAAAAAAAAAAAAAAAAAAAAAAGCAAGCTAGAGGTCTACTCTATTTAGACTGAAATCCTTTATACCTCCCTAGATCCCAGGCCTGGCACTGCAATGGGCTTTACTCAATTTGCTGTTCACCAAATTACCCTCTTGCCCAAAAATCGGAGGGAGCAATTCTGATGTCACACTCAATTCAGATGTTTTATAAGGACTAAAGATAATATACATATTTGAGATCACATTAATGTGGCACAGCTGTTCTTGGGTGTTAAAGAGAAGAATGTAGGAGGAGTGGCAAAGGAGAAACAAAACTCTTAAGGTTTAAACTTTATTAAAATATGATAATGGCTAGGTGTAATGGCACACACCTGTAGTCCCAGCTACTTTGGGAGGCTGAGGTGGGAGGACTGCTTGAGCCTAGGAGTTGAAGACCAGCCTGGGCAACACAGTGAGGCCCTGTCACAAAGTAAAAAGAAAATATGATGATTCTGAGTTGCCTCCAGTTGTGCTCATTATAAAGAATTGTGATGGTCGGCCAGGTGTGGTGGCTCATGCCTGTAGTCCCAGCACACTGGGAGGCTGAAGTGGGCGGATCACCTGAAGTCAGGAGTTAGAGACCAGCCTGGCCAAGATGGTGAAACCCCATCTCTAGTAAAAATACAAAAATTAGCAGGGCATGGTGGTGTGCACCTGTAATCCCAGCTACTTGGGAGGCTGAGGCAGAAGAATCACTTGAACCTGGGAAGCAGAGGTTGCAGTGAGCCGAGATCATGCCACTGCACTCCAGCCTAGGCAACAGAGTGAGACTCCGTCTCAAAACAAAAACAAAAACAAAAACAAAAAACTGTGATGGTCAAACAGTTCTCCTCAGGAGGCAGGACTCTCCCGGCGAGGCCACTGGAGACATAATCTGCCCAGATAATAGGGCTCCAGCTAGGCTGTCAGGACAATGTAGGCTAAGAATGGATCAGAAGCGCTATCTCTCTCTAAATTCGTCCTACCTAATGCGAAAGCTCAGAGACAACTAAGTGGTCTGCTGGTATTGCATATCTTTGATTACAACAGACCCCTGCGATCACTATATTCATGTGTCGGCTCCCTCTTCATGCAGTGTGCCTAGAAGTGATCATGCGGATATGTGCAGAATCCACATTGTGGTTTGTGCTTATTACCTCTTCTGAAAAGATGTACAGATCCAGGCCAGAAAATGTTCCCTAACACTTCTCCACATGCAAATGTGTTTTTCTTAAAGTATACACAGACCATGAACTTTCTTTTTTTTTTTTTTTTTTTCCCAGACAGAGTCTTCGCTCTGTCGCCCAGGCTGGAGTGCAGTGGCACAATCTCAGCTGACTGCAAGCTCCGCCTCCTGGGTTCACGCCATACTCCTGCCTCAGCCTCCCAAGTAGCTGAGACTACAGGCGCCCACCACTGCGCCCAGATAATTTTTTGTATTTTTTGTAGAGACGGGGTTTCACCGTGGTCTCGATCTCCTGACCTTGTGATCCGCCCGCCTCGGCCTCCCAAGGTGCTGGTATTACAGGCGTGAGCCATGGCGCCCGGCCTACACAGACCATGAATTTTCTAACATTCAGTTCTTTAAAATAGATTTGTACACATTAAATGTGTACATATTTGTACTTACATATAGAGATCCATAGGAAACTCCTTCATCATGTGTGTTACAATAAACTCTACCATCAGGTCTGAAAGGGGAATAGAGAAAAACTGGATCAATTACAATGGAATTCATTTCTTGTCTTTGAGTTGGAAAAAAAGCTTCTGAGTACACCTTGCACTCACACTGAACGGCATCCACTAACCACATCTTTATTCATATACACTTATTTTATATAACGCATTTTGTGTAACACTGTTCACCACCTGCCACTTGTAAAGTAATAAGAAATTATTTCACTTGCTGACCTCCAGAAGGATACCCTGACCTGCCAATAAATTCAGATAAATGGAAAATTTCATTGTATAGATATTTCATCCCATGGCATTAATGCAGACTGCCAAAGGGAAATCATATTCTGAGACTAGACAATGAAGCAAGCTCTGAGAAGAAATTATGGATCACATTTGTGTAACCAGAGACTCAGCTCTAAAGCTATGTCAGTCAATCTCATCTTACTATCATGCTCAGTTAGACAGATATTGACTGAAATGGGCTGTGGGGCTTTGGGTCAAGAGAGGCTTATTATACAGCCTTAATTACTGTTTCTAAAATTAAGTAGATTTAGAAACTGGGGCTGAATATCCAAGTGAAATGGGATTAAGAATTCAGCTAATTCCCTGAGGAAAATGCAGAATTCTGGACAGACAAAATTACCCAAGATACAGCCCCCTACCTGTCAACTCAGTCAGCCTCATCTCAGTTTAATATACTCAGGGGAAGTTTTGTATATGTAAACCATGAACTTCAAGCCTCCTGGCCAGCCAGCACATCAATTCAAACCAAGAAAGGATGGGAAGAATTTGAAATCTTTTTTTTTTTTGAGATGCAGTCTCGCCCCAGCTGGAGTGCAATGCCGTGATCTTGGCTCACTGCAACCTCTGCCTCCTGGGTTCAAGCGATTCTCCTGCCTCGGCCTCCTGAGTAGCTGGGATTACAGGCGCACGCCAACACGACCAGCTAATTTTTGTATTTTCAGTACAGACAGGTTTTCACCATGTTGGCCAAGCTGATCTCAAACTCCTGACCTCAAGTGATCCGCCCACCTCAGCCTCCCAAAGTGCTGTGATTACAGGTGTGAGCCACTGCGCCCAGCCTGAAATCTTGATCATGTATCTTGTAAATCATGTATCAAGTTTAGACACAGCCATTTGTCTCACTGGAATGACTTTTTTCTTTGAACAACAGGACCCTTTTATTGACCACTCTATAACTGGGGTTGCTTTACCAAACACAACAATAAACATGATTCTTAGGCCAGGGAAAAAACACAACTAATAATTTATTTGCGGAAGAAGCACATCAAACAGGTTCTACTCTTCATCTTCATCATGAAAGCCTATCGCTGTCACAGAACAATGTCAATGTTGATGATACTCACTCACCCAGTACTGCACATACTAAAGGACGGCAGGGAAGATTCTTGTCTGCTGCCTTCTTCCTGTGTCTCATAGGCTTCACACCAAAAAAATGAAGAAAGGAAATTAGTAGACACCGGCACTGACATCCAATGGCCCATCATCATGTTCCTTGTGCAAATAAAATCACTATTACAGGGATACTTCCTTTTCTTTCTCTTTTTCACATGGTGGGAGAGGAATGAGGTAGCATGGGATGAGGCGGGGAAGGGAGGACTTGTGAATGCTTCAGTTATCAATGCACGCCTGTTACAAAATTACAATTCACAACCTCAAAGGGCACTAGAGAATACTACAATGGGAAAACTGTTGGTTTTACTTTGCTTTTAGTTATATAAGTGGCATTACTAACGACAAAAGAGGTACACTGGTGTTTTTCTTTGACGATAAATAATAATAATAAAAAAAAGAGGAAGTGATGGTGCCACCTATAGAAGCAGCAACAGTAGTAGTTGCAAAAAAATAAAGAAAGTTTTACATCTAAACCTCAATGTAATTTTTTTTTTTTTTTTGAGACGGAGTCTCGCTCTGTTGCCCAGGCTGGAGTGAAGTGGCACGATCTCGGCTCACTGCAAGCTCTGTCTCCTGGATTCGCGCCATTCTCCTGACTCAGCCTCTTGAGTAGCTGGGACTACAGGTGCCTGCCACCACACCCGGCTAATTTTTTGTACTTTTAGTAGAAACGGGGTTTCATCCTGTTAGCCAGGGTGGTCTCAATCTCCTGACCTTGTGATCCCGCCTTGGCCTCCCAAAGTGTTGGGATTACAGGTATGAGCCACCAAGCCCGGCCCTCAATGTGATATTTTTTAACATACCTCCAAGCTTTAAGAAATTCCCTGATCCTCCATATTCTATTTGCCCACTTCTCAGATGAACAAATCTGAGCAGCAGCTAGTCTTAGCCACTCAAAAATTATACTACATTTTGAAAACAAAAGGCTTAGAACCATTTCCTTGCTGAAACCTATATTATTGAAATCCAGTATCAGGCCAGGCGCGGTGGCTCACACCTGTAATCTCAGCACTTTGGCAGGCCAAGGCGGGCAGATCATCTGAGGTCAGGAGCTGGAGACCAGCCTGGCCAACGTGGTGAAACCCCATCTGTAACGAAAATACAAAAATTAGCCGAGCGTGGTGGCAGCCACCTGTAATCCCAGCTACTCAGGAGGCTGAGGCAGAAGAACTGCTTGAGCCCAAGAGGCAGAGGTTGCAGTGAGCAGAGATCACACCATTGCACTCCAGCCTGGGGGGGAGAGAGAGAGAGAGAGACTCTCCCTCAAAAAAAGAAAAAAAAAAAAAAAGAAATCCAGTATCATTGCCACGCTTGTGAATCTTCCAAAACTCTTGATTAAGAAACAGCTCCATGACACACAAAAATCCCAACAACAAGCATGGGTCTGTTGAACAGCCGTCATGCAAAGCCCTTTGGCACAACTTTCCACCCACATTTGTTCTAGTAAGATCAATTTCATCCCAACCCTGCCGACATACAAAAAATTTCCTCTAAGAAAAAACAAGAAGCAAAAGAAACACCTACCATTCTATGTAAGTTTACTCGAAAATTCATGTTGTCATCATGCAAAAATGCATTGGCATATTGATCCTAATAAAAATATAGAGAAAAAGTAAGAAGCGAGAGCTATATTTAAGAAACTGTAATCTATCACACTTCGTACAAATCCTTGGACTTTGAGAACTACTTTCAAGGATCAGCTGGACAGCTAATAGGATGAGCCTAGAGCCTTATGTCAAACCCTACTTAAGCCATGAGATTTTTCTTTAGTGTAATTTCCCAGTGTATCTCTAACTGGTCAAAAATTTCCAAGCAAAAACAATAAAAATTAAGACGCAGGGACTTAAGGCAGATGCTGAGAGGAATGAGAGTAATCTGTTTTCCTATTCCCTCTTCCGTCCCATCTGCCCAAGGAGCTGGCTCTGTTTGTGATAGTTTAAGGTTTTCACAGAGGCTGCAGGATTCATGTGCAGGCTCCACATGAGGGTTTAGGAGCAAGAAGAAAAATCTGTGCTCTGCTGGGAATGGGTTCAGCCCAACAGAAGCAAACTGCTACACAGGCAGCGTGGAAGCAGGCAAGACCCTGTCTATTCCGGGCTTTCCTGAAGACTGACAGAAAATCAAAAACCTCTTACCATGGATTAGTAATAAACATCCCTTGGCCCTTTCCCAATACCTTTTCTGAAGATCTGACAAGCCTACAGACTCCAATTACAAGGAACTGTTACAATTTGTGAAAAACAACTCCTTTAAAGATTTTCTTAGAAAGATTTTTGAAAAGCAATTATACCAGGCCCACTGCTAATAAGCAGCTCTTCCATAACCAGCCACCCCTAATCTTGTGAAAAGGAGGTCATCTTTCCACAGAGAACATGAAGAGAGAGAGACTGAGAGAGATCTCTACTTCATGTGGAATATCTTCACCATTTTTCTTAAGAGAGAAAAGAGCAGAGTGGGGAATAGTAAAGGGGGAGGTTGAAGCTATAAATTTAGCTCTAAACTCACTCAAGTTCTGCCATGCCTGTGTGTCACCAAGATACATGGTGAGTTTGAACCTAATTAGTCCAACCAAAAGTGGCTTCTTAAAAAGCCAAAGCATCTCTTCTTTTTTCCCCTCAGCTCTTGTTCCTCGGCAAACTGCAATTACTGAGTTTCCAATTCCCCTCTCTGGCTTTACTATCCACCCCTTCACCCCATCACAGGAAACCTGAGCTCCTTTTTTATTTTTTAAACTGCTCCACTGCCGAGCATGGTGGCTCACGCCTGTAATCCCAGCACTTTGGGAGGCCGAGGTGGGTGGATCACCTGAGGTCAGGAGTTTGACACCAGCCTGGCCAACATGGCAAAACCCCATCTCTACTAAAATTACAAAAATTAGCCGGGCAAGGTGGCACTGCCTGTAATCCCAGCTACTAGAGGGGCCGAGGCACGAGGATCGCTTGAACCTGGGAGGTGGAGGTTGCAGTGAGCCAAGATCATGCCACTGCACTCCAGCCTGGGCAACAGAGCGATACTCCGTCTCAAAACAAACAAACAAACAAACTGCTCCACAGTTTAAAAACACAGTGCTAAACAGCGTGGAAGCAGACAAGACCCTGTCTATCCATGGCTTCATCGAAGACTACACTCTAGTGGGAGAAGACAGATAATACAAAGGGGGAAGATTTTCTCTCCTAAACTTTAGGACCCTAAATGTCATGAGACAGTAATGGGGTGAGGGGAGGCAGGGAAAGATAGCACTTTGTAAAAGACTGCCTAATAGCAGAAGGCTCGTGAGACCTACCTCTGCAATACATGTAAGGATAATCAGACAGAGTTTGCCACTGTGAAGCCTGTGTTCATCTGTAAAGAAAAAAGAAACTCTTCTCTGTAAATCATCCAGATTTACATCATCTGTTTCAATACAGAACAAGGACGTATATCATAAAAGGAAACATTCACACTTTCTCTTCCCACAAAATCCATAAATGAAAATCAAGGTACTACTATAGTAATTCTTGCTTCCCTCCTAGGCAAAAGAATTCCCCCAGAAGATTTATTTTTTTAATATCCTGGTAGTCTGTTAAATGGCTAACCACCTTCCTGAAAGCCATCTAACTCACAATGGTTCCTACTGTCATGGCTCAAATAGTGGCCAGTACTCTCACATCAGCCCTTTGCTGATAGAACTTGAATAGTCAGGTCCATTTCCTTTTCCACCCACCCTCTCATCTGCCAGCTCTAAGCACCACCTACCACAAAATCTAGAAAGATTTCATGACTGCTCATAGCAAACTGGCAATGAAATCAAAAAGAAATTAACTGGAGACTAGGGTCCAGCCCACGCTTCTCCTTGCAATTGTATACTTATGCCCTAGAAAGCTGTGAACTCTTGATCATTTTTCTTCCTGTCAAAGTTACTCATTCAACAAATATTTACTTAGCACTACTATGTGGCAGGCACTGTGCAAGGCACTAGAGATATAGCACTGAATAAAACAGACAAAGGTCCCTGGTCTCTCACAACTCACATTCTAGTTATTAAAAAAGAAGAAGACAACCTCAGTAGCAGGGCTCTAAGCCCACACACAAAAGGACAAAAAAGAGCTAATCCATTACTGCCAAGTACGAGAACCCATCAAGCTTATGTTACTTTCCAGAAACTCTGTGGGTGAAGGAGTGAAAAGGAAGTAAGAAGAGGATCATGCCAGCATAGCCAAAACAGACAAATGGCTCATGATTTTCAAATTAGCTTCAACAGGACCCAGAATGAAGTCCAATCTAGAGAGAAGACCTCTTAATGGATTAGAGTGCTGTAGAAGTTAGCTATTACTATTTACCCTGACATTGACCTGCTTCTTTCTCAAAAATGGGATCTATCAATTAAAACCTGACAATTAGATGGCATAATGGGGATTACAATCCACAAATATACTCACATCTCCTCAGAGATAGGCAATGCAAAAAGAGTAATGGTGACAATCCCTATCTGACACTCCCTGGAGCTTCATCAAAGCCCCGATATAGCCAAAGAGTAATGCCCTTGCCTCCAGAAAACTAGATTCACAACTCTTCTACCCACCTTTAGCCAGTTTCTATGGCACTATCCTCCCACAAACTGATACGCAACTCCCACAGAAAAGCCTGCAGCTATCTCTCCACTTAAAATTTTTTTTAATTTTAAAATTAAAGTGTTTATGAATACAAAACTAGGCTTATTTCATTATAGACAGTCTTTTAAACTCTAAAAAAGCATATACACACAAAACAATGAAAATCAAATTTAATCATACCACCCAAATGTTATAACTGTTAAGACTTTGGTGAATCAACTTTAAGTCTATGCATAGATATACATGGTTTTTACAATTTTTTGCCTAGTATCTATTATAAAGGTTGAGCAGAAGCTTCTTTAAGGTGACACCACCAAAGTCAGAAAAATCCCAAGTAATAAAGGCTTTAAAAGCAGGGGAAAACCCAAGGGAATAGGGGCTGGGCTCAGTGGCTCACACCTCTAATCCCAGCACTTTGGGAGGCTGAGGTGGGATGATCACCTGAGGTCAGGAGTTGGAGACAAGCTTGGCCAACATGGTGAAACCCCTTCTCTACTAAAGATACAAAAATCAGCCAGGCGTGGTGGCATGCACCTGTAATCCCAGCTACTCAGGAGGCTGAGGCAAGAGAATCGCTTGAATCCACAAGGCAGAGGTTGCAGTGAGCCGAGAAGATCATGCCACTGCACTCCAGCCTGGGTGACAGAGTGAGACTCTGTCTCAAACAAACAAACAAAACCAAAGGAATGATAAATACAAAATTCTGGGCCACGCGTGGTGGCTCATGCCTGTAATCCCAGCACTTTGGGAGGCCGAGGCGGGTGGATCACAAGGTCAGGAGATCGAGACCATCCTGGCCAACATGGTGAAACCCCATCTCTACTAAAATACAAAAAATTAGCTGGGCATGGTGGCGCAAGCCTGTAATTCCAGCTACTCAGGAGGCTGAGGCAGGGGAATCGCTTGAACCCGGGAGGCAGAGGTTGCAGTGAGCTGAGATCGTGCCACTGCATTCCAGCCTGGCGACAGAGCAAGACTCCGTCTCAAAAAAAAAAAAAAAATTCTGGAGAATGGAGAGGAGAGAAGTGATTGGGGAGGGACACACAGGTAGCTTCAACAGCATTAATGTTGTTTTATTTAAGTTGGGTGGTAGGTTCACATATGTTCATTTTATTATTATACTTTATAAGTTATGCTATTTATTATAGTTATTATAAACTTTATACCTTATTATACATATCTATTAAAAGTATCTTTTTGGGTTTAAAGGATAAATATATAAGAAAAAGGAAAAAGATAATATCCTCATGGCGGTGGTGGAAACAGAGCCAAGAAAAAGTTGCTTCTATTGCTGCTAAAAACATAATGAGATGCTGTTAGCCAAGGCATGCAGCAGGGGCTGAGGCAGGAAGAAAGCTGGGCCAATAAAGCCACACAGGAGTCATTTTTGAAATTAACTCTTCATTCCTAACCTTGCCCTTTGCCATATTTAGGTTGCCTGTTGGCCAAGACCACTCATTCTACAATTAATCAGCCTTTAATTTTGCCTTCCATTTTATGGATGGCAAGTGACCAAGACAAAGAAGCTTATATAATCACTAAAGCTAAAAATGAGTTCCAAGGGCCTCAGTTCACTGTGTTATATCCGGCAAAGCTAAAAGTTCATTTTCTAGGTCACATCCATGCAGTGTCTCTATTCTGTGGTTGCTGCAATACTTCTAGAGAAAGGAAGAGGTTACCATTTCCATAAAGAAGCAATGGCTTCAAGAAAGTGATACACAAGTCTGGTTATCCTTGCTTACCAGATCTCTCTTGCCAAGTCTCAGAGGTTCAGCTATCTCTGCAGCTCCCAATGGACTGTTTTATGTTAGGAGTTAGTGACATGGACTACTTAAATCTATCTCATCCCTGATATAGCTCTCTCTTTCTTGAAAGAGAACACTTGCAAAACATAAAGGAAGAAAAAAGTCTAAGTTTGCAAGGCAGAAATCTCCAAGAGCTAATACAATATGTCTGAGTGTAACATATCTTAGACTCTGCCCACCCAGGCTCCTTTCTGCTCTGGCAATTCTTCATTTCCCATACTTACCTTTTAGCTCTCCTGTCTCTGTCTACCAATGTTTCTTTCTCACTCTAAAAGTCTCCGAATCCTGGTCTTCTCCTCCTATGCAGTTCTTGCCTTTCAGCTCCATTCTTAGACTTCTGAAAACTCTCCAACCAGAAACCTACCTACCTCACTTGGCAAATAAGAGACTTCTAGAGTATACTTAATGCCTAAGGGAAACTTAAACCACCTACAAGGCATTAATCTCTCCTCACAGAAAGTAAAGTGGCAAAAACCATAGTATTTCAGCAATTTTGCTTCTAAAGTGGAAATGGTTTTTTTGTTATTTAGGAATCTGAAGTTCATCTGTGGACCATAATTTAAGAACCCAAATATAAACTACTGGACAGTTAGTTCCTAAAAAGGATTTAAAGATTCTTATAAAGAAGCCTTAAAAAGGAAGAATCTATGCCAAATTGTTAAGAGTGATTAACTCTGGAGAGTTTAAATTACAAAGAACTTTCACTTTCTAAGTTAACTATTGCTAGAATGTTTTAATTTTTAATAAGAATATTTCAATTATTTTTGTAATTAGGAAAAAAAATCCTTTTTTTTTTTTGAAACAGAGTTTTGCCCTTGTTGCCCAGGCTAGAGTGCAGTGGCATGATTTTGGCTCACTGCAACCTCCGCCTCCCGCATTCAAGCGATTCTTATGCCTCAGCCTCCCAAGCAGCTGAGATTACAGGCACCCACCACCATGCTTGGCTGATTTTTGTATTTTTAGTAGAGACAGGGTTTCACCATGTTGGCCAGGCTGGTCTCAAAGTCCTGACCTCAGGTGATCCTCCCACCTAGGCCTCCCAAAGTGCTGGGATTACAGGTGTGAGCCACAGCGCCCAGCCAAAAAATCCTTTTAAATAGGAGAAGCCCACTGGATCAATCTGTAGGTACCAAAAGAAATGCTAATAAAAATGTTCATTAAAATGCTAGCTTTGTGTCCCAAAAAAGCAAGCATTTTGGGGACAAATGGGGATACTGAAATAGGGACTAAATATTACATGATACTACAGAATTATTGTTGACTTTCTTAGATATAATAATGGTATTCTGGATATCTAGGAAAATGTCCTTAACTTTAGGTGATACATGTTAAAATATTTATGTGTAAAGCAGAATCATGATGTCTGCAACTTCATTTAAAATGATTCAGCCAGGCCGGGCGTGGTGGCCCATACCTGTAATCCCGGCACTTTGGGAGGCTGAGGTGGGCGGATCACAAGGTCAGGGGTTTGAGACCAGCCTGGTCAACACAATGAAACCCCGTCTCTACTAAAAATACAAAAATTAGCCAGGTGTTGTGCCACATGCCTGTAGTCCCAGCTACTCCAGAAGCTAAGGCAGGAGAATGGCTTGAACCTAGGAGGCGGAGGTTGCAGTGAGCCTTGGTTGCAATTGCACTCTAGCCTAGGCAACAGAGCAAGATTCTGTCTCAAAAAAATAAAAAATAAAATAAAATAAAATGATTCAGCCAAAATAACAACAACAACACACAGAAAGAAATTTAAGTGCAAACCAAGTATGGTAAAATGTTCATGAGTATATAGGTAAATCACTTCACAATTATTTTCAACTTCTGTATACTAGAATTTTTTCATTACAAAAAATGGAAGAAAAAATGCTAGCTCAGTGTCACCATGAAATCAAAGGCTTACTTCCAGGCAATCCTAAAACTGGGATATATTCCACTTATATCAGGTTCCTAGAGCAGTCAAATTTATAGAGGCAGAAAGCAGAATGGTTGCTGTCAGGCCTTGGGGCAAGAGGAGGATGGGGTATTAGTGTTTAATGGGTATAGAGTTTCCATTTTGTAAGATGAAAAAGTTCTGAGGCCAGGTGCGGTGGCTCACACCTGTAATCCCAGTACTTTGGGAGGCCAAGGCGGGCAGATCACTTGAGCCCAGGAGTTCAAGACCAGCCTGGGCAACATGGCGAAACCCCGTATCTACAAAAAATACACACACAAAAAAAATATTATCCAGGTATAATGGTGCACACCTGTAGTCCCAGCTACTCAGGAGCCTGAGGTGGGAGAATCACCTGAGCCCAGGAAGTCAAGGCTGCAGTGAGCTGAAACCACACTACTGCACTCCAGCCTGGCTGACAGACTGAGACCCTGCCTTCAAAAAACAGAAAAATAAAAAGTTCTAGAGATGGATGGTGATGATAGTTTTGTTGTTTTTTTTTTGAGATGGAGTCTCACTCTGTCATGCAAGCTGGGGTACAGTGGCGCGATCTCAACTCTCTACAACCTCCACCTCCCGGGTTCAAGCAATTCTCCTGTATCAGCCTCTCGAGTAGCTGGGATTACAGGCACATGCCACCACGGCCGGCTAATTTTTGTATTTTTAGTACAGACAAGGTTTCACCATGTTGGCCAGGCTGGTCTTGAACTCCTGGCCTCAAGTGATCCTCCCGCCTCAGCCTCCCAAAGGGCTGGGATTACAGGCATGAGCCACCGTACCCAGCCAGTGATGATGGTTGTACAAAAATATGGAAGTAGGTAATGCAACTAAATAGTACATTTAAATATGGTTAAGATGGTAAATTTTGTTATATATACTTTACCACAATAAAAACAAACATAAAAATTGTGAACACTCACATAAATCCTGTATAAAGAAAAATGCTAAGTAGGGGAAAAAAAACAAAACTAAGATATATACTGGATAGAATTTGCTGTGTCTCCTTCCAACCCCTTCTCAATCCTAGGACAACTACTCCACTACTCTACCACCAAGTAAAAGGCCATGGCAAAATCACAAACAGAGGAAAAACAGGAAATCACACAACAAAACCTCAAACTTTTCCAACACTCAATCCTCTCCCACTTCCACTCTTGCATTTCTAGGATGGGTATTGACACTTCTATTTTAAGTGTTCAAGAACAGAGTCCCTCTGAATCTCACCTCTTCCTACTGTACTGTGTACGACAGTCCTCTAATTCTCACCACGAGCTGATGCTTTCAGTTCCTGTCCTCAAAAGGGAATTCCCTGAAGCGTGCTAATCCCTCCACTTCCCACACATAAGAGTCTGCATCTACTTACCAAGATCTGCTAAGAAGATTTGCTAGCTTTCAAAGAGACCAATTTTTTTCCTGTTCTATTTTTGAGTACTCCCCTCCAGCTTCAGGTTTTCCCAACACCACCTAATTGCCATCTAGCAATTAGGTGAGACATCACTATTTTCCAGCAATGAAGACCATGTACACAAGGCCCCAATAGTTCATCTTGTCAAAGCTTCAAAATATTAATGTTGCTCTTTGATGCTAGCTGCCTGCCACACCTTTGACTTCCTGAGCCCCCAAAATAGCTATGGCTTACCTTTGGTGTCCTGCATGACAATTGAGCTATACTTTAAAAAGGTTATCAGTAGATTACTGGTCTGTACATCTGCATCCAGTGGGAGTTCCACAGAACTTATAACTGGAATAGAACAGATAAAATGCACTTAGCCTGCAACATATTCCATCTAACACTTCTACCCACATAGCCAATTTGCCAGCAGGCAAAAAAATCACTAAATAAGCTTTTTCCACAACAGAGGGAGGACCAAGTGCTCATCACAAAACTTTTATCTACTCTTCCTAAGCCTGTAGAGCCCCCTTCCTATTCCCCAAATTAAGCCCAGTGACCTGCTCTCCTATCTAGGGCCAGTCTCCAAGAACGGTGCTTTTTCTCCCAACATCCTGGGAAGGGTATGTTGATTCCACTTCCTGCCCCAAGTATCCCCAAAGAGTTTAAGGCCCTTCTTAAAGAAACTTCGATTTCTACCTGAAGGAAAGATCTGTATTGAATATAAATGAGTTTTACTTTGATGGGTCTCCTGCTTGAAATCAGTGAAGATTCCTCCCTAACAAGGAGAAATCTTGCTGAATTTTGAGAACAAGTCTTTAGGCTGGACGTACCCATGATAGAGAGGGGAAAATGTTAAGGCAGAACTATATTCAAATTCTACCACTATTAAGTGGCAGACTTCCCTTCCCCGCTTAAGGGAACTGAAAGTAATAGTAGACTGAAAACAGATGAACAGGTCAAGCGCAGTGGCTCACGCCTGTAATCCCAGCACTTTGGGAGCCCGAGTTGGGCACATCACCTAAGGTCAGGAGTTCGAGGTCAGCCTGGCCAACATGGTGAAACCCCATCTCTACTAAAAATACAAAAATTAGCTGGGCATGGTGGTCGGTGCCTATAATCCCACCTACTAGGGAAGCTGAGGCAGGAGAATTGCTTGAAACCGGGAGGCGGAGGTTGTAGTGAGCCGAGATGGCGCCACTGCACTCCAGCCTGGGTGACACAGCGAGACTCTGTCACAAATAAATAAATAAATAAATAAATAAATAAATAAATAAATAAAAACAGATGAACATTACTGATTGGAACAGCCTGGGAACTGAGTTTTACATACCTAGCTGATGTTTCTAAGAGAAATCCCCCACCCAGTTCTCTGAGCCACAGTCCCAATGAACAATGACAGATAATTGGCCTCTAATGACCAGGGCTGACCACAGAACACAGTATTTTCTTTTTTTTTGAGACAGAGTCTCGCTCTGTTGCCCAGGCTAGAGTGCAGTGGTGCCATCTCAGCTCACTGCAACCTCCGTCTCCTGGGTTCAAGCAATTCTCCTGCCTCCGCCTCCCAAATAGCTTGGATTACAGGCACCCACCACCATGCCCAGCTAATTTTTGTATTTTAGTAGAAACAGGGTTTCACCATGTTGGCCAGGCTGGTCTTGAACTCCTGACCTCAAGCAATCCACCCACCTCGGGCCTCCCAAAGTGTTGGGATTAAGGCATGAGCCACTGTGCCTGGCCCAGAACAAAGTCTTAATGTAGGCTTCCCAAAATTCTAAGACTTTAAATTAGACTCAGACCTCTTGTTAAGTGCTTTTACACTGCCTAAGACACAATATATAAGTTAAAAGGAGTCTTATAATGGCCCAAAAAAGCTAGAGAATCTATGGCTTTCTGCTACATTTTCAGCCATGAAGACTCAGTTGACTTTGGGATATTACTCATAATATGTATTCATAACCATAACAGATCCCTCTGGAGTTATTACGACATATGCAGAGAACATTTATGAACAGTGAGAAACATTTGCATTTTATGAACCCATAATAAACAGCAAGCACAACAAAAAGCCTTATGAAAAGAAATCAGCATGCCCAACCCCTGGCTATTTTCCCAGTTAGGCCTCCAAGAGCTAATATAAGACAAATATATTTTTATGTTGAAATACTAAAAGGTTTTAATTCATGTTATGGGTTAATGACCCAAGACTGTCATTTCAAACCACAGCCTGTTTTGAAGCTCAGAACCCGTAATCATCCCTTTGTCCAATACAAGGAGGCACCTAACTGGTAAGTGGGGCTTTTTTCCTGCTCATACACAGCAATAACTGGAAAACTATCTTATATAATATGTAGAAATATAGAAGTATATGTATTTTTAGTTTACCAGAAAGTCCTCTCATGCCAAGGCTGAGTTGTCAAATGTCAAGTCTGAGCTGAGAACAAATGTTATAGCTAAACTGCCGGCTTTTAAAAATATGGCTCTGGTGACATACCTTTAAATATAAGTGGGCTACTGAACACCACTATAATTAAGATCTAAAAATTAAAAACAAGGTTGTAATACTTAGGAACCCTACAGAAGGAAATGAGTTAGGAGACAGGGAAAAGAACAAATAGAACAGAGACAGAATAAAATCCCTCACAAATTAAAATCTTCTTCCTAAGGAAGAGTCATTCCTTGATCTTTGGCTTCATAATTCTTCCCAGCAGCTTTTGTCAAGGGAGACAGTCATTTGAAAGTGGGCTGACTTGATCTTCCCACTAGAAAAAATAAAAGCTCACTGGTTGTAGGTAAGTAAGCACAAATCCTACCATTGCATAATCAAGTGTGTGGGTGGAAGTGTTCACAATGAACAGTTTGAAAGGCAGTTCTCTGAAGCATCCAAACCCCAACATCACATGGAACTCATATATATATATATGGCTTTTGATATCCATGGTAACCAGGCAGGGTTCATTCTTAAAGAGAAAGTACTGTATTTCCATTGGGTTATTCTGTGGCCTGAATAAACAGAGACAAGTAGGCAATCCTTACTACTTGCTCCTTCTCAGTAAGATATTTTGGGGCTGGGCATGGTGGCTCATGGGTGTAATCCCAGCACTTTGGGAGCCCGAGGCAGGCGGATCACCTGAGGTCAGGAGTTCGGGACCAGCCTGGCCAATACAGTGAAACCCCATCTCTACTAAAAATACAAAAATTGGCCAGGCGTGGTGGCTCACGCCTGTAATCCCAGCACTTTGGGAGGCCGAGGCAGGCGGATCACGAGGTCAGGAGATCGAGATCATCCTGGCTAACACTGTGAAACCCCATCTCTACTAAAAATACAAAAAATTAGCCGGGCATGGTGGCACACACCTGTAGTCCCAGGGAGGCTGAGGCAGGAGAATCACTTGAACCTGGGAGGTGGAGGTTGCGGTGAGCTGAGATCGCACCCCTGCACTCCAGCCTAGGCAACAGTGCGAGACTCCGTCTCAAAAACAAATAAATAAATAAAAATAAACATACAAAAATTAGCCGGGCATTGTGGTACATGCCTGTAATCTCAGCTACTCAGAAGGCTGAGGCATGAGAATCGCCTGAATCTGGGAGGCAGAGGTTGCAGTGAGCCGAGATCACACTACCACACTCTAGCCTAAATGACAGCAAGACTCTGTCTCAAAAAAAAAAAAAAAAAAAAAAAGATATTTTGGGATTTGGCTTTCAATTCTAAACAGATCCAATTTGCTACCATATATATAACTAACAATGGCACCTCCCTGTCATAGTTCTGTACTGTTTATACTGCCTGGAAATGTTACTGCCACGGGTGGTATATGAAAACTTAAAGGAGAGAAAGAATAAAGAAGGTCATTTCACGTACAAACAGTGGGGAGGCAAAAAGAAAGTATCAAAGTTGGATTGTCTGTACTTCTTTACCAAAACAAGGTCAATCTTTGAGCTACAACATCAAATATTAACATAGATTGTTTTTAGGTTACAATATTCCACCAAACACACTCAGCCTATAATAGACCTCAAAATTTTTGGCAAAAATTCATAATTTCTTTTCTGTTGCCTTTTTCTTAGGTTCCAGCCATAAGATTTATGAAGGGGAAATTTTCACCGTTGTTGTCTTGAGGGAGATAAATCTTACGTATCCACCAAACTCCCAATTATAATACACTCAAAGCCTGTCCTTTCCAACTGGGAGTGGCTGATAGACACATAACAGTGAGTGAGTGCCAGGTTCACATTCTCATTCATTTATTCAACAAATATTTATTAAGCAAGTACCATGCTGGGCACTATGCTAGGCATTTAGTAGTAAACAAAATAGACAAGATCCTGCTTACATGTTTGGGTTCTCAGTCTCTACTCTCACTAATCTTAGGCAAACTGCTTCATTTCTCTGGCCTTAATTCCCTCATTGATCAAATGGTAACATCAGATAACATTACTATTTTACATTCATTTCAGTGCTTTATAATCACAAGGTGACATTTTTCACAAAATATCTCATCTGAGCCTCACAAGGACTCTGAGAGTGTGGCAGGACAGGCATTACTGACCTTGCAGGTCTAGCACTCCATGCCTCTACAACTACTCCCTGAGGAGGAAAAGCTAGAGTTATGTAAGCTTCTTTTACAGAGAAAATCACTGGACTGTCTTTTTCCAAAGTTTTCTTTGGAAATTTAGGAGGCCTGAAGGATAGTACTACAGACCAATTTAGTGGGAAAAATTAACAACTACGTAGGTTCTTTGTTGAACACAGCTATGCTCACTCTGAGAGATCTAAGATCATATTAACCAAGAAAAACAAAGTGGTGGTGGGCTCACCATCAGAGGAAGGCGGTGTGGTCCCAAGTGGTGTGACTGGGGTTGTAGGAGCAGGACTGACAGGGGTCGTCACCAAGCCCATTTCTGGATGGCTCTGAAAAAGATACACAGATGTGTAAGAAAACAGAAAATCCAGTTCTCCCTGAGTATCAAGTGCCTAATACCAATAAGGACTGGTATTCTGGACCTTATAATTTTTTTTTTTTGAGACAGCATCTTGCTATGTTGTCCAAGCTGGTCTCGAAATCCTAGGCTCAAGCACTCTCCTGCCTCAGCCTCCTGTGTACGTAGGACTACAGATGCATGCCACTGTGCCCCTAGTCTCATAATTAGAAAGCTCACTGAGGCTGGGCACAGTGGATCACACCCATAATCCCAGCACTTAGGGAGGCCTGGGCAGATCACAAGGTCAGGAGATCGAGACCATCCTGGCCAACACGGTGAAACCCCGTCTCTACTAAAATACAAAAAATTAGCCAGGCATGGTGGTGCATGCCTGTAGTCCCAACTACTTGGAAGGCTGAGGCAGGAGAATCACTTGAACCCAGGAGGCGGAGGTTGCAGTGAGGTGATATCACGCCACTGCACTCCAGCCTGGTGACACAGCAAGACTCTATCTCAAAAAAAAAAAAAAAAAAAGAAAAAAAAAGCTGAGAAGGGACTACTTCTGTATTTCGTTCTCATGAGTACTTGATTACGACTGATGCTTGCTAATCTCTAATAAGCTCTGTGTGCTAATTTATCTTAAGCAACTAGGTTCCCATTACATAAGTTTTTCTGTGGCACCACAGACATTTAAAAAAAAAAAAAAAAACTGGGGTCAACAAATATACAGGATTATTCTACAAGAGAGCAGAGAACATTTGCAATCCCATCCAGACCTGGGATCTCATCAGATCAACCTAAAACACATCAATAGGCTGTTCTGATAACCAAATAATTGACTAGCAGATGTAGATGAGTCAAGGGGATACCAGGTACTATAAAAAGAGCTATTCAGCCGGGTGCGGTGGCTCACACCAGTAATCCCAGCACTTTTGGGAGGCCGAGGCAGATGGACCACGAGGTCAGGGGATCAAGACCATCCTGGCTAACACAGTGAAACTCTGTCTCTACTAAAAAAAAAAAAAAAAAAAAAAAAAAATTAGCCAGGTGTGGTGGCAGGCACCTGTAGTCCCAGCTACTCGGGAGGCTGAGGCAGGAGAATGGCGTGAACCCGGGAGGCAGAGCTTGCAGTGAGCAGAGATCGTGCCACTGCACTCCAGCCTGGGTGACAGAGCGAGACACCATCTCCAAAAAAAAAAAAAAAAAAAAAAAGCAAAAGAGCTATTCAGATGGCGGCCTTCCTGTTCCACAACAAACAAAAGTGTGTGTGCCTTCATTGGGAGGCAAAGACATGGTGAGACACCCAGTAGGGACCAAAACAGATGACTCTTCTGTCCCTAACCTTTCTTAGCCATCCCTCCCACATCAGCTCTTGAGAATTAAGCTGAGTGATAGCTGTTTTTAACTTCCCTTTTCTTCCCTAACAGCTTTACCAGCACTTTACCTTCCTCACCTCTTCCTTTACAATCAGTTATAGGATTTGGAGAGCAGATAAGAAACGAGTGAAAATAATAACTAAAGTCTCTATGTTATCAGTCATGAAAACTCTTAAGTGTTCTATGAAGCAGATCTCAAACCAGCATGATGCTTTTTAAGCATGACCTTATTTTTGTGTTAAAATTCAAATCAATAGATTCCATATACATCTACCCTTTGAGAAAAAGCATAAGCAAACTTTCCCTTAAAATAACCCTACATACATATTTTAAACAGTCTGGCTTTAAGATAATAACACTTTATCAATTTTTTAAAATGGCTTTCATGGACAGCTCTTGAGTTCTTGGTCTACTTTAGTCCTCTTCTATGCCAATTACTGTGGCTATCCCTCAGGCATGTGACCCATCGCTCAGTATTCTGGGGGTATTTTTGTTTGTTTTTTTATTTTGTTTTATTTTGTTATGTTTTGTTTTTATTTTATTTTTTTTTGAGACAGAGTCTCACTCTGTCACCCAGGCTGGAGTGCAATGGCGCGACTTCGGCTCACTGCAAGCTCTGCCTCCTGGGTTCACGTCATTCTCCTGCCTCAGCCTCCCAAGTAGCTGGGACTACAGGCGTCCGCCACCACGCCCAGCTATTTTTTTTTTAATTTTTTTTTTATTTTTAGAAGAGACAGGGTTTCACCGTGTTAGCCAGGATGGTCTTGATCTCCTGACCTTGTGATCCGCCCACCTCAGCCTCCCAAAGTGCTGGGATTACAGGCGTGAGCCACAGCGCAGGGCCCAGCGCTCAGTATTCTATGACTTCCTTTCAATGTATGTAAACCACGTTATCTGTTAACAGCTAACCTTAACCTGGCCAGGATATTTTTTACTTTTTTCCTCTGGAAATTGGTGAGATAATAAGGTGAGTGGCTTGGCCTATTTTATCTCCAGTTGTAATTCCACAGTGGTGTGGAAAGCAGAAAGCCCAATATAAAAATCCACATAGCGGATAATACCAGGGATTTCTAGTGAGCAAAATGAAGTCATGACAATTCATTTGGGTTAACAGGATCAATAAATTGGCCAAAAAAACTAACTTTGCACGTTATTAGACCCATTTCAGCACCAATGGAAACATACATATTTGAGGACAGCAGGAAACAAAGGCAACTGATTCAACTCCTTGTTACTACCACTTACCAATGCAAAGCAGGGTTTAAACAAGTACAGCCAGATAGGCTTTTCAATGGAATTAATCGGTATGAAATTTAGAGAGAAAAAAACACTGGGATTTTTAATGTGACCAACCTGAGCTAATACTGTGATGAAGTTGCGATTTAAATGAACAGCTTCATAAAGTGCCAGAAGAATGGCCTCATTGGTTCTAAAGAAAAAGAGAACAAATTGGAGCAGTTTTTATAGTGGGGGGAGTTAAAACAGTATAACCATGAAGATAAGATTGGATTGCACCCCAGCGCCTCATTATCAATTCCTTTGCATTTCTAAAGTTCCCCTTTACTTGCCATTTGGGCGTATGCAAAAGTGTATAGGCAGGAGTCAGGGCCTTCACTTTAATTCCTTAGGACCAGTTCTCATCTACTTCATTATCTTCCCTCTGTTTTTCCACCTCAACCCAGTTAAGTCCTCAACTGGCTCAGACACCCATCCCTCTTTTGTTTCATTGCAGAGATAGTCTGGCAACAGTTGTTCAGCTTATTGTCGCTCAATACATATGAAAAGCAGAAATTTCTAAGGGTCCATTAATGTTCAAAACCCATGAAACATTTGAAAATCACCAAAAAAGTATGATTCTGTAAAAGATTAGCAAGAGGTAACACTGCACACTCTCATATCCAGCAGGACAGCCCACACTAAAGTCCAAGTCACTGCACAAGAATGTCAGGCACTTACTGTACTGAGATTTTCTCATGGGCATCTGCTATGAACATGCTGCCCACCTGTGGAAGAAAAGGGGAATTGCAAACTTATAGCAGGAGGATATGAGAGGAGCTTTATGCCTAGGAAGCCTTTTATCAGTGAAGAAAACAAGCTGCTTCCACCTGGGGAGAACTTGGAACTCTAGGCCATAAGTCACACACACCAAAACCAGCCCACTTTGAAAATCTTAAAAGACTCATAAGTAATAAATGAAATAATGAGAATCCTACTAAATCATCTTGCCTAGTAAATCATCTTGCCTACTAAATCACCTCGCTTTAAAGAAAAAGCCTAGTACTTTTGTCCAACTCTCCTTTTCAGTGTGTAAGTTTAGTCCCTCTGACAGTTAACCTACACATCTTCATCACTCTGTATCTTTCCTAGAAGTTGCTTATTTGAAGTCAGAAACTAACTTAGGAAAAACTTCACAGGAAGCAGGCTGACTTCAACCAACATAAAGCTATCTTTGGGAACAATATTCAGGTTTCAGACCAAAGCTGTCTATATGAGATCCACTCTCCATTTTTCAGATAACAAAATCTTTAGTTTGTGTCCTAGTCAGAGCAAGTGAATAAGTAAATGGAGTAGGCTGCCTCTAATGTGTATGATATCAGAAGCACTAAGATGCCTACACCCACTAAAAAATACCTCTTCCACCTCCTTAATTATGCTTGAAACTATACACAAACCTATGCTCCTAGAGCTTCATGTGTTTGGTACAAAACTTTCTGAAAACTTGACTGAAAGGCAGAGATATCTGGGAGCAGTATAATTGTATCTAATTCATTTCATCAAACACCAGTACAAAACTCATACTTCTCTAGCCCCTGAGAGACTTCACTCATTTACATTTTGGAGTTAAAGAGTTTATCAGGCCCCTTCCTGAGAACAGGCTGAGAAGGCAGAAGGAACAATTCGTAAGCAGTGGAGGAAAAAGAATTGCAGAAGTGGAGGAGGAGAGGGGGCAACTACTTCTTGCAACTAACCAAAAAATTGTCTTGCCCTAGAGCTGAATACTTGGATAATAATGCCCGAAAGACAGACTTTCTGAATCTGCCTAGATTCTAGAATCTCCTAGATTTATCTCTTCAAAATCAGTCCCAGATTATCTGGTACCAAATGCCAAGAAACCTTGCCCTGGAGTCTTGCCAGCTGGACCAATAACTTCCCTAAAATTCAGACCTCTAAGCCCAAACCCTAAGCTATTAGAAGAGTGGCACAGATCTACTGCACGATCGCTCAACCCTAGGACCAGCTATGAGGATCAAACAGCCATGGCAGACAGCAAAGGAGCATTCAGGAGAGCACTCAGATCCAAACCCTACTATACCGTGTTCCACAAGGTCAGTGCCTAAACGGAGCCAACTCTTTAGGAAGCAAATTCTGGCTTAATGTGTACCTTTTCTTTAGCCTTTAAAAAATTAATTAATTAATTAATTAATGTGGAAAAACTAAGTGCCAGAGAAACCAAAGCTCTCCTTTCCCCATCTCACTTGGTTTTGAATCTCACTAAAGGTACATCAAAAGTGGGGATTCAAAAAAAAAAGAAAGAAACTCAGTAAAGGAAATACACTCCCCAAGAAAATCTGCTCTGAGCAGCCTCTCTCTTGTCATCATGCCATCACTTCAAATATCTGAACTTCGGAGCCCGATTTGTCCACCCCTGCAGACCACACTGTTTCTGTTTTTTTCAGGAGAAAAAAAAAAAGCAGGACTTACCATATTTGTTAAAGCAGAGAAAAAACCACTTTGGTGTTCTTCTTCCTTGTCTTTATACTGCCTAAACAAAAAGAACTAAATTCAACTTTAGGATTGTTTATCAATTATGTCTTTGTCCTTGACATTTGGGGTAATCAGGGCAGAGCACTCTTAAAATTCTCTGACTCCAGAAAACTAAAGCATTATGACAATCAAGCATCATGACAATCCCTGCAAGCTAAGAGTCACCTGTCTGCTCTTGAGGTAGTGTGTACCAAAATGCCTGGCTACTTTGGGAGAGACTTAGACTTAGAAAGCAGGCTGCAAAAGTGCCCTAACATATAGCTGATCCAGTTACTTCTCAAACAATCTATTACTTGAAAAGTGTGACAGTAAAATTACTTTAGGGCTACAACACTGAAAATCTTGTTTCTTTTTAAAGGAGGAGGAAGGAAATCAGTAAACTAAACTCTCTGCAGAGATGGGACAGATTTGAAGTTCTGATACCCAATTGTGTGTGAGAAAAGTCTAGAGAGGAGCATGAAAGATCCTGCCTGGCCCTTGCCAGAATTAGGGATACTTCTGGTTTCCATTCACTAATGTCAGATCCTTCCAGCAAAAGGGAAAGCAAGCATCAATGAAGGGAGCCCCCAGGAGAAACAGGGACTCTGGGAAGTTGAGGTTCATTCCCAATAAATAAGAAACATCTGTCAAACTAGGGCTACCTAATATACTTTCTCCTTTTATATATTTTTTAAGATAACAAAAAAGCAGTCTCCACAACCTTTTTTACATGGAAAATACTTGTATGATACACTGGACTAAATGGAAGTGCCCACTTGTGGCTGGAAGACTAGTTAAAATGCTCTGTAATAAAATACCAAAAGTTGCAAAGGAATGTGCCTAACTGCCTAAAGAGACACTAATCTGGTGGCTACTTTTCCCCTGGTGTTAAAAACAATCCCTGCTAAGGCCATCAAGCAAAGCTAGAGCAAATACATCTGCCAGGGGCTGTACATCTGAATACTCTTAGACTAGGTAAGGGAATTTGACCCAAGAACTCTAACAAAACTCTAACAACCAATTCAAATGAAAATCAGACCCCCTTCCATTCTGGAAAGGTGGACTTACCTGTTGTACTCAGATAAAGCCTGAGCAATTACAAGTCCCATTCCCTAGAAGGGAAAAGATAGCACAGGTGAAATAAGACAGTAGCCTTTGGGAGTTGGTGATGATGCTAGAACAAGGTCAGAAAGAACACTAATTAGCCCAAGAAGTCCTGCCTGAAAGTTGGCGACAAGGACAGAAATTCTGAGAGGCACTGTCAAAGCATCAAAAGGAAGTTCTTTGGGAAGACTTTTCGTATCTAATTATCTTAATGTTCCCAGGTACAATTAAAATGGATTATCAAGCGGTGAAACAGACCAGCCCAGATTGTTGACAATTTCACTGGGATCATTTTCACTTTGAAAGAGAAGATCCAGTTAGAATCTTCAAACAAAAAGCCCTCAAATGTCTCCAAAACAGTCACAGCAAGGTGACAATGAGTCCATGCTAAATGAAGGTGCACATAGATAAGCCACTTTCTTTAAAGCCACAGGAATGTAAAGGCAAGTAGCATTCAATAAATGTTAAAGTGACTTATCAACTTTCCCCCAGAACCTGTGATGCATAACACAAAGATCAATTAAGGCCACAGCATGAATCACGTGTGCATTTTTTCCATAAAGGAAATTGGAAAGAAGGAATAGGGTATGATGGAAAGGGAATAAAGCAAGACACCTGGTCATCTTCTTCCTCCCTATATTCAGAGATCAGATGTTATTTCTCAAACTTTCAAGGATACATATAGTAGATACAGATCATCCCCCTGTTTCAGTTTCACCAAGTCAGGCTATAAATACTATCTGGCTAGTTCTAAAAGAAGGAATCTCCCATCATTTAGTCATCTAAGCTTTCTTATTCTTGAATGTGTAATTTATTGACATCGTAGGATAATCAACTTCAGCACACTATAACATGAAACATAACCACTTCATCATGATTAGCAAGCAAATGTCCCCTCAAATCTTCCTTCCATGATAATAAGTCAGAAGACAGTAAAACGGTAGCACTGACGCACTAAAAAGAAATATTAATTCCCTCTCTATAACCGGATGAAATTGACAGAATAGCTCTCTGCTCTCTGTTCTAAATGTACTTTCACTGAAAGTAATACCATTGAATGCAAATAAGTAAGACAATACACAAGGATCCAGATACTCACATTGAGTGTGGCCTCATCATCCACGATAGACAGCTTCACAATATAAGGATTCACAGACTGTTAAATAAGAGAAGAGACTCCAGGTAAGTCTGACCTAGTTAAGAAAGCCCGTTAGCTATCTTTAAAGTGTTAACAAAAATGCTTCCATAAGGCCCTCTCTCTACAGTGATGCTCCTGATACACAGTCCCAATCCATATTGCCTGCTGACTCCTCCCATTTCCAGTTAATTTTTCAGTGTGTCTGGGCATTCATCAAGTGTACACACAAATACACATACACACCTCAGTTCTGTTCTACCATTAGGCTAAATCAGTGCAGGCCTTATGTCCATCACTTCTACGATCTTTCCCTCTTACTTGCATCTAAAAAGTAAGTGAGTGCTCCACAACACTCATTTTGTCCTACCCTACCAATAATTTACTAAGTCCATACAGATAGCTGTCTTTTGGGGAACATAAAAGCTTCTTGCCATAAGGCACATATTTATAAGTTGCTAACTTATATTTTCATCCCAAAGGCTCCCTAACCATTTCACAAACTACATGCAAGGACTGATTCACCCACCCGTAAAGCAAAGCCACCTTGGGGTGGAAAGTGGCAGCTGCTTAACAGCCAGAGAGGTCATTTATGGAGATCTGATACCCAAATAACACTGCAGGGAGAACTGAAAAAAAGGATGTAATTACCCAAACAACAATCTGGTCAGGACACTGGAATTTAATGATTGTCCCATCACTTAGAGCACTGGAAGAGTTCTTGGGTTTTTCCAGACCCAATCTCAGTTGGGCAGCATAAATGGTCATATATTTAAACTCATAAAGCAACTGGATCATCTCCTACAAGGGGGATGAGAACCAATGACCTCTCCTTACACCTATGGGATGTGAGGAAAAATTTCATATAAATCAGGCACCAATTCTAATCCAAGAGAGGCAAGGAACAATAGTTCTCAGACTGGCAGTTTCTACAGCTACCAAAAAAACTCATAACTAAGAAACTTGAAAACCCAACTGAAAGGCTCATTCCCCACACAGACCTATTTAACCAAGCTTCTGAGGGCATCTTTCGCACGTCAACTGGGAACAGAGAAAGAGACAGCTTTGCTTTCTTAACAGCCCAAATGTTTATAAGGTTTAATGCAACACAACTTAAGGGGTAAAACCCACTCCATTTGTTACTTGATCTGACAGAAGGAAGGCTCTCAACATTTCTTCCTATAACCAACAGTCAAATTCTGCTGATTCTACAGACCTCAAGGAAGCTCCCATGCAAGTGGGTCCTTGGAAAAGAAAATCAAGCAAAATCGGCTGACTTAGATATGCTGCCATGATGAGAGTAACACTAGAAAGAGCAGACCACTATTTCTTGGCATAATTTTTGAAGGTTCTAGTCACCCAAAAGTAGACTGTTTAAGGTTTTGGGATTTTTTTTTTTTTTTTGAGACGGAATTTTGCTCTTGTTGCCCAGGCTGGAGTGCAATGGCATGATCTCAGCTCACCACAACCTCTGCCTCCCAGGTTCAAGCGATTCTCCTGCCTCAGCCTCCTGAGTAGCTGGGATTACAGGCATGTGCCACCACGCCCAGCTAATTTTGTATTTTTAGTAGAGACAGGGTTTCTCCATGTTGGTCAGGCTGGTCTCAAACTCCTGACCTCAGGTGGTCCGCCTGTCTCGGCCTCCCAAAGTGCTGGGAATACAGGCGTGAGCCACTGCACCCAGCCTGTTTTAGGTTTTAATTGGGGTCATCTGATTTCCAAGCAAACGTTTGCATTCTAGTTCTTCTGCTTATTAATTGTGACGAATTAGGCACATAAAGCTAAGTTTCTATTTCCTCATCTGTAAAATGAGGATATAGATTGAGTATCTCATCTAAAATGCTTTAGGGCTGGGCACGGTGGCTCATGCCTGTAATCCTAACGCTTTGGTAGGCCAAGGTGGGAGGATCACTTGAGCCCAGGAGTTCAAGACCAGCTTGGGCAACATGGCAAAACCCTATCTCTACAAAAAATTTAAAAAGCTAGCCAGGCATAGTGGCACACGCCTGTAGTCCCAGCTACTCGGAAGGATGAAGTGTGAGGATCACTTGAGTCCAGGAGGTCAAGGCTGCAGTGAGCTGTGATCACGTCCTTCCACTCCAGCCTGGGTAACAGAGTGAGACCCTGTCTCGATCAATCAATCAAACAAACATTTGGGATAGAAGTACTTAGGATTTTGGATTTTTTTTTAACATTTTGGAATATGTGCATTACACTTAGCTGTTAAGCATCCCTAATCCAAAAATCTGAAATACTCCAATGAGCACTTCCTTTGAGTGTCATGTTGGTATTCAAAAAGTTTCAGATTTGGGGGCATTTTGAATTTCAGATTTTCAGATAAGAAATGGTCAACCTGTATTTTTTCTCCTGGGGTTGCTAAAAGGCTTAAATGAAGTAAGACACATCAAATCCTTAGCACAATACCTGGTACATGCTAAAGGCTTAATAATTGGTACAGGTAGCTGTGTGTTTTCCTCTTTTACATTATTATCACATTCAAAGGAAAGCTCTTTAGGAAAAAGGCAGTGTGGGGAGAAAAGGAACAACTTAATTAGACATAACAAACAATGTGTTAATTTCTGAGAAATGTCATGCTCTAGGAAACAGTTGGGATCTGAGTCACTTCATCTCAGGAGACTTGGCCAGCCTAGAAAGCCAGGATCTTATGTTGTGAAAATTTCTATTTTACCAGAGGCCAATTATTTAAACTATACCACTGTTGTACTGGTCACTTTTTAAAACTGGAGGAAATCTACTTTTCATCCACAAGACAGAATTACAAAATCTTTGAGTCTTCACAGTATCACTCTACTAGGGTCCTGCCTTTATTTGATTGCAGGTACACTTAACGTTTTCCATTGCTCTTCCCTAGACCTTTTTTGGGGGCTCTTTTGTCTTTTTGGATGAAATGATTAAAATGGAACACATTACTTGAAGTGAGGAAGAACTACACATTTACTACATGGTATCTTTTCTATCACTTTTATTGCTTAAGTCCAACAACTTCTTCACTTTCTCTGTGCTTAGTTGGGTACCCAACCTCTCTGTGCCTCGGTACCTTTCTGGAAAGGTTACAACTTACCCCATTGGTCATGAGATTGATTGTACTGGTGGCTAGAATGCTATTCTCCCCAGCACACTGCCTCATGCTAGTTTGCACAGAATTTCACCAGCTTTGGTTTTGCTGTGTTCATCTGGAATTCTTCACGTTCTTGTCAAAAACCTTCCTACTCCATGATCACCAGGCTTCCTTAATGGTTTCTGGTGAATGATTTATATCAAAAGCTGCAAAGCCCAGATAAATTAGGCCCACCAGCTCGCCCTTGCCCACTACATTAATTCTTCTGGGGGCTTCTGAAAGACTAGAGATGCATACTTCATTCCAGAAATATGATTCTCTCCAGTTCCTTGGCCATGTCCAATATTTCAGACTGACATTTCAGAGAGCCCTACTGAGCTGAGCCAGGATTCGGATCACAATCATGAAGCCAAGCCATTGCCTCAGAGTGGACTGCATCCAGTAGAATGCTCCAAAAATATTCATTACTGATGATAGTGTGTTCCTATCACATATAACCCTCACCTCTCTTTAACTATCCTCAGCATTTTTCCACAGCTATTTTTCTTGCTGTTGTAATGAGGCCCCAGAGGCTATTACACATGACAGAGATCAAAATGGCTACCATGCCAGCCCCTCCAGATCATCAGTAAAATAGGTGTTGGGAATAAATTTCATATTTATTAGGAGCTCTACCCACCATTCATCAGTTCCTCCAAGACAATGAAAACAATCAGATCCTGGAATTTATAACACATTCACATTGCTCTGCATATTCTAGTCCCTCTTTAAGTATTCCTTTCTCACGGCCTCCCCTTCTTCCATATCTCTTCTTATAAGAATAAGCTCCAGATTTTGTGTTACCCATCACTTTCAACCCGGCCAAATAAAGCCCAACTAGGACTCATATCAAAAATCACTAGGTGAAGATCCAGAAGCTCAAAAAAGAAAATTCTCTCTCCAGCTGGCCCAGTTCTCACAGTACTGCTATTTATTAAGTGAAGAAAGTCAGGTTGCCTCAGTGCAGCTCCTGACTTTTGGGTTCAGTAATGTACTCCTAGTTACCAGGACTCAGTGCCAAATGCTTCCTACTCCTCAAAAGCAATCTCCAATGAAGCCCCCGGTCTTCCTTGAGTGGTCCCCTTCCTTTTCTGTGTATTCTGCCTTTTGAAGGGAATCAAATATATGTGCCAACCCAAGTATAAATCTCTGGGTTCTGCTCTTCATCTCAAAAACCTATAAATCTGCACCTTGATTAATTCAGGGGCAAAAAGAACTCCAGAACTCATATGAATAAGGCACTGTCTTCAATTTTTCATTAAAATCAGAAGGAGTTTCTAGGCCAACAGCGATACTTACATAAGCAGATTGCATAAGAAGATGTGATACACAGTGATGTGCTGCATAAGGACATTTTGGTCCATAATGGACTGCATATACTATGGTGGTCCCATGAGATTATAATGGAACTGAAAAATCCCTATAACCTAGTGACATTTTAGCCATTATAACATAGTGCAACGCATTCATTACTCACATATTTCTGGTGATAATGGTGTAAAGAAACCTACTGTGCTGCCAGTCATATAAAAGTGTAGCACATACAATTATCAGCCAGGCACGGTGGCTCACTCCTGTAATCCCAGCACTTTGGGAGGCTGAAGTGGGCAGATCACTTGAGGTCAGGAGTTTGAGACCAGCCTAAATAATATGGTGAACTCCATCTCTATCAAAAATACAAAAAAATTAGCTGGGCATGGTGGCGCATGCCTGTAGTCCCAGCTGCTCAGAAGGCTGAGGCAGGAGGATCATTAGAGCCCGGGAAACAGAGGTTGCAGTGAGCCAAGATCATGCCATTGCACTCCATCCTGGGCAACGGAGTGAGACTCCGTCTCAAAAAAAAAAGTATAACACATACAATCATGTATAGTACCTACTACTTGATAATGACAATAAACGACTATGTTACTGGTTTATGTATTTACTATACTATACTTTTTTTTTTGAGATGGAATTTTGCTCTTTCACTCAGGCTGGAGTGTAGTGGTGCGATCTCAGCTCACTGCAACCTCCACCTCCTGGGTTCAAGCAACTCTCGTGCATCAGCCTCCCAAGTAGTTGGGATTACAGGTGCACACCACCATGCCCAGCTAATTTTTGTATTTTTAGTAGAGATCGGGTTTTGCCATGTTGGCCAGGCTGGTCTCAAACTCCTGACCTCATGTGATCCACCCACCTCAGCCTCCCAAAGTGCTGGGATTACAGGCATAAGCCACCACACCCAGCCTATACTATACTTTTTATTGTTATTTTCTAGTGTACTCCTTCTACTTATTTAAAAAAAAAAAAGTTAACTGTAAGACAGCTGAAGGCAGGTCCTTGAGCAGGTATTCCAGAGGAAGGCATTATTATCATAGGAGGTAACAGCTTCATGTGTGTTATTTCCCTGAAGATCTTCCAAATGCGGAGGTGAAAGACAGTGATATTGATCATCTGGACCCTGTATAGGCCTATGCTAATTTGTGTGTGTGTGTCTCAGTTTTTAACTAAAAAGTTTTAAAAATTGTTTAACTAAAAAAAGCTGGGCCGGGCGCGGTGGCTCACGCCTGTAATCCCAGCACTTTGGGAGGCCGAGGCGGGCGGATCACAAGGTCAGGAGATCGAGACCATGCTGGCTAACATGGTGAAACCCCGTCTCTACTAAAAATACAAAAAAATTAGCCGGGCGTGGTGGCAGGCACTTGTAATCCCAGCTACTCCGGAGGCTGAGGCAGGAGAATGGCATGAACCCAGGAGGCAGAGCTTGCAGTGAGCCAAGATCACGCCACTGCACTCCAGCCTGGGAGACAGAGTGAGACTCTGTCTCAAAAAAAAAAAAAAAAGCTTATAGAATAAAGATATATTCTTTTTATTCTTTAGGAGGCCAAGGCAGGTGGATCACGTGAGGTCAGGAGTTTGAGACCAGCCTGGTCTCAAACATGTCAAACATGTCATCTCAAACATCACAAAATATAGTACAATGTGTTTGTGTTTCAAGCTAAATGTTATTACAAAAGAGTTAAAAAGCTTTAAAAAATGTTTAAAGTTTATAAAGTAAAACAGTTACAGTAAGTTAATTTACTATTGAAGAAAGAAAAAATTTAATAAATTTAACGTAGCCTAAGTATACAATGTTTATCAAGTCGATAGTTGGCCAGGCACGGTAGCTCACACCTGTAATCCCAGAACTTTGGGAGGCCAAGGCAGGCAGATCACTTGAGGTCAGTTCAAGATCAGCCTGGCCAACATGGTAAAACCCTGTCTCTACTAAAAATACAAAAATTAGCCGAGCACGGCCGGGCGCGGTGGCTCACACCTATAATCCAAGCACTTTGGGAGGCCGAGGCGGGTGGATCACGAGGTCAGGAGATCGAGACCATCCTGGCCACCCTAGCTAACACGGTGAAACCCCGTCTCTACTAAAAATACAAAAAAATTAGCCAGGCGTGGTGGCGGGCGCCTGTAGTCCCAGCTACTTGGGAGGCTGAGGCAGGAGAATGGCGTGAACCCAGGAGGCGGAGCTTGCAGTGACCCGAGATCACACAACTGCACTCCAGCCTGGGCGACAGAGACTCCATCTCAGAAAAAAAAAAAAAAAAAAAATTAGCCGAGTATTGTGGCAGGTGCCTGTAATCCCAGCTACTCAGGAGGCTAAGGCAGGACAATCACTTGAACCTGGGAGGCAGAGATTGCAGTGAGATCGCACCACTGCACTACAGCCTGGGCAACAGACTAAGACTCTGTCTCAAAAAAAAAAAAAAAAAAAGTCTATAGTAGTATACAGTAATGTCCTAGGCCTTCACATTCACTCACCACTCACTCAGACTCACCCAGAGCAATTTCCAGTCCTGCAAGCTCCATTCATAGTAAGTGCCCTATTCAGGTGTATGATTTTTTTACAGTTTTTTTCATGTTTCATGAAGATCAACAACTATTTTATATCTTTTATACCATACCTTTTCTAGGTTTAGGTTTTGTGTGTGTGTTTGTTTTTGAGACAGGATGTGGCTTTGTCACCCAGGCTGGAGTGCAGGGGCGTGACATCAGCTCACTGTAACCTCCACCTCCTGGGCTCAAGCCTCCCTCCCACCTCAGCCTCCTGAGTAGCTGAGACTTCAGGCATGTGCCACCATGCTGGGCTAATTTTTGTATTTTTAAAAATATAGATGGAGTTTTGCCATGTTGGCCAGGCTGGTCTCGAACTCCTGGGCTCAAGCAATCCACTAGCCTTAGCCTCCCAAAGTGCTGAGATTACAGGCGTAAGCTACCGTCCCCAGCCTTAGATTTTTTTTTTTTTTTAAAGACAGGGTCTCACTATGTCACCCAGACTGGAGTGCAGTGGTGTAATCATGGCTCACTGTAGCCTCAAACTCCTGGGCTCAAGCAATCCTCCTGCTTCAGCCTCTCAAGTAGCTGAGACTACAGATGCATATCACCACAACCAGCTAATTTTTTTTTTTTTTTTGAGACGGAGTCTCGCTCTGTCACCTAGGCTGGAGTGCAGTGGTGCAATCTCCACTCACTGCAAGCTCCGCCTCCTGGGTTCACACCATTCTTCTGCTTCAGCCTCCCGAGTAGCTGGGACTACAGGTGCCCGCCACTACGCCCGGCTAATTTTTGTATTTTTAGTAGAGACGGGGTTTCACTGTGTTAGCCAGGATGGTCTCGATCTCCCAACCTCGTGATCCACCCGCCTCAGCCTCCCAAAGTGCTGGGATTACAGGCATAAGCCATCGCGCCCGGCCAACCAGCTAATTTTTAAATTTTTTTTTGTAGAGACTGTCTTACTATTTGAGTAAGACTGGTCTCAAATTCCTGGCCTCAAGCGATCCTCCCACCTCAGCCTCCCAAAGCACTAGGATTACAGGTGTGAATCACCATGCCCAGCCTAGATATGCTTAAATACATAAATAATTACTATTGTGTTATAATTGCCTACAGTATTCAATATAGTCATACACTATCCAGGTTTGCAGCCTAGGAGAAATAGGCTATATCATGCAGCCTAGGTATGTAGTAGGCTATACCATCTAAATTTGTATAAAGACGCTCTCTCATGTTCACGACAACAAAACTGCCTAATGACACATTTCTCAGAATGTATCCTTGTTAAGTGACACATGACCACAAAAAAATCAAATCTTTCTAAACAGATGAACTAGGTCAGTGGTTCTCAATCCTGGGCTAATCATCATACTCAATAGGGGAACTTCAAAAAAAAACAACTAAAAAATACAAAAAATTAGCCGGGCGTGGTGGTGGGCGCCTGTAGTCCCAGCTACTGGGGAGGCTGAGGCAAAAGAATGGCGTGAACCCAGGAGGCGGAGCTTGCAGTGAGCCAAGATCGCACCACTGCACTCCAGCCTGGGCGACAGAGCGAGACTCTGACTTAAAAAAAAAAAAAAAAAAAAAAAATTCCCAGGTTCCTGTTTCCCCCACAACCAAAAGACTGATTTACTGTGTCCAGGATAAGATCCAGAATTTTTTTCTTTTTTTCTGAGATGGAGTCTCACTCTGTCGCCCAGGCTGGAGTGCAGTGGTGCAATCTGGGCTCACTACAAACTCCGCCTCCCGGGTTCATGCCATTCTCCTGCCTCAGCCTCCCGAGTAGCTGGGACCACAGGCGCACACTGCCACACCCAGCTAATTTTTTGTATTTTTAGTAGAGACGGGGTTTCACCGTGTTAGCCAGGATGGTCTCGATCTCCTGACCTCGTGATCCACCCACCTCGGCCTCCCAAAGTGCTGGGATTACAGGCGTGAGCCACCGTGCCCGGCCGAAATTTTTTCTTTTTAAAAAGTTCTAGGCCAGGTGCGGTGGCTCATGCCTGTAATCCCAGCACTTTGGGAGGCCAAGGTGGGCAGATCACCTGACATTGGGAGTTTGAGACCAGCCTGACCAACATGGAGAAACCTATCTCCACTAAAAATACAAAATTAGCAGGGCATGATGCCGCATGCCTGTAATCCCAACTACTTGGGAGGCTGAGGCAGGAGAATTGCTTGAAGCCGGGAGGCGGAGGTTACAGTGAGCCAAGATCGTGCCATTGCACTCCAGCCTGGGCAACAAGAGCGAAAATCCGTCTCAAAAAAAAAAAAAAAAAGTTCTTAGGTGATTCTAATAAGCTGGTATGGGAATCACTACATTAGGGCGTACTTACTCACTTCATTAGAAGTTGCATCACAGGATTCCTTTAAACAACTAGATCCTCTGCCCCATGCATTTAATATAGGATTTTTAGAATCTGGATTATCAAAATTAATCAATATACCATTTACCAAGAACGTCTTCTACATTAAGCAAAGTCCTTTAGGAGGGGCCGCATTTAAGAAGATTATAGGCAGATAACAACTGTCCACTAAGGAGCCCAGTTACCTCATATTTTCTATAGTTCACCAGCAAAGCCAAGAGGACGACAGCATCATACCCATGCTCCCTACGACTTGGGGGATGGGAAAGTATCTGTAACAAGAACCAAAAATGCATGAGACTGCTAACTCCTGGTTCCTGAGAACACAGAGAAAATTTGAAGAGGTGGTTTACCCCAAAGAGAGGAGGTAACAAGGGACCTACCTGTAAAATTGCTTCAAATATGCTGTTGATCATTACATACTCGAGAATAGTGTTCTGGCTGATGTTATCTGTCACCTGAATGTAATAAAAGGCTTTTTAAAGTCTGTTCTGAGGTATTCTGATATCTTGTGTAATCTCCTCCCCTAACATCTAAGAGAAACAAAAATATTAAAATATTTCTACTAGATAACTTAGCTGACCTTTCACAAGTGCCCCTTAAGTCATGAGAGTCTGAATAGACAACATAAGGGTAGGAAATCAGCAAGTTAAAACTTCCTAAGTCTTTGAACTCCTCATTGTTTCTCTCATATCCTCACACATGCATTCGCTTAACAGTTTCTTGGGTTTCATTCCTCAAGTGCACAGGAGGAGGTTTATGAATGCAGAAGTCTTCAAGAGGTGGCAGGGAAAGGGACCCTCCTAAAGTAAATAATCAACACCCCACCCTCCTTCCACTAGAAATACAGGCAGCCTACAGTTATAAAATCAAAACTACCTGAGCGCAGTGGCTCACGCCTGGAATCCCAGCACTTAGGGAGGCTGAAGTGGGTGGATCACAAGGTCAGGAGTTCAAGACCAACCTGGCCAACATGGTGAAACCCCATCTCTACTAAAAATACAAAAATTAGCCAGGCGTGGTTGTACATGCCTGTAATCCCAGCTACTCGGGAGGCTGAGGCAGGAGAACTGTTCAAACCCGGGAGATGGTGGTTGCAGTGAGCCAGGATCATGCCATTGCACTCTCCAGCCTAGGCGACAGAGCAAGACTCCACCTTGAAAAATAAATAAATAAAAGCCAAAACAAATAAAAATACTCAGAATCCTCCGGGCGCGGTGGCTCACACCTGTAATCCCAGCACTTTGGGAGGCCAAGGCAGGTGGATCACCTAAGGTCAAGAGTTCAAGCGGGTGGATCACCTAAGGTCAGGAGTTCAAGATCAGGCTGGCCAACATGGCGAAACCCCATCTCTACTAAAAGTACAAAAAAAAAAAAATTATCTGGGCATGGTGGCACATGCCTGTAATCCCAGCTACTTGGGAGGCTGAGGCAGGAGAATTGTTTGAACCCAGGAGGCAGACGTTGAAGTGAGCCGAGATCACGCCATTGCACTCCAGCCTGGGCGACGGAGCAAGACTCTGTCTCAAAAAAAAAAAAAAAAATTACTCAGAATCACAAAAACTATTTCCAAATGAGACCTGATAAGGACAAGTCTGACAACCCAGAAGACACTTGTTCTCCTGAAGTGAAACTTCTAAAGTAAAATATCACATAGCCTGCAGGCCAAAAATGCCAGTAATTGCTCCAAAGAGGAAGCAAAAGACCATGCAGCTAACTTCCTATACATCCAGACACGAGGGAGTGATGTAATACCCTCATTGAGAATATTTCTTCTCTTTTTCCTTCTATCTTTGGGCTCAAGTATTCAAACAGGATTGCCCCTCCTGTCAATTAATACCCTTGACAAACATAGGTCACTTACGGTCACTAAGCAAAGGAGAAGTTTCAGACATAAACTCTTCAGACTTTCAGAACCTTCTGCACAAAGCAATGAATCCAAACTCTCCATCAAGTTCTGAGAAAGAGAACCAATAAGCATTAAACCATACCAGATAACACCCCACCTTTGTCTAACTCTGGGTTATGTTATACAGGGTAATGTGAATAACACACAATAAAGCAACAACATCATTTCCTTAGGCCCAGAACTTACAAGATTAAATAAAGAAAAGGAGGACCTTTTTCTCAGGCTGGGGTTGCTAAGAAAGAAAAATAGGAAGACTTCAAAATCTAGCTATATTGAGAAAAATGCTTTAGAACAGTTGCACAAGAGAGTAAAGAATTCACTGTTCTACCAAATTAATGAATGTTTGCAGTCTGTCATCCCCATATAAACGTTTAGATTACAAGGAAGCAAATAAAAAAAGGGAAACCTAATGGTTAAATAATTGTATATGTTTCTTTTCTTTTCTTTTCTTTTCTTTTCTTTTTGAGACAGAGTCTCACTCTGTCTGTCAGTCAGGCTGGAAAGCAGGGCATGTTCATAGCACACTGCAACCTCAAACTGCTGGGATCAAGTCATCCTCCCACCTCAGCCTCCTGAATAGCTAGGACCACAGATGTGTGCCACCACACCCAGGTTTTTTTTTCTTTTTCTTTATAGAGACAAGGTCTCGCCATGTTGCCCAGGGTGGTCTCGAACTCCTGGGCTCAAGTGATCCTCAGCCTCCCAAAGAGTTGGCACTGCAGGTGTGAACCACTATGCCTGGCAAGTTTCGTTATTTGGTAAAGAAAGCATAACACTTGATTCAGGCACACTGAATAAATGAAAAAGAAACAGTATCATTACAGGCTATCACTAGCCATATAAACTATCCAACGAAGCTAACTTGCGTCCATCCTGGTCTCCGCTTGGCAATGTAATTGGAATTTATCACTGCACTAAAAGCCAGCTGACAAATCCAAACTAATCAAAAGATGAAACCCTTGTATACTACAATAAAGAGAAGATGAAAAGAAATATTCTACATTAAATGAGGAAGGAGAATAGATGGAGAATAAGGATTTAAGCATGCTGGAAGGCCAAGGTAAGCTGCTTCAGTTCAATTCAATAAATATGTGAGCATCTACTCTGTGCTGAATATTGTGCTTTAAAAGAATATACGAAAAAACTCAGACCATGACCCTTGCTCTCAAGGTGCTTTTAGTCTTATGGGAGAGAAAAACAAGCCAACAGTTTCAATTCAGTGGTTACTATGATGGAAATATACACAGAGGAATGGAATTTGCTCTAAAGTCACCTATTCCAAGACCCCTCAGGAGTGAGTTATATTTTGAAAATTCAATAGGAATTGGGGAGGAAAGGAATTCCAGACAGGTATTAGCATCATCAAAGACACATAAGGAAAGAAATGGCCCTGGTGTGGGGTTGGAATAAAAGTAGTTTGTTTTTAAGGGAGTATAAAGAATGAGGCACAGTGGTGAGATATAAGCCTGGGGAAGTAAATATGGTGCAGATTTTGAAAGTTTTATAAGTCTAACTAGGGAGTTTGGTCTTTATCCTGTTAGTGACAGGAGACTAATGAAGGATTTTAAGCAGGAAAGATGTACACACTAGCGTAAGATATATACACTAATGCCACACAGTTGTGGTGTCAGTGTGGATGATGGATTTAAAGATGGTAAGCTTGTAAGCATGGAGACTAATGAGGACTTCAATTTCCTGAGACAGTTGCCATGTCTTATTTGCCTCTTGTATCCTCAGTGCCTACCACAGTACCTGGCATATAGGGGCCCAACAAATATTTGTCAAAAGAATGAATGGGCTGGGTGCAGTGGCTCATGCCTGTAATCCCAGCACTTTGGGAGGCCAAGGCAGGCAGATCACCTGAGGTTAGGAGTTCGAGACCAGCCTGGCCAACAGGGTGAAACCCTGTCTCTACTACAAATACAAAAATTAGCTGAGTGTGGTGGCGCATGCCTGTAATCCCAGCTACTCAGGTGGCTGAGGCAGGAGAATCGCTTGAACCCAGGACAGGGAGGTTGCAGTGAGCCGAGATTGCACCACTGGACTCCAGCCTAGGTGACAGAGTGAGATTCCGTCTCAAAAAAAAAAAAAAAAAAAGAATGAATGAAGGCATCACTGTAATAGTTCTGGTGAGAGATAGCATAATAGAGATGGTGGTAACAGAAGAAGACAAGTATGAGGAATATGAACTGAGGTAAAATTAGCTGAACTTGGTGATCATCTGGAGATAAAAGATGAGAAGTCCCCTCATCACAGCGTGGGGCCTGTGAAGACAGCTGCTCCCATTCTGAAAGAGAATGAATGAGGAAGAAGAGATGCAGGAGAAACAGTGAGCTCCATTCTGGATATATCAAGCAAGAAGTACTTATGGGATGTGTCAGTGAGTACACTCAGCAAGTACTTGCAGAGGATACAACTCTGAGATCATGAAGAGACATTAAGGCTAAAGACAGACACTTAGCAGTCATCAACATACAAGCAGTAGTTAGAATTATGAGAATGAGGAGCTATCTGGGATTTTACCATGACATATATATGAACTGCAAAAGGCCAGAATTTAAAAATAACTCTAAGTATTAAATATTTGTATATTTATAATTATATATTAATAACTTTTTTTGTAACCTAATCATTATAAAGATTCTCTGGTATACAGATTTATTTTAAATTTAATGAGTGACAGAAGACTGTTCTTCAAAGTTCAAATAACATTCATTCAATATGGTGTCCAACACTGCAAATCATATATCTGATAAGGGACATATTCAGAATACGAAAAGAACTCTTATAACTCAACAAAAAAAGACACCCCCATCTAGAAATGGACAAAGGATATGAAAGACTTTTCTCCAAAAAAAAAAAATAAAGAAAAGACAGACAAAAACAACTGTTGACATAATGTGCAGAAACTTGAACCCTCATACATTGCTAGTGAAATTATAAAATGGAACAGCCCCTATGGAAAAATGGTTTGGTAGTTCCTAAAATGTCAAATATAGAGTTACCATGTGACCCAGCAATTCTACACCTAGGTATATGCCCAAGAGAATTTAAAACATATGTGTGGCCTGAGTGCAGTGGGTCATGCTTATAATCTCAGCACTTTGGAAGGCTGAGGCAGGAGGATCACCTGAGGCCAGGAGTTCAAGACCAGCTGGGTCAACATAGCAAGACCTCATCTCATGAATAAATAAATAAATAAATACGAGCATACATCCATACAGAAACTTATACATGAACATTCATAGCAGCATTATTCCTAATAGCCAAAATGTTGAAAGGACCCAAATACCTATCAACTGAGGAATGGCTAAACAAAATATAGTGAGTATCTCCAGCCAAAGGAATATTATTAGGCAATAAAAAGGAATGAAATACTAATACATCCTATAATATGGAGGAACCACAAAAACATTATGTGAAGTAACTGCCAGACTCAAAAGGCTACATATGATATGATTCCATTTATATGAGGTGTCCAGAACAGCTAAACCCATAGAGACATAAAGCAGATTAATGCTTGCCAAGGGTTGAGAAGAGTGGAGAATTGGGGAATGACTGCTAATGGGTACAGGTTTTCTTTCTAGGGTGATGAAAATGTTCTGAAATTAATAGTGATGATAATTGTATAATTCTATGAATATACTAAAATCCACTGGATTGTACACTTTATTTATTTTCTTCTTTTTGAGACAGGGTCTTGCTCTGTTGCCCAGCCTGGAGTGCAGTGGCATGATCTTGGCTCACTGCAACCTCCACCTCCCAGGTTCAAGCAGTCCTACCACTTCAGCCTCCCCCAACTAGCTGGGACTTACAGGCACGTGCCACCATACGCAGATAATTTTTGTATTTTTTGTGGAGACGAGGTTTTGCCATGTTGCCCACGCTGGTCTCAAACTCCTTAGCTCAAGCAATCCGCCTGCCTTGGCCTCCCAAAGCGCTAGGATTACAGGCATGAGCCATGGCGCCTGGTCAGATTGTACAATCTAAAAGGGTGGATTTATGCTATATGAATTATAAGGCTGTTATTTTAAAAAGATAGTGTCAAACAGCAGAAAGAAAAATTCTGATAAAATCAAAGTAATTGTGTTAAATAAGCTTAAAGTTTAGAATTAAAGTTACCCTTGTATGTTGTTATATTTTATTTAAATTCATAAATGTTCTTAAGAATGTATGATCATATGATACGAGTAATAAAATAAACTATTCTGTCTTTATCCCGCAGGGAAAGAATACCTCCATTCAAATTTGAATTTAAAATTTTCCTTTATTCAGATAAAGCAAATCTGTGAAATAAAAACATCTAAATGCAAGGCCAAATTCAATCATCTGTATCTTTCTGAGTCCAAATCTTTGAGTACATTTGTCTGCTGATAGTGTCCAGGAACAGCTGTCAGAAGCTGCCATCCACAGGCACATCTGCAGCTTATGCCTCACCTTCATGCACAGCTCCGCCTTGTCAAAGCCCATCAGCATGTTGATAATGTCAAACCCAGAGGTAGACTTATTCTTTTGATGGACTCCTCGAATGAGTGCGCACAGGGTCTGCAGAAATGAGAGAAAGAATTCTTTCTGGAGAGGAAGTCTCAGGGTCTGTAGACCCACATTGCAGCCTCATCCTTACACAGCTGACACTGAATAAATTCAATTTCTCTGAGTTCTGAGCTCCAAAACACAGTCTGAGTTTTTTTGGTTTTTTCCGTTTGGTTCGGTTTTTTTGTTTGTTTGTTTTTTTTTTTGAGACAAGGTCTCGCTCTTCACCAAGACTGTAGTGCAGTGGCATAATCACAGCTCACTACAGCCTTGACCTCCTGGGCTCAGGTGATCCTCCCACCTCAGCCTTCCAAGTAGCTGAGATGACAGGTGTGCTCCACCACACCTGGTTAATTTTTTTATTTTTTGTAGAGACAGGGTCTCACCATGTTGCCCAGACTGGTCTCCAACACCTGGGCTCCAGTGATCCTCCTGCCTCAGCCTCCCAAAGTTCTGGAATTAGAAATGTGAGCCACTGTGCCCAGCCCAGTCTGAGTCTCAGTATGTGCAAAATCCAGCAAATAAAAGAGGAACAGTAACTGAGACTGCTGTCATCCTCATTTTTTATTTTCTTGTCATCTTGTTTTTAAAAATTATAAAGCAGACTGGGAGGTGATATTCAAAGATTAAAAATAGTTCTTGAGTTCAATCATGGGATTGGTGGAGTTTTCCTTTATTTAAAATTAATTTTGGGGCCGGACGCAGTGGCTCAAGCCTGTAATCCCAACACTTTGGGAGGCTGAGGCAAGTGGATCACCTGAGGTCAGGAGTTCGAGACCAGCTTGGCCAACATGGTGAAACCCAGTCTCTATTAAAAATACAAAAAATTAGCCAAGTGTGGAGGCAGATGCCTGTAATCCCAGCTATTCAGCAGGCTGAGGCAGGAGAATCCTTGAACCCAGGAGACGGATGTTGCAGTGAGCCGAGATCGCTCCATTGCACTCCAGCCTGGGCAACAAGAGTGAAACTCCGTCTCAAAAATAATAATAATAATAATAATTTTGGCATTTATATTACAGTTTAACAGTTTTTTTTGTTTTGTTTTGTCTTGTTTTTGTTTTTGTTTGAGACGGAGTCTCACTCTGTCACCCAGGCTGGAGTGCAGTGGCGTGAGTGATCCCGCCTCACTGCAACCTCCACCTCCTGGGTTCAAGTGATTCCCATGCTTCGGTCTTCCTAGTAGCTGGAGTTACAGGTGTGCACCACCACGCCTGGCTAATTTTTGTAGTTTTTTAATAGAGACAGGTTTTCATCATGTTGGCCAGGCTGGTATCGAACTCCTGCCAGTGATCTGCCCCCCTCAGCCTCCCAAAGTGTTGGGATTACAGGCGTGAGCCACCACGCCTGGCCAACAGTTTTTATAATTATTTTTAATAACTATAACAGTTAAGTCCCTTATATAATAGCCAACTGCTTCAAATCTTAAAATCTTCATAATCCTCATCCACTACTTACTAGCTGTGAGAACCCAGACACACACATTAGTTAACTTTCCAGTGGCTCAGTTTTCTCATCTATAAAGTAGGAATGATAATAATAGCATCCATCTTGTAGGAACATTATGAGGGCTATGTGAAATAATACTGTAAAGTACTTAGTCCCTGGAACTCTGTTAGAGCTCAGTAAGTATAAGCTATTATAACAATGTACAATATTTTATGGGTCACTAAGTGGCTTAATGTCAACTTATTTCCACTGAAATAAAACAGTCTACAATTCATGCCCACACAATGAGCACTGCAATTACTGGAAGTACAATTTCCAACTTTCATTGAGCCCCTATGCTACAACTTAAAAGGTGGAACTTATTGTGCCAAAAGTTAACAAAGCTATAGAATAAACATGGTCCATCTTTCTGGGACATCAACTCAAGAGGTAATTATTATTGCCATTCTACAGATGAGAAAACTGGGGCTCACAAAGTGATCTGCCTAACTAGTATGTTAGAAACTTAAACCCAATCTATCACAAGTTCCAATAAAATTATGTATCCTATCATGGATTCTTCATATTCTTTTTTTTTTGAGACGGAGTCTCGCTCTGTCGCCCAGGCTGGAGTGCAGTGGCACCATGTCAGCTCACTGCAAGCTCCGTCTCCCAGTTCACACCATTCTCTCACCTCAGCCTCCCAAGTAGCTGGGATTACAGGCATGCGCCACCACGCCCGGCTAATTTTTTGTATTTTTAGTAGAGATGGGGTTTCCCCCTGTTAGCCAGGATGGTCTCGATCTCCTGATCTCGTGATCCTCCCGCCTTGGCCTCCCAAAGTGCTCGGATTACAGGCATGAGCCACCGCGCCCAGCCCAGGATTCTTCATATTCTAAACCTATCAATCACTGCCCTAAGTACTCTCAATCTAGACTATACTAAACTTACTAGACTAAATTTTAGAAACTTTGTCACCATTCATTCAATAAGAACTTACTTCTAGAGTACTATTTGCTATGCACTGCTCTCTGGGCACAAGGAGTATTCTACTCACTGGAAACAAACTACTGAATGAAACTCTCAAAGTCTCTTCCCTCAAGAACTCTGTAGTATATCTCTATCATCCAGCCCAATGCCTGGCACATAACAATTCAAGGAATAGTTGTTGAATGAATTTTATGATCATGCCACCTAACATAAAGAACAGTTTCTTAATGTTTTCTGAATTACAGATTCCTTTCAAAATCTTTGGTTTTTGAGATGGAGTCTCGCTCTGTTGCCCAGGCTGGGGTGCAGTGGTGCAATCTCGGCTCACTGCAACCTCCGCCTCCCGAGTTCAAGCAATTCTCCTGCCTCAACCTCCTGAGTAGATGGGATTACAGGTGCCCACCACCATGCCCGGCTAATTTTTGTATTTTTAGTAGAGGTGGGTTTCACCATGTTGGTCAGGCTGGTCTCGAACTCCTGACCTCAAGTGATCTGCCCACCTCAGCCTCCCAAAGTGCTAGGATTACAGGCGTGAACCACCGTGCCCAGCAGTCTTCTGATTTTTGATAAAGACTAATCATTCTTGCCTCAGTTTCCTCTCTACTTCTTCCCTTTCTCAAGCAAAAACAAGAATTCTGTCTAAGAATCTACTTTAGCATTAGATCAAATTATACAAATGGATACGATTACTCCTAAGTGTCAATTTGTATAAATAGAAAGATGGCTAAACAAACGTGGCATAAATATTTGGTAACTTACAGAAATAAAAAAGAAAACCTCATACCTCAGAGCAACTCTAGGTTCCTCAGTTCAAACAGATGTGTTACAATTCCTTTCTCCTGTTAAACAAGACTTCCCCAGTCTCCCAGCCTTGTACCTGCAATGCATTGACAACCCGAATTGGATGCTCCTCTCCCAGAGCCTGGATGCAGTGTTGGAATAAGCAATTAATATTGTCCTTGATCTTCATTAACTCCTCACCATCAAGAGATTCCAGCTTGCCTTCTAGGTACTCTAAATTCACCTGCCAAGGAAACAAATAAGGGGCAGAGTGCATTTTTAGCTTAGCGCCTAGAATATATGAGAAGGCAATTTTAGTTACCAGGAAATTCCACAGATGCCACCAACTCTTACCTTCATGAGAAAGAGCTCCTCCCAAAACCGAGGACTGCACTTACTGGGGTCCTCTGTCTGAAACCAGAATATAAGCACATTCAGCCTTCCCAGCTAACACCAAAAGCATTAAGAATACTATACATAGTCAACCTTAGTTTTCTTTTTTTTTTTTTGAGATGGAATCTCGCTGTCGCCCAGGCTGGAGTACAGTGGCGTGATCTCGGCTCACTGCAGGCTCCGCCCCCCAGGGTTCACGCCATTCCCCCGCCTCAGCCTCCTGAGTAGCTGGGACTACAGGCGCCCACCACCTCGCCCGGCTAATTTTTTGTATTTTCAGTAGAGACAGGGTTTCACCATGTTAGCCAGGATGGTCTTGATCTCCTGACCTCATGATCCGCCCGCCTCAGACTCCCAAAGTGCTGGGATTACAGGCGTGAGCCACCGCACCCGGCCCCTTAGTTTTCAAAATTAACTTTGAAAATTCTTGGTCATTCTAAACTGCTAGAAGGGGAAAAAGAACACTTATCTCTTTGTGTTTTTTTTCCCAAGTGGAAAACTGTGTGCATGGATATATATTCTCTGCACCAAAAGTTAAATAATAGCTCAAAGAACTTCCCTAAAATATTTATCTTCTAGCAAGAAATGAACATAAACATCAGAATAAGTTAGTCACATCACAACATGCCTCCCGTGCATTGGTACAGTGTTGTTTTCAAACCTATTCACATATGTGAAATACAATCCAGTGAGCCAGGAAGGACAGATATTATCACCGTCCTCCCATTTTAGGAAAGAGAGTACACAAGTTAAGTGACTTACACAAGTTCAGGAGCCAGAATTCAGATCACCTCAGTAATACCACAGTGGTTTTTACAGCATGCTGTGTTGACTGCTTCTACTTGCCCTCCATATGCATTTAGTATTCTGTACAGAGCTTTTAATGTGCTCTAAATTTCTTAATTTAAATTGGTCCAAAGAGTAAGCAAAATTATCATGCTAAAATCCAAAATTTCCTAGCAATAATGTTCAAACAAATTCTAGGAAGTCAGAAGCTGCTGGTTAATGGGTAAAACAAGAAAAAGAGAACCCCGGCCAGGCACGGTGGCCCATGCCTGTAATCCTAGCACTTTGGGAGGCTGAGGTGGGCAGATCACGAGGTCAGGAGATCGAGACCATCCTGGCTAACACGGTGACACCCCATCTCTACTAAAAATACAAAAAATTAGCCGGGCGTGGTGGTGGGCACCTGTAGTCCCAGCTACTAGGGAGGCTGAGGCAGGAGAATGGCGTGAACCTGGGAGGCGGAGCTTGCAGTGAGCCGAGATCACACTGCTGCACTCCAGCCTGGGCCACAGAGCGAGACTCCATCTCAAAAAAAAAAAAGAAAAAAAAGAGAAGCCCTACTTTAAAGAAAGGGGAATGGCATAAAATAAGTAGGTCAATAGCCCACTACCACCTTATTTTAAGCTGACCTTTTAAAACTACTACCAGGAGACAGCCAGGTGCAGTGGCCCATGCCTGTAATCCCAGCTACTCGGGAGGCTGAGGCAGGAGAATCGCTTGAACCCAGGAGGCAGAGGTCACGGAGAGCTGAGATCATGCCATTGCACTCCACCCTGGGCAACAAGAGCAAAACTCCATCTCAAAAACAAAAATAAATAAATAAAAAATAAAAATAAATAAGTAAATAGGCCAGGCACAGTGGCTCACACCTGTAACGTCAGCATTTTGTAGGGCTGAGGCGGGTGGATCACCTGAGGTCAAGAGTTTGAGACCAGCCTGGCGAACACGGTGAAACCCCATCTCTACTGAAAATACAAAAATAGCTGGGCACAGTGGCTCACACCTGTAATCCCAGCACTTTGGCAGGCTGAGTCCGAGGCGCCCGGATCACGAGGTCAGGAGATGGAGGCCATCCTGGCTAACACAGTGAAATAAAAAATACAAAAAATTAGCCAGGTGTGGTGCAAGGAGCCTGTAGTCCCAGCTACTCAGGAGGCTGAGGCAGGAGAATGGCTTGAACCCGGGAGGTGGAGGTTGCAGTGAGCCACGATTGTGCCACTACACTCCGGCCTGGGCAACAGAGCGAGACTCAGTCTCAAAAAAGAAAACAAGCTCTCCCTTCTCCCTTCTCCCTCTCCCCACGGTCTCCCTCTCCCTCTCTTTCCACAGTCTCCCTCTGATGCCGAGCCGAAGCTGGACTGTACTGCTGCCATCTCGGCTCACTGCAACCTCCCTGCCTGATTCTCCTGCCTCAGCCTGCGGAGTGCCTGCGATTGCAGGCGCGCGCTGCCACGCCTGACTGGTTTTCGTATTTTTTTGGTGGAGACGGGGTTTCGCTGTGTTGGCCGGGCTGGTCTCCAGCTCCTAACCGCGAGTGATCCGCCAGCCTCGGCCTCCCGAGGTGCCGGGATTGCAGACGGAGTCTCGTTCACTCAGCGCTCAATGTTGCCCAGGCTGGAGTGCAGTGGTGTGATCTCGGCTCGCTACATCCTCCACCTCCCAGCCGCCTGCCTTGGCCTCCCAAAGTGCCGAGATTGCAGCCTCTGCCCGGCCGCCACCCCGACTGGGAAGTGAGGAGCGTCTCCGCATGGCCGCCCATCCTCTGGGATGTGAGGAGCCCCTCTGCCCAGCTGCCCAGTCTGGGAAGTGAGGAGCGCCTCTTCCCAGCGGCCATCCCGTCTAGGAAGTGAGGAGCGTCTCTGCCCAGCCGCCCATCGTCTGAGATGTGGGGAGCACCTCTGCCCGGCCGCGACCCCGACTGGGAGGTGGGGAGCGTCTCCGCCCGGCCGCCCCGTCTGGGAAGTGAGGAGCACCTCCGCCCGGCAGCCACCCCGTCTGGGAGGGAGGTGGGGGGCAGCCCCCGCCCGGCCAGCCGCCCCATCCGGGAGGGAGGTGGGGGGTCAGCCCCCGCCCGGCCAGCCGCCCCGTCCGGGAGGGAAGTGGGGGGTCAGCCCCCGCCCGGCCAGCCGCCCCGTCCGGGAGGGAGATGGGGGGGCACATCCGCCCGGCCGCCGCCCCGTCCAGGAGGTGGGGGGCGCCTCTGCCCGGCCGCCCCTTCTGGGAAGTGAGGAGCCCCTCTGCCCGGCCACCACCCCGTCTGGGAGGTGTACCCAACAGCTCATTAAGAACGGGCCATGATGACGATGGCGGTTTTGTGGAATAGAAAAGGGGGAAAGGTGGGGAAAAGCTAGAGAAATCAGATTGTTGCTGTGTCTGTGTAGAAAGTAGAAGACATGGGAGACTTCATTTTGTTCTGTACTGGGAGGGGTTCTTCTGCCTTGGGATGCTGTTGATCTGTGACCTTGCCCCCAGCCCTGTGCTCTCTGGGGCATGTGCTGTGTCCACTCAGGGTTAAATGGATTAAGGGCGGTGCAAGATGTGCTTTGTTAAACAGATGCTTGAAGGCAGCAGGCTCGTTAAGAGTCATCACCACTCCCTAATCTCAAGTACCCAGGGACACAAACACTGCGGCTGCAGGGTCCTCTGCCTAGGAAAACCAGAGACCTTTGTTCACTTGTTTATCTGCTGACCTTCCCTCCACTATTGTCCTATGACCCTGCCAAATCCCCCTCTCCGAGAAACACCCAAGAATGATCAATAAAAAAAAAAAAAAAAGAAAGAAAACAAAACAAAAATTAGCCAGGCATGGTGGCATGCGCCTATAATCCCAGCTACTTGGGAGGCTGAGGCAGGAGAATTGCTTGAACCCAGGAGGTGGAGGCTGTAGTGAGCCGAGATCACGCCACTGCACTCCAGCTTGGGCGACAGAGCAAGACACCACCTCAAAATAAATAAATAAATAAATAATTGATTAATTAAAATAAAACAGCATAAAATTACTACCAGTAACTAATGTCATCACTAGTTAAGTCCTGATCTAATAAAATATTAATAATCTCTTCTGGATTTTGTTTTCTTTTTTTTTTTTTTTTGAGATGGATTCTTGCTCTGTCACCCAGGCTGTAGTGCAATGGCAAGATCTCAGCTCACTGCAACCTCTGCCTCCCGGGTTCAAGCGATTCTCCTGCCTTGGACTCACATAAATAGCTGGGATTATAAGCATGCACCACCACGCCCAGTTAATTTTTGCATTTTTAGTAGACATGGGGTTTTACTACCTTGGTCAGGCTGGTCTCAAACATCTGACCTCATGTGATCTGCCCCCCTTGGCCTCACAAACTGCTGGGATTACAGGCGTGAGCCACCACACCTAGCCTCTTCTGGATTTTTAATGGAGAATGGCATAAAGAAGCAACATCTCTGGCCTTCTCACAACGTCCTCATTTTTAAATTAATTATTTATTTTATTTATTTACTTATTTTAGAGACAAGTTCTCACTCTGTCACCCAGGCTGGATGCAATGGTGCAATTATAGCTAGCTGCTGCCTTGAACTCCTAGGCTCAAGGGATCCTCCCACCTCAGCCTCCTATAGTAGCTAGGAGTAGCTGGTACTACCTGGGACTACAGATACATACCACTACACCCACTTAATTTTGTTATTAGAGAGGGGAGTCTCGATATGTTGCCCGAGATGGTCTCAAACTTCTGGCCGCAAGCAATCCATGCACCTCAGCCTCCCAGGGTAGCTGGGATTACAGGTGTGAGCTACCACACCCAGCCACTTAATGGATTCTATCTATCACTTTCTCTCAAGTCCTGCTCCCAAGCAGAGGTCACAGTTTGACCCTCACACTTCTGTAATATCACTGTATTGTCTACAAATGAAACGGAGGGAATTCATGGAACTGGCACTTCCCATCCCCAAAGCTCACTCAAGCAGGAGTTGTATACACCAAGCTTGCGTAAAAAAGAAAGAATCCTTTTTTTTTTTTTTTTTTTTTTTGAGATGGAGTCTCGCTCTGTCGCCCAGGCTGGAGTGCAGTGGCGCGATCTCAGCTCACTGCAAGCTCCACCTCCCTGGTTCATGCCATTCTCCTACCTCAGCCTCCCAAGTAGCTGGGACTACAGGCGCCCACCACCATGCTCAGCTAATTTTTTGTATTTTTAGTAGAGACAGGGTTTCGCCATGTTAGCCAGGAAGGTCTCGATCTCCTGACCTCGTGATCCGCCCACCTCGGCCTCCCAAAGTGCTGAGATTACAGGCATGAGCCACCACGCCCAGCCAAAAGAATCCTAATAGGATCCTAGCACCTACTTATTTTCTCTGTATAGCTGCTTGTACTGGCCTGGGCAATCTGTATTAATCTTCTGCACTCTGTTTCCAAGGCTTGCCAAAGTTAGGTATTTTAGTGGACTGAATTATTTATTCTTAGCCATGGCTTTGGAATCAGGCACCAGGGTTCAAATCACAGCTCCATCACCTTCCAGCAGAGATCTCAAATTACTTCATCTGTTAAATGAGGATACTACCAGTGCCCTCACAGAATTCCTGTCAGAATTAGAACTCCTCTATATTTAGTGATACATTTAGAATGCTCCAGGCACATAATAGAAACCCAATATATGGTCTTTTTTTTTTTTCTTTTTTTTGAGATAGGGTCTCACTCTTGCCCAAGCTAGAATGCAGTGGCATGATCACAGTTCACTGCAGCCTTGACCTCCTGGGCTTAAGCAATCCTCCCACTTCAGCCTCCCAAGTAGCTGGGACTACATGCACACGCCACCACACCTGGATAATTTTTGTATTTTTTTTGTAGAGATGAGGTTTTGCCATGTTGCCCAGGCTGGTCTTGAACTCCTGGGCTCAAGAGATCCACCCACTCAGCCTCCCAAAGTGCTAGGATTACAGGCATGGGCCACTACACCCAGCCAGTAATTCTTTTTGTAAGTATTATTCTACTTTATGCGTACTACTTATGACCAGAATTTCAGAAGGCAAGTACCCCTGCAGCATATCTAATTAATCTTCCTTGATAGTGTATTTTTTTTTTTTGAGATAGGGTCTTACTCTGTTGCCCAGGCTGGAGTGTAGTGGCACAATCTCGGCTCACTGCAACCTCTGCCTCCCGGGTTCAAGTGATTCTTGTGCCTCAGCCTCCCGAATAGCTGAGATTACAGGAGCGCACCACCATGCCCGGCTAAGTTTTGTATTTTTAGTAGAAACGGGGTTTCACCATGTTGGTCAGGCTGGTCTCGAACTCTTGACCTTGTGATCCACCCACCTCACCCTCCCAAAGTGCTGGGATTACAGGCGGGAGCCACCGCGCCCAGCCCCTGATAGGGTATATTTTACAATATAGGCTTGGACCAATCAGTTCTGAAGACCCAAAGAAATCCCCCACCCAATTACTAATAATTCCTCAGTTATCCCCTATAGTTGGAGAATGAGATAGTCCTAAGTAATTATTTCCTTCACCAACAACTTGAGATGGAATATAATAATGTATCCTTTAAAAGTATCTGAATTATAGAATTCTAGGTCCAAAAGAAACTTCATGAGACATCTAGGATAAGATAGCCCTAAGTTAGAGCATAAGGAGAGCAAGTCTTTCTTTAAAATATTCAGAAAAGGAGCTTCCCCAGCCTTCCTCCCTCCTTTCAATTGTTTTACCTGGCTCATGGCAACAACCTATAAGGACAACACAATAACAACCTATATTAATTAATACATGATTATAATCTCTACTCTGACAGCTTTCATTTTTGCCCTCAAACCCTCTTTCTCTCCCCTGTCCCACATCCCCCAAGGAACCTGAAGGTAGCAGGCAGAGGTAAGGGTATTTCTCATCTTGGACTAAGAAACTAAAGACTCAAGCTGTACACAACAAGGCCGCAGGCCTTACCATGAAGATCTCATCATACATCAGCACCACTTTTTCCTTCAGTGGTTTTTTGGAGGCTGAAGATTTCCGGAGCAAACCTCCACGTTTCTCTACCTGTGCCATGGTTAGAGAATCTGTGAACAGAAAGTCACATTTTAGAATAGTGAAAATACTCAGTATGATACTATAATGGCAGATATATGTCATACATTTGTCCAAGCCCATAGAATATACAACACCAAGAGTGAATCCTAATGTAAACTGTGGACTTTGGGTGGTAACAATATATGAATGTAAGTTCATCATTTATAACAAATGCCACTCTAGTGGGGGATGTTGTCAATAGAGGAGGCAATGCATGTGTGAAGGAAGCAGACGTATGGGCTATCTCTGCCCTCTCCTTTCAATTTTGCTGTGAACCTAAAAACAGCTCTAAAAAAATTAAATCTTAGAAAAGAAAAGAAAGCCAGTCAGTGCCAGAATGCTCTCCAAGGTGCTGGAGTCACTGACGTACCACTTAATGAGACAACGTTTAGGAAGAAGAACTGATAAACAACCATGCTACAGAGCTTGTGCATCTGTCCAACACTCCCCTCCCTGACTAGGTAATGTCAAGGTTTAAATCATTACTTGGCCAACAGCACAACACATTTTACATTCTTAAAATGTGCCAGTGGACAAGGCTTAAAGCAGATCCAAAACCAAACACAAAAGTGTAACTCGCTCCATCTGTAATAGGTCTGGCCATATATTTGAGGTTGATGGAAGGAAGGCAGCAAAGCACACACTGCCCACAGACTGATGGTGAAGTTAAATTTCAAATATTGATCGAGCTTAGGACCATTAAGGCAGGAAGTGTGCTGCAGACTGATGTGCTTCATTGATTTCCCCAAAGTAAGTAGGTCCTCGTCACTGCAAAGTACTTGGCCTTTACTGCCTCATAAATCACACTGCACTTGACTGTCTTTAGAAATTCCTCTGGAAAGAGACCCAAGGCAGAAAATAGCAGCTAAGAGGCCAAAAAAATCCGATTTAAAATAACTGAATAGAGTAATATACTACTTTCAAATTTAATTGTGTGTACATATATATATATATAATATATATATATATATATATATGTAGGTAAAACACTATTGCAGATCAAACTCCAAGGTATTTTTCAATTCTATATAAAAGTAGTTTCATGAATCATGGCCAAATGTTCCCATCTTGCTTCACGGAATTCTCGATTTTTTTTTTCAATTGAGAACCCGAAATCCCACAGGTCTTTACTGCGAATTTACACATATTCCCTTCACCTCCCAGGTTCTTTTCATTATTAACAAATTTCCTCTCTTTCCTTTAAATCCTACGCTCTAGATATGAAACTTAATCTCATCCAATGACAAGTATGTGAGATAGGGAGAGGCCAGATTTTACTTCCAGACAAAACCGACACAGCAGAACTAATTTTGATCAGTGACTTTTGGAAAATGTGCACTATCTTTCTGATCAAAATCAAAATTTTGTTTAAGGAAGAGATGTATCCAATAGTACAAAAGATTGTATCTTAGACATTGTCCTTCTCTAACACATATAGCAAAGAGAGGAGATTCATCTTTGAGCATACACTAAAGCACAGGAAATTTCTCCAACTAGGTATTTTTATTTTATTTTTAGACTTTTTTTTTTTTTGATATGGAGTCTCACCCTGTCACCCAGGCTGGAGTACAATGGCGTGATCTCAGCTTACTGAAACCTGTCTCCCAGGTTCAAGTGATTCTCCTGCCTCAGCCTCCCAAGTAGCTGGGATTACAGGTGTGTACCACCATGCCTGGCTAATTTTTTGTATCTTTAGTAGAGACGGGGTTTCACTATGTTGGCCAGGCTGCTCTCAAACTCCTGACCTCATGATCCGCCTGCCTCGGCCTCCCAAAGTGCTGGGATTACAGGCATGAGCCACTGTCCCCAGCCTGACCTAAAATTTTACTAAGACATATCTCTACTGAGGCTTAATTTAGCCCTCAAATTCTGTTATGGTCCAGAGAAAACTGATGAAAAAAATAATAACAATAACGAAAAGAGAAGACTCTTTGGGACAATTTACATTGTATTGATCATGGCTTTTCCTTAAAGCATGAAATACAGCCTCCATTCAACATGTCTTTTAAACATGTTGTCAAGAGGAAGATGTCTTTATCCAGGAAAAATAAATTGGAAATCAAGAGAATCCTATTAGAATAAATCAAAAGCAATGCAATTCTAAACTTAGTGGATATGGATCTTGCCTGTGCTCAGCTTCAACCAGTTGATTAGCAGGAAGAGTGGGAACCACAAGTTCTTAGACGTGATAAGTACATGTTTACAAATATCCCCTTCTGAGGATTTATAATTGGGTTACAGCTAATCAATGTCCACCCCAAATCTAATAAATTCACTTTCTCTATTTCAGAATCAATACTTTCTAATAAGCAAAGGGAATAGGAGAGGAGGGAAAAACAATTCCAATCCAAACTACCAAATTTCCTAAGAAATTAAATTCTTTTCATCATTTTACTCCTTCCATGTGGAGCAGCAGGAAAATCAGCCAAGGCCTCAACTCACTACTCTCTGTCATCACAGGCAACTGAAATTTACCACCCAAGCTGCCTGAAATGTGACTGGAAAATGACAACATAAAGTCTTCTCCTCCTGCCAGCACTCCTACCCAGGGAGTTTCTAAGGTGGCAGACTGGGAGAACTACAGAACTCTAACAAAACTTTTTCCTTGGGTCTCAGAAATTAAGCCTATGCTCCTAATTTTGAAAGTAAAATATCGGCCGGGTGCAGTGGCTCACGCCTGTAATCGCAGCACTTTGGGAGGCCAAGGTGGGCGGATCACCTGAGGTTGGGAGTTCGAGATCAGCCTGACCAACATGCAGAAACCCCGTCTCTACTAAAAATACAAAATTAGCCAGGCATGATGGCTCATGCCTGTAATCCCAGCCACTCAGGAGGCTGAGGCAGGAGAATCGCTTGAACCTGGGAGGTAGAGGTTGCGGTGAGACGAGATTGCGCCACTGCACTCCAGCCTGGGCAACAAGAGTGAAACTCCATCTCTAAGAAAAAGTAAAATATCTGATTGGTAGAGCAGAAAGTTGCAGCAGATCAGTAATGTGAGTGTAATCTGTACATTCTCAAGCACTTTTTTCCTATTTCACAACCATCCCCCTCCTTCCCAGAGGAGAGAACCACCATCAGCTGAGAAATTGCAAGGCATAATGGAACAAGCAACCAGCAGAACTGAGATTAGAACACAGGTCTCCCAACCAACTCGGTGACATGGACAAGTTACTGTGCTTCTCAGTTTCCTCACAAGTAAAACAAGAGGATTGAACCAGACTATTATCTAATGATTCTCTCAGCATCACTGAAATACCACAAATATATAAAAAGCACCTAAAGCCCTAGTTTAGGCACTATAGGATTAAAGAGAGGAAACTCCAGACTTGATTCTCTGGGAGCTCATAATCTACTGGCACAGACAGACACATAACAACCCATAGTGCAAAGCAAATCATGAGAAATAAATGGAGTAGAAGTACAAAGAAAATGCTATGGGATAATAAAGGAGAGAAAGAAACATTCTGTGACTATGCTATGACCCCTGTTGATCCAAGCTTTTAAATCCTTCTGGCAAAGAAGCAAATACAGCAAAGGCACAGTAATCCCACAGAAATGTCAGTTTAGGCTTTAAGGCAGTGTCTCAGACATAAGACATAGACAAATTATAAAAAAGAATCAGGCAACTTTTCAATACTAATTTCACCTACTATCAAACTTACAAATGGTTTCAAATCCCCTCAACTGAATGGTAAATCAATGAAGGCTTTTATTCCTAAACCTGAAAGACTGTTAGTCACGTGAGCTGCTGTCACTTCTCTCTGGAAGATACAAGTTATACAACTTTTTTTTGTTTTTTGAGACAGAGTCTCACTCTGTCACCCAGGCTGGAGTGCAGTGGTGCAATCTCGGCTCACTGCAACCTCCGCCTCCTGGGTTTAAGTAATTCTTGTGCCTCAGCCTTGTGAGTAGCTGGGACTACAGATGTGTGCCACCACACCCAGCTAATTTTTTTCTTTTTTTTTTTTTTTTTTTGGAGACGGAGTCTCGCTCTGTCGCCCAGGCTGGAGTGCAGCAGCGCCATCTCAGCTCACTGCAAGCTCCGCCTCCTGGGTTCACGCCATTCTCCTGCCTCAGCCTCCCCAGTAGCTGAGACACCTGGCTAATTTTGTTGTATTTTTAGTAGAGACGGAGTTTCACCATGTTAGCCAGGATGGTCTCGATCTCCTGACCTCGTGATCCACCCGCCTTGGCCTCCCAAAGTGCTGGGATTACAGGCATGAGCCACCATGCCCGGCCTTTTTTTTTTTTTTTGAGACAGAGTCTGGCTCTGTTGTCCAGGCTGGATGCAGTGACATGATCTCAGCTTACTGCAACCTCCACCTCCTGGGCTCAAGCCATCCTCTCGCTTCAGCCTCCCAAGTAGCTAGAACTATAGGTGCGCGCCACCACACCCAGCTAATTTTTTGTATTTTTTATAGAAACAGGATTTTGCCATGTTGCCCTGGCTGGTCTCAAACTCAAGCAATCCACCTGCCTCAGCCTCCCAAAGTGCTAGAATTGCAGGCGTGAGCCACTGCACCCAGCCTTAGGTTCACATTTGTAATGGACTGTCACCAAGTATCACCCTCTCTTCACATTGAGGCAAACAAAAACAATGTTATAGCTAGATGCTAAGGTAAACATCCTAAAATACTTCAACCAGTATAGAAGGAAAAGAAGAGAAGAAAAGAAAAAAGGAAGGGGAAAGAAGGAAAATGAATAAAAGTAAATGTGCACACCAGGCGTGGTGGCTCACACCTGTAATCCCAGCACTTTAGGAAGCCGAGGCGGGCAGATCACATGAGCTCAGGAGTTCGAGAACAGCCTGGGCAACATGGCAAAACCCCGTCTCTACTAAAAATATGAAAATTAGACAGGCGTGATGGCGGGAGCCTGTAATCCCAGATACTCGGGACGCTGAAACAGGAGGATGTCTTGAGCCCAGGAGGCAAAGGTTGCAGTGAGCTAACATCACTGCATCCAGCCTGAGCAACAGAGCCAGCCCTTGTCTCAAAAAAAAAAAAAAAAAAAAGAGCGAAACAAAAGTAAATAGTTTAGGGGGAAAAATATGTACAGATCCGACATTTATTCACTCATTCATTCGACAAATTTTTTTTGAGTACCTTTTGGGCACAAGCACTGGGAACACAGCAGTAAACATGACAGAAAAGATCCCTGCTCTCACAGAATTTTCATTCCAGTAGAAGGGAAACAGACAACAAATAAGATAAACTGAGACAGTGATAAGGGCCCTGAAGACAAATTGCAAAGGGGACTACTCTCAACTGAGAGATTAAAGTAGGCCTCTTTGAGGAAATGGCACTTGGGCTAAGATCTGGAATAACAGGAAGAAACCAGGCAAGTAAAAATCTTGAGAAAATTGTTCGAGATGGAATGTCAAGTGCAAAGACCTCAAGATTTGAATGCACTTGGCGTGTTCAGGAAACAGAAATGCCACCGTGCCTAAACAGAGCATAAACATTCCTTTTCTGAAATGTTTTTGTAAAGTTTATTAAAGTGGGTCTTTTGTGTTTGTGAATTTTTTTAATATATAAGAAGAATCCAAATATCCATCAGCAGTAAATGGGACAATTATGATACAGTCATACAATAGAATACCACATAGAAATTTACAAGAGCCTATTACTGATACATGAAGCAATGTGAGTAAGTTACATAGAAAATATTGAATGAGGGCCAGGCGCGGTGGCTCACACCTGTAATCCCAGCACTTTGGGAGGCCGAGGTAGGTGGATCACTTGAGGTTGGGAGTTCGAGACCAGCCTAACCAACATGGAGAAACCCCATCTCTACTAAAAATACAAAAATTAGACGGGCATGGTGGCGCATTCCTGTAATCCCAGCTACTCAGGAGGCTGAGGCAGGAGAATCGCTTGAAGTCAGGTGGAGGAGGTTACAGTGAGACGAGATCGCACCATTGCACTCCAGCCTGGGCAACAACAGTTAAACTCCATTTCAAAAAAAATAAAAATAAAATAACAACCAGAGTCTATTTAGCTCTTATTATGTACCAGGCACTGTTCTAAGCACTTTATATATATTAATTCATTTTATCCTCATATCAACCCTATGATCCAGAAAGTTTACAATGAGAAAACTAAAGCATGAACTGGAAAAGAAAGAGAGAAAAAGAGAGAAAGAGAGGGAGAGAGAGAAAGAAAGAGAGAAAGAGAGAAAAGAGAGAGAAAGAGAAAAGAGAAAAAGAAAAAAAAAAGAAAAAGAAAAGAAAAGATGGGCCAGACTGGTGGCTCATGCCTGTAATCCCAGCACTTTGGAGGCCGAGGCGGGCAGATCACCTGAGGTCAGGAGTTTGAGACCAGCCTGACCAACATGGAGAAACCCCATCTCTACTAAAAATACAAAATTAGCCGGGCATGGTAGCACATGCCTGTAATCTCAGCTACTCGAGAGGCTGAGACAGAAGAATCGCTTGAACCGAGGAGGCGGAGGTTGCAGTGAGCCGAGATTGCACCACTGCACTCCAGCCTGGGCAACGAATGAAACTCCATTTCAAAAAAAGAAAAATTGAAAAGAAAATAAACTTGTACAGATAAGTGAGTGTAGGGACTCAAACCCAGGCAGCCTGATATTAGAGTTCCTGTTCTTCTCCACTATGCTATACTGTATCTCAAAAGGCAGAGGAATGAGCAGGAGCAGAGTCATCTATACATAAACAAAGCTGAGGGCCTACAGAGAAACTGTGAAGAGGTTCTAGGTGAGTAAGGGGGAGTATGTACTCATGGGCTTTAATGAACAAACTGTGAAATGTCTAGATATCTTGAGTAGCCACCACTCTAGTTTGTCAGTGGATGAAGGTGCCATGGTAGAAAGTAAAAGATAATTGTCTGATGTAGATACATCTGTCTGTAAATGTAGGTAATAGTAAAGTGAAACAGACAGAAATAGACAAATTCACAGGAATGGCAGAAAACTTGGAGGGAAAAACAGGAGAAGAATCTGAGTGTCTAGTCAAGTTGATAGATGTATCCAACATGGTAATTTTTTTAAGGATAAAACACCCTAATGTCCACTACAGGATTTAATTGATTTTTTTTTAAACTCTCCCACTATCTTTGAGGATTTTTAATTTTTTTTCACTATTTTAATTGAGTATAGTCAGTGTTCTGAGGATAATTCTCCCTCAACTTTATAATGAATAGAAAGATACTATAAAACAGGACAGAAAAAAGAAATGGAAAACAAGTCAACTAAGAGTCTGTACAATCCTCAGCTTAGGAGGGAGTATGTTTTAATACTGATGAGCTGTGATCCCCTATTTCAGAATCTCCTGGGGTGCCTCCTAAATATGTAAATTCTTAAGCCTTCCTACCATTCTATTGAACCAAACTTTTTTTTTTTTTTTTGAGAGACAACCTCTCACTCTGTCACCCAGGCTGGGGTGCAGTGGCATGATCTCGGCTCACGGCAACCTCCGCATCCCAGGCTCAAGTGATCCTTCCACCTCAGCCTCCCAAGTAGCTGGGACTACAGGCACACACCACCACACCTGGCTAATTTTTGCATTTTTTTGTAGAAACGAGATTTCGCCATGTTGCCCAGGCTGGTCTCAAAACTCCTGAGCTCAAGTGATCTGCCCACTTGGCCTCCCAAAGTGCTGGGATTACAGGCATAAGCCACAGTGCCTAGCTTGGGTCTACATTTTTAACAATCACTCCAGATCAGTGATTCTCAACTGGTGCAATTTTGCCTCCCAGGGGACATTTGTCAATGTCTGGAGACATTTTTGATTGTCACAACTGGGAGAGGAGGTACTACTGGCACCTACTAGGTAGAGGCCAGGGATGCTGTTAAACATCATACAATACTCGAGGCAGCCTCCCACAACAAAGAATTATCCAGCCCAACATGTCAATATCAAAGAGGTTAAAAAGCCCTGCCCCAAGTAATTCTGATGACCATTAAAGTTTGAGAAGTACTCATCCCAGCCTTAAACCAGACTTGGAAAAGGAAGGAGTATCTAGACAGATGATACTGAGAGAATAAATGAAACCTCTGCAGTCTCTAAAAAGGGCGTTGAAGCAACACTCACCTTATCACATATCATTCTCCCCACATTAAATCACACTTCCTTTGGGACTGTAGCCCATTTCCCCATATGTGAAAGAAGATCACTACAAGACACACTGACTATAGTATCCACAATACTTAGTGATGGAGATGAAAATCTTATGTAGCTATCTGTCCAAGAGTTGTGGCTAAGTCAAAGAAAATATTACCATTATCTGACCATGAGCCATTCACCCAATATACAAAGGAGGCAACACGTTTTTGTTTTGTTTCATTTTGAGACAGTGTCTCACTGTGTCGCCCAGGCTGGAGTGCAATGGCACGATTTCAGTTCACTGCAACCTCCGCTTCCTGGGTTCCAGCAATTCTCCTGCCTCAGCCTCCCAAGTAGCTGGGACTACAGGCGCATGCCACCACACCCAGCTAATTTTAGTATTTTTTTGTAGAGTCAGGGCTTCACCAAGTTGGCCAGGCTGGTCTCGAACTCATCTTAAGTTATCCGCCTGCCTCAGCCTCCCAAAGTGCTGAGATTACAGGCATGAGCCACCGCACCCAGCTGAGACAACATGTTTATATCAAGCCAGCAATAGTCCCCTACCCTGACTTTCCAGTAAGTCTCCTGTCCTGATCTCCTAAAAATTCCCTAGTTTCTCTAGATACAGGGTTTTTTAAAAAACCTTTACGCAAAAGTTACCTGCTCCCTAAGCCTCTCTGCAGGACCTAACATACTACCTGGAGGTAAACATTAGCACTATAAGAACTTAAGGAGAATGCAGTTTTTCTATCTCCAAGCCCCAGCCCTTCAAGCTATCTCCTAATATGCCTCTCACTTTCTTTTTTTTTTTCCTTTGTGAAGAATGTGGGCATCATTCTTTCTTCTTTTCTAAAAGCCCCAGGTATTTAGCTCACTTGCTAGATCACATCCTACTGTTCCACATGGTTCCTTAGCACAGCTTCTTTCAGTAGCATGGGACAGGTTCCCCCACTTCCATCCAAAAGACTGGCTCTAAGACAAGCAAATAACCCCTTTCTATTTTAATGAATTTCTACTGCTAGTTCACTCCAAGGATTCTATAGATCCAAAATGAAAATAGGGCTGGCACGGTGGCTCACGCCTGTAATCCCAGTACTTTGGGAGGCTGAGGCGGGCGGATCACTTGAGGTCAGGAGTTCCAGACCAGCCTGGCCAACATGCAGAAACCCCGTCTCTACTAAAAATACAAAAATTAGCCACGCATCGTGGCAAGTGCCTGTAATCCCAGCTACTCAGGAGGCTGAGGCAGGAGAATTGCTTGAACCCAGGAGGCGGAGGTTGCAGTGAGCCAAGATCGCGCCACTGCACTCCAGCCTGGGGGATAGAGCGAGACTCTGTTTCCAAAAAAAAAGAAAGAAAGAAAATAGAGTAGGGCCTGCAACTTTTTTTTTTTTTTTTTGAGATAGGGTCTCAAGGCTGAAGTGCAGTGGCACAATCATGGCTCACTGCAGCCTCAGGGATCCTCTGACCTCAGCCTCCTGGGTAGCTGGGACTACAGGCACATGCCACCAGGCCTGGCTAACTTTTCATATTTTTTGTAGAGATTGAGTTTCACCATGTTGCCCAGGTTGGTCTCAAACTCCTGGGCTCAAGCAATCCTCCCACCTAGGCCCCCCAAAGTGCTAGAATTACAGGCATGAGCCACTGCACCCGGCCCCAACCTATTTTTACAATGAGGATATTACTTTGCCCAAAGTAACACAACTAGTAAGTGATAAAGCCATTAAATCTTTCTCTCTGGTAGCGCTTCTCCCTATCAGAATGTCCTGTTAGTGCAAAACATCAGGAGCTAACTAGACCATTAAAAACCAGATTCACTGTAATCCCAGCTACTCGGGAGTCTGAGGCACGAGAATCGCTTGAACCCGGGAGGCGGTGGTTGCAACGAGCTGAGATCGCGCCACTGTACTCCAGCCTGGGCGATAGAGCCAGACTCAGTCTCAAAAAATAAAAAAAATAGAGCCAGGCGCTGTGGCTCATGCCTGTAATCCCAACACTTTGGGAGGCCGAGGAGGGCAGATCACAAGGTCAGGAGATTGAGACCATCCTGGCTAACACGGTGAAACCCCGTCTCTACTAAAAATACAAAAAAACAAAAATTAGCCAGGCGTGGTGGTGGGCACCTGTAGTCCCAGCTACTCGGGAGGCTGAGGCAAGAGAATGGCTGAACCCGAGAGGTGGAGCTTGCAGTAAGCCGAGATCGCGCCACTGCACTCCAGCCCCAGCCTGGGCAACAGAGCAAGACTCTGTCTCAAATAAATAAATAAATACATACATACATAAATAAATAAAAAGATTCAGTTAAAGTTACACTTCTATAGAAACTCCAAACTGACATCCATAATATCAACACTCCCATTTTATCCAAGAAAAGTCACCAAATGTGGTGGCTCAAGTCGGTAATCCCAACACTCTTGGAGGCCGAGGCAGGTGGATCACTTGAGGTCGGGAGTTCGAAACCAGCCTGGCCAACATGGTAAAACCCCATCTCTACTAAATATACAAAAATTAGTCAGCGTGGTGGCACATGCCTGTAGTCCCAGCCACTTGGGATGCTGAGGCACGAGAATTGCTTGAACCTGGGAGGTAGAGGTTGCGCTGAGCTGAGATCACGCCACTGCACTCCAGCCTGGGTGACAGAACAAGACTCCATCTCAGAAAAAAAAAAAAAAAAAGGCCAGGCATGGTGGCTCACGCCTGTAATCTCAGCACTTTGGGAGGCCGAGGCAGATCACTTAAGAGTAAGAATTCAAGGCTGTCCTGGCCAACATGGTGAAACCCTGCCTCTACTAAAAATATAAAAATTAGCTGGGCATGGTGGCAAGCACCTGTAATCCCAGCTATTCAAGAGGCTGAGGCAGGAGAATCACTTGAACCCGGGAGAGGGAGGTTGCAGTGAGCAAAGATTGTGCCACTTGTACTCCACCCTGCTGGGCGACAGAGCAAGACTCTGTCTCAAAAAAAAAAAAAAAAAGAAAGAAAGAAAAGTCAAGTGGGCGCAGTGGCTCATGCCTGTAATATCAGCACTTTGGGAGGCCAAGGCCGGCGGATCATCTGAGGTCAAGAGTTCGAGACCAGCCTGGCCAACACTGTGAAACACCATCTCTACTAAAAATACAAAAAGTAGCTGGGTGTGGTGGAGGGGGTCTGTAATCCCAGCTACTCAGGAGGCTGAGGCAGGAGAATCACTTGAACCCAAGAGGCGGAAGTTGCAGTGAGCCAAGACTGGGCCACTGCACTACAGCCTGGGCAACAGAGGGAGACTCCATTTCGGAAAAAAAAAAAAAAGAAAAAGAAAAAGAAAGAAGTCAGTCAACTCAGGACATCACCTGACAAGCATCATCTCTATTTTCTAGAAGCTAGGACAGAACCAGACTGATTAAGGAAGCACACAAACCACTACAAGGCAGGGTCCATAGCTTGTGTGCTCTAGACAATGCTCCCCTCAGAATGGGTGTTCAGCCTATACCTGAAAATGGAAGTAACTCAGAGACTTTCCCAAGACTAAGAAGCAAATGGCAAAACCAGGACTATTCCCAGGTATCAGCCAGTCTGTACCTACTACAGGTCAACTAGCTTCACAAAAGACAATTTAATCTGGTCCCATCAGCATCTACTCAGTTTGCCTAATGTTACAAATGATCAATGAAGATGAGCTCTCGTTCATTTAAATAAACATGACCACCTTTGGTTCCCTTTCAAATTATCCTACACAAGAAGGAAGGCATTCCTCCTTCCGAAGGGGGAACCAGCTCCAAATTGACAGTATTTCAGGAAATTCTGATTAGAAACCACATTTTCTGACACATCCCAGAATGAAAATTCATGGTAAGATCTTCTCAATGAGCAGGAGATTCCTGTAAATTAATACTTTCTCCTGCTCCAGCCCTGAACTTATTCAAACGGCACACTGTCACTCATATCTTCTCATTTCTTCCCCTGCTCAATTATACAAGCCTCATGAACACCACCTAAATATAAAATGAAAATTATAAGATAAAGTCCCATAATCATCTTCTTCCCCCACTCCCCCGCCCCACCGAAAGACAGTCTCCCTCTGTTGCCCAAGCTGGAATGCAGTGGCACAATCACAGCTCACTGCAGCCTCAACCTCCTGGGCTTACACGACCCTCCCACCTCAGCCTCCTTAGTAGCTGGCACTACAGGCTCACACTGCCACACCCGGCTCATTTTTGTATTTTTTGTAGAGACAGGGTTTTGCTATCTTGCCCAGGCTAATCTTGAACTCTTGAGCTCAAGCAATCCACCAGCCTCGGCCTCCCAAAGTGCTGGGATTACAGGCATGAGACACCTTGCCTGACCCCATAATCTTCATAAAGGAAGCCCAAAAGGTACCTGCAATCTTGCAAAGTAAACTGATTTCCTGCTACTTGAATAACACTTATTAAGACCTTATAAATTACATAAGCATAGTGTAAGACAGAAAGGGACCAAAAAATTACTAAATTACAGTCCCTGCCTTGAGAAGCTCACTATTAAGTGGAGGAAGTGCATAATCTGCTACTTCCTTATAGACAAATAAAATAAACATTTTTTTTTCCCCAAGACTTTTTTCATATATGCCCTCACTCAAAGCTGGTGCCAATACATTAAGCTCACCAGGTCTCTCACTTCCAGCTGCCTACTAAGGTCTCCATCGGTACATCCTACAAGCAACCTGAGCTCGGCATACCAAACCATATCCCCTATGCCTCTTTCCATACCCTAACCTTTGGAAACCTGCTCTACTTTTTCTAATCCATATCCTGTCAATGAAATCCCCATACATCCACTCTCTCAAATTAGAAATCCTAGCCCACTCTCTTCCTAAGAAGTTGAATCAATCTCAGAAGTACAGTATTTCCAAAATCCCCTCCTCTTCATTCCCACAGCTACACTTTCTTCAGACTCTCAGTCAATTGCAACAACTCTAATTAGTCTCACTGCCTCATTCTTCATTACTTTAATCTGCATTTCTGTCACTCCCTAACTTAAAAAAAACTCCTCAGAAGCTAAAAAAAAAAAAAAAAAAAAAAAAAGAGAAAAAAATTCCAATGACTCCCCACTTTCTTTTCAGTCTCACCTCCTAGCAGTTTCCCCACCACACATCCTGTTTGGGACAAATTTCTGAGATTTAAAATAATTTTTTTTCCTCTCACATCCTCACCAAGCCTTTGCAAGTACTGTTCTCTCCAAATGAAATGCCTTTTCTTTTTCAGAGATGGGGTCTCGCCATGTTGAGCCAGCTCGTCTCAAACTCCTGGGCTCAGGCAATCTACCTGCCTAGGCCTCCCAAAGTGCTAGGATTACAGGTATAAGCCACCAGGCCGAGTAAAAATGCCTTTTCTTACTTGTGCAATCTCCTACTCATCCTTCAACACCCAACTCAAGTATCTCCCCCCTGCAAAGATTTCCCTGACTCTCCCAAGCAATGGCAGTATTCCCATTACACTGTATAAATTTTTTTTTTTTTTTTTGAGAGGGAGTCTCGCTCTGTCGCCCAGGCTGGAGTGCAGTGGCACCATCCCGGCTCACTGCAAGCTCCGCCTCCTGGGTTCATGCCATTCTCCTGCCTCAGCCTCCTAGTAGCTGGCACTACAGGCGCCCGCCACCACACCCGGCTAATTTTTTGTATTTTTAGTAGAGACGGGGTTTCACCATGTTAGCCAGGATGGTCTTGATCTCCTGACCTTGTGATCCGCCGGCCTCCGCCTCCCAAAGTTACATAGTAAGTGCTCAATAAATGTGTTGAATAAACAGTTCACCCTTATATATCCTGGATCAATTTTTGGCCATTTTCCCCAAATGTTACAGATTCCTAAACTGTGCTCAGTGTGAGATTCCAAATTTCATAATGACTGCTTTGAGGTTTTCACCTTGTTTTAATTATCCAAATGTTGAACAAGTCGGCTGGGGGCAGTGACTCACTCCTGTAATCCCAGCACTTTGGGAGGCTGAGACGGGTGGATCACGAGGTCAGGAGTTGGAGACCAGCCTGGCCAATATGGTGAAACTCCGTCATTACTAAAAACACAAAAATTAGCCAGGCATGGTGGTGCGCGCCTGTAGTCACAGCTACTCAGAAGGCTAAGGCAGAAGAATCGCTGGAACCCGAGAGACGGAGGTTGCAGTGAGCCAAGATCATGCCACTGCACTCCAGCCTGGGCGACAGAGCGAGACTCCGTCTCAAAAAAAAAAAAAAAAAGTTGAACAATAAATTGTAATACCTAAAAGTCCAATGAAAACACCTTAAAGGCTTCTCTAGTCACTGAAATGGGTATTCCCCCTTTACAGTCGTAACAAGAGGGATCCCTCTTTCCCTTGACTGTGATCTGATATCCTGAAAGTCTTCACACAGAAGCTATTGTGCACACAAATCCAACTTAAGGTACACCCAAAATAATTCCAATCCTGCTAAGTTACGGGCAGGGACACAAATCATATTTACCCTAGTTTACAAAGCAACTAAAGGATAGCAAAGAAAAAGCTCTCACTAAGCTCAAAACTTTTTCTGGCCGGGCGCAGTGGCTCACACCTGTAATCCGAACACTTTGGGAGATCGAGGTGGGTGAATCATCTGAGGTCAGAAGTTTGAGACCAGCCTGGCCAACATGGCGAAACCCTGTCTCTACTAAAAATACAAAAATTAGCCGGGCGTGGTAGCTCACGTCTGTAATCCCAGCTGCTTGGGGGGCTGACGGGGAAGAATCGCTCGAACCTGGAAGGCGGAGGTTGCAGTGAGCCGAGATCACGCCATTGCACTCCAGCCTGGGCAACGAGAGCGAAACTCCGTCTCAAAAAAACAAAAAACAAAACAAACAAACAAACAAAAAAAAAAAGGCCGGGCGCGGTGGCTCACGCCTTTAATCACAGCACTTTGGGAGGCCGAGGCGGGCGGATCACCTGAGGTTGGGAGTTCGAGACCAGCCTGACCAACATGGAGAAATCCCGTCTCTATCAAAAATATAAAATTAGCTGGGCGTGGTAGCGCAAGGCTGAGGCAGGAGAATCGCTTGAACCCCGGAGGCAGAGGTTGTGGTAAGCCGAGATCGGGCAACTGCACTCCAGACTGGGCGACAACAGCGAAACTCCATCTCAAAATAAATAAATAAATAAATAAATAAATAAAATAAAATAAAAAACTTTCTGGAGAGGAAGAACTGCGGAGGGTCGGATGATCCAGTGACATACATTTGGGTATGGCCCAAGTTTCTGCTTCCCCATTCGCCAGGGGCAGCACGCCTCAGCTTCTCCTTCTCCAGGGGACCAGGTTTCTCTCTACTTTTTCCTTCCCTATACCCTCCTGGGAACAGGTTCCTTTCCTGGGCTCTCGCCGAGTAACCCAAAGAAAACACAGTAGCTTCACTGATTCCGTGTGAAGAGTGGGTTAAAGCCTGTCAGAGCCTGGAGAGGGACAGGACTGGAGCCCTTCCGGGACACCTGAAGACTTCGCACAAACCCGCTTTCCTCTATCCCTGAGATTCTCAGAGGTGCCTTGCCCTACGCCCGCACCCCAGGACCAAGAACAGCAGGAGAGGAAGCTCTCGGGGCAGCTGGCGGGGTCAAAGGTCAGCACCTCGGAAGCCAGAAGGCCCCGCAGGGATGCGGGAGAGGGACGTGACCGGGACCGTGTGGTCCGAGGGACCGGCCGCTGGAAGAGCGAAGCCGTTTCTCTCTAGGCTCGGCCGCCCCCAGGCCCAGCCCTCCCCGGCATACGCAGCTTCAGCAGCCGTCCTCCCTCCCTCTCCCCTCGCGTCCTCGTCGTCCCCGCGGCCAGCGCAGGCCCCGCCCCCAGAACCGCCTCGGGGCCAAGGCCTAGTATGGCAGGACCCGCAGGGTTGGTCAGGTTCGAGGACCGGGCCGGGCCTGGCCGCCGCCGCTTACCGAGCCCGCGGCTCCTCCTCTACCACCCGCGCCGTTCCCGGGCCCGCTCGCTCTCGACGCCACCGACGCTGCCGCTGCTCCGGGCTCACGGGCGCGCTCCCGACCTCCCCGACCCTTCCCGTGTCCCCGCGCCCCGCCGGGTCCTAAAGCCCGGCGCGCAATGGGTTAGTCCACGCCCGCTTCCTGAGACCGGCTCAGACCACGATTCCCAGCAAGCATCGCAAAGACTACAACTCCCGAAAGGCATCGCGAGAAATAAATTCGCAGTGGACTTGTCTATTGAGGGCCTACTGGGTCGCAATAGCAGTTTTCCGAAACATGGCCGACTCTTTGACCTCAGCAATTTTACTTCTAGGAATACATGTATCCTCTAGAAATACTGGCGAAGTTTGGAAAGATATATTTTCCAAATGTGTATTACAACTTTGTACGTGAAAGATTGAAAACAAACTCATTCTTTCAACAAATACGTGTGTGCCTGATAAGTGCAAAGTAGCGTGTAAAGCTCTATTAACTTGGCCAGAAATCTATTTTCTTTTCTTTTCCTTTTTTTTTTTTTTGAGACAGGATCTTGCCCTTGCCCAGGCTGGAGTGCCGCAGTGGCACAATTACAGCTCAGTGCAGCCTCCACCTCCTAGGCTCAAGCAGTCCTCCTGCCTCTGCCTCTGGTAGCTGGGATTACAGGCACGTGCCACCACTCCCTGCCTCTGAGTCTTTGTTTTCTTTTTTTTTTTTTTTTTCGAGATGGTGTCTCACTCTATTGCCCAGGCTGGAGTGCAGTGGTGCGATCTCGGCTCACTGCAACCTCTGCCTCCCGGGTTCAAGAGAGTCTCCTGCCTCAGCCTCCCCAGTAGCTGGGATTACAGGAGTGTACCACCACGCCCGGCTAATTTTTGTATTTTTTAGTAGAGACAAGGTTTCACCATGTTGCCAGGCTGGTCTCAAGCTCCTGGCCTCAGGTGATCCACCCGCCTCTGCCTCCCAAAATGCTGGGATTACAGGCGTGAGCCACCGCACCCAGCCTGAGTCTCTGTTTTTTTATACACAAATGGAAGGTTTAAAAAGATGTGCTATAACAGCAAGAATACTATTAAAAAGAAAAAACAAGTAAAAAAAATAAAATAAGCCAGGCGCGGTGGCTCACACCTGTAATCCCAACACTTTGGAAGGCAAAGGCGGGTGGATCACCTGAGGTCAGGAGTTCGAGACCAGCCTGGCCAACATGGTGAAACCCCATCTCTACTAAAAATACAAAAAATGGCCGGGCGTGTTGGCAGTCCTCTGTAATCCCAGCTACTCGGGAGGCTGAGGCAGGAGAATCGCTTGAACCTGGGAGGCGAAGGTTGCAGTGAGCCAAGATCGCGCCATCGCACTCCAACCTGGGCGACAGAGCGAGACTCCGTCTCAAAACAAAAAAGAAGTGGAGAAGAGTTCTGTGGGCGGCAAGCCACCCAGGTGCCGAGTCAAGAGACCGAAGACACAAGCTGTTCCAGTATAATAAAGAAAATAATTAAAATAAGAATAGCTATATTAGAAATAGAATATAGATGTGATTATATATGAATATTAGTAATCATTAGTTTGTAGCATTACTTTTATTAATAACTTATATTTTACAATTATAATTTAGGAAAACCAGGCCATACAGAGTTAGGAGCTGAAGGGACACGGTGAGAAGTGACCAGAAGGCAAGAGTGTGAGCCCTCTGTCACGCCCAGACAGGGCCACTAGAGGACTCCTTGGTCTAGCGGTAATGCCAGTGCCTAAGAAGGCACCCGTTACTTAGCAGACCTTGGACTAGCCATAGCGCCAGTGCCTGGGAAGGCACCTGTTACTTAGCAGACGGGCCTTTCCCTGAGGAAGTTAGAGAACACTCTGCTTCACCACCTCTTGTTGGAAGCCTGACATCAGCCAGGCCTACCCGCAGCCAACCGGAGGCTTAAACCTCTCCGAGATGCTGTGCTTCAGCGGTCACGCTCCTGGTTCACTTTCCTGTTCCGCTCTGTACCTAGATAGCAGTAGCAGAACTAGTAAAAGTATTAAAGTCTTTGATCTTTCTGAGAAATGCACAGAAGAAATAATGACGTAAGCTGTCCCCTCTCTCTCTGCTTCGGCTACCAAATAGGGAAGGGCCCCCTGTCCGGCAGACACGTGACTTGTGTAACCTTACCTATCATTGGAGATGACTCACACTCCTTACCCTGCCCCCTTGCCTTGTACACAATAAATAGCAGCGTGGCCAGGCATTCGGGGCCACTACCAGTCTCTGCGTCTTGGTGGTAGTGGTCCCCCGGGCCCAGCTGTCTTTTCTTCTCTTTGTCTTGTGTCTTTATTTCTACCATCTCTCGTCTCCACACACGAAGAGAAAACCCACAGGCCCTGTAGGGCTAGACCCTACAGAGTTCAAACCCAGATCTGTCAGGAAAGACCTCTCAATCCAGAAGTTCAGGTTCTACCTTGGTAGAGTTTTATTTTTCTCGTCTACTTACACAGCAGTGTAAGACATGATTGGCTGTTAAAAAAATTAAAGCGGGCCGGGCGCGGTGGCTCACGCCTGTAATCCCAGCACTTTGGGAGGCCGAGGCGGGCGGATCACGAGGCCAGGAGATCGAGACCATCCTGGCTAAAACGGTGAAACCCCATCTCTACTAAAAATACAAAAAATTAGCCGGGCGTGGTGGTGGGCGCCTGTAGTCCCAGCTACTTGGGAGGCTGAGGCAGGAGAATGGCGTGAACCCAGGAGGCGGAGCTTGCAGTGAGCCGAGATGGTGCCACTGCACTCCAACCTGGGCAACAGAGCGAGACTCCCTCTCAAAAAAAAAAAAAAAAAATTAAAGCTGTACTCTAATAGAATATAAAAGAGTGGGCAGGGGCAAGAGAAAGGTATCATGAGGTGAACCCCAATAGTTCTTGAATACCAGTTAGAAGCCTGTGTTCAGCTAAAAGAACCCTGTTCTATACCTGATTTTTTGTTTTGAGATGGAGCCTCACTCTATTGCCCAAGCTGAAGCGCAATGGCACCATCTTGGCTCACTGCAACCTCCGCCTCCTAGGTTCAAGCAATTCTCCCTCAGCCTCCCAAGTAGCTGGCATTATAGGCATGTGCCACCACGCCCAGCTAGTTTTTGTATTTTTAGTAGAGGCGGGGTTTCTTCATGTTGGTCAGGCTAGTCTCGAACTCCTGACTTCAGGTGATCCACCCATCTCGGCCTCCCAAAGTGCTGGGGTTACAGGCCCGGGCCACCATGCCCGGGCGTATCTGATTTCTTTTTAACAAAATTATTTTTCTGGCATGCTGCCGTGGCTCATGCCTGTAATCCCAGCTGTAATTACAGCAATTACATGCCTGTAATCTTTGGGAGGTCAAGGCAGGAGGACTGCTTGAGCTCAGGAGTTTGAGACCAGCTCGGGAAATATAATGAGATCTCATCTCTACTAAAAATTTAAAAAATTAGCTGAGTGCACCTATAGTCCCAGCTACTTGGGAGGCTGAGGTTGGAGGATCGCTTGAGCCTGGGAGGTAGAGGCTAGAGTGAACCACTGCACTCCAGCCTGGGCAACTGAGTGAGACCCTGTCTCAAATAAAATAAAATAAAATAAACAACACTTTTCCCCGTGGCACCTACTGAATATCCAATCCTGGGAGCAGTAAAAAGAAAAATAGCAATTCTGAGAGTATATTGTAACAAAGTGATAGGTACAGAGATAGAGATATACACAATTAAATGTTTTAAATCTCAATGAATACAAGCTGGAATACAAAGGCTGAAGTTGTAAATGCCTTGAAAATTCAGAGAAGGGAAAATGTCATGTGAATCTCCAGAGGCTTTCTGAGAAAGGTGAAGATTGAGTCAAGCGTTAGAGGAGAGGAGAAAAAGAAAGAAGGTATGAGAATGAAGCAGCACAATACATTGCCCACATCTATGCCAGGGAAGTCAATTTCATACAGATGCAGACTAGAATAAATATAGAAGGCCATATACTGAGTAGGTAAGAGCACTACCTCTGGAAAACTATGAGAAGGGATCCCAGATCTGCTACCCACTAACTCTAAGACTGAGCAATTACTTGAGCTCTCTGAGACTTAGTTTCCTCATCTAGAAAATGGGGATAACAAAAACCCTATGTCATATTGTTTAGGTTATTCAGCATTGAATTCTTCCTCCTTTATTCTGGAAGATTCCTCCTTGGGCATAGTCTCAATGGAAAACTATGCCCTGGGCAACCAAGATAAGTGAGGGCATGTGACCTGGGTTCAGACACTAGGTGCAGCTTTCAAGGGCTTTATTTCTTTTTTCTTTTTTTTTTCTTTTTTTTTTTTGAGACGGAGTCTTGCTCTGTCACCCAGGCTGGAGTGCAGTGGCACAATTTCAACTCACTGCAAGCTCCACCTCCTCAGTTCACACCATTCTCCTGCCTCAGCCTCCCGAGTAGCTGGGACTACAGGCACCCACCACCACGCCTGGCTAATTTTTTGTATTTTTAGTAGAGACGGGGTTTCACCATGTTAGCCAGGATGGTCTCAATCTCCTGACCTCGTGATCCACCTGCCTCGGCCTCCCAAAGTGCTGGGATTACAGGTATGAGCCAATGCACCTGGCACTTAGTTCTTCATCAAGAGATGTGGGCTGGGTGCGGTGGCTCACGACTGTAATCCCAGCACTGTGGGAGGCCAAGGCAGGTGGATCACCAGGTCAGGAGATCGAGCCCATCCTGGCAAACACGGTGAAACTCCGTCTCTACTAAAAATACAAAAAATTAGCCAGGTGTGGTGGCATGCAACTGTAGTCCCAGCTACTCGGGAGGCTGAGGCAGGAGAATAGCTTGAACCCGGGAGGCAGAGGTTGCAGTGAGCCAAAATCGCGCCACTGCACTCCAGCCTGGGTGACAATGAGACTCCCTGTCAAAAAAAAAAAAAGAGAGAGAAAGAGAATGAGAGAGAGAGAGAGTGCAGTGGCCCACGCCTGTAATCCTAGCACTTTGGGAGGCCAAGACCGGTGGATTACTTGAGGTCAGGAGTTCGAGGCCAGCCTGGCCAACATGGGGAAACCCTCTCTCTACTAAAAAAATATACATATACAAAAATTAGCCGGGCATGGTGGCAGGTGCCTGTACTCGGGAAGCTGAGGCAGGAGAGTCGCTTGAACCCAGGAGGCGGAGGTTGCAGTGAGTAGAGATCGTGCCACTGCACTCCAGCCTAGGCAACAGAGCAAGAGCCCATCTCAAAAAAAAAAAAAAAAAGACAGAGAGAGAGAGATGTAAAGTTAGTGAGAAGTGGAGAAGGGTTTGAATCCAGATCTATTAGGAAACACCTCTTAACACAGAAGTTCAGGTTCTTCCTTGGTAGAGTTTTATTTTTCTTGTCTACTTACACAATAGTATAAGACATGATTGGCCTGGGGCGGGGGCTTATGCCTGTAATCCCAGCACTTTGGGAAGCCGAGGCGGGTGGATCACCTGAGGTCAGGAGTTCGAGACCAGCCTGGCCAAGATGGTGAAACCCTGTCTCTACTAAAACTACAAAAATTAGCCAGGCACAGTGGTGGGCGCCTGTAATCCCAGCTACTTGGGAGGCTAAGGCAGGAGAATCGCTTGAACCTGGGAGGCGGAGGTTGCAGTGAGCTGACATCGCACCACTGCACTCTAGCCTGGGTGACAGAGCAAGACTCCGTCTCAAAAAAAAAAAAAAAAAAGAAAAAGAAAGACATGATTAGCAGGGGTTTTTTTGGTTTGTTTTTTTTTTTTTCTGAGACACAATTTCGCTCTTGTTGTCCAGGCTGGAGTGCAATGGCGTGACTTCGGCTCACGGCAACCTCCGCCTCCTGGGTTCAAGCGATTCTCCTGCCTCAGCCTCCTGAGTAGCTAGGATTACGGGCATGCACCACCACGCTGGGCTAATTTTGTACTTTTAGTGGAGACAGGGTTTCTCCATGTTAGTCAGGCTGGTCTAGAACTCCCGAACTCAGGTGATCCGCCTGCCTCAGCCCCCCAAAGTGCTGGGACTACAGGTGTGAGCTACCGCACCCAGCCAATTTGCAGTTTTTTAAAAAAATCAAAGTTGTACCCTAATAGAATATAAAAAAGTAGGCAGGTGTAAGAGAAAGGTGTAATGAGGTGAACCCCAATAGAAGGTATGATCAGAATTTATTCATAACAGGTGCTGTCTTCCAGTGCAGTGATCAGCTTGTATAGCACCAGAGATCATGGTATCTTTAACAAATTGTTCCGGCTAAAAAAACAGTTGTGGCCAGGCACAGTGGCTCATACCTGTAATCCCAGCACTTTGGGAGGCCGAGGCAGGTGGATCACCTGAGGCCAGGACCTTCAAGACCAGCCTGGCCAACATGGCAAAACCCCGTCTCTACAAAAAATACAAAAATTAGCAGGGCATGGTGGTGTGCACCTGTGATACCAGCTACTCGGGAGGCTGAGGTGGAAGAATTGCTTGATCCCAGGAGGCAGAGGTTGCAGTGAGCCAAGATTGTGCCACTGCACTCCAGCCTGGGGAGACAGCAAGACTCTGTCTAAAAAAAAAAAAAAAAAAGTCGTGCTTCCTACTTCTTAGTATTTGGTGGGTGTGGGTGTCTTGGTTCATGACCATTTGCCACACCTGTTCTTCCTTTCTCCTGAAGATTCTGTGAGTCCCCTATGTTCTTCTAAATAACTTCATTTTTGCTTAAGACAGCCATGGTCTGTTTCTGTAATTTTTTTTTTTAAAGAGACAGGATGCTTGCCATGTTGCCCAGGCTGTAGTGCAGTGGCTATTCACAGGCACAATCATTGCACACCACAGACTCCAACTCCTGGCCTCAAGTAATCCTCTTGCCTCAGCCTCCTGAGTAGCTGGAACTGCATGCGTGAACCACCGTGCCTGGCCTACTTCTGTAATTTTTAAGGAAAAGTTTTCTAAGTGATATCACACACACAAACATGTGCCCATGAAAACGTAATGATTCCTTCACCAAACATCTGTGGAGACTTTGTGTCAGGCTCTACTCTAAATATGAGGATAGGATACAAAAACAAAAGAAATCTATGTCAACTAAGAGCAACTGAAGGAGGAGCAGTTTGGGGCAGGAAGATGATGTTTAGGACATGTTGAGAATGAAATGTCTGTGAGATGAGACATCTTAGGCAGAAATAAATATTTAGTAGACATTTGGATGCTCTTTTTTTGTGTGGAGCTTAGCAGAGACGTCTGAGCTGTAGGCAAAAGAAAAAAATAAAGGGGCTCAAAGTGGAATCAGGATATAGGAGGAAGAGCACATTTAAAGGATGATGGAGGGGCCGGGTACAGTGGCTCACACCTGTAATTCTAACATTTTGAGAGGCTAAGGCGGGCAGATCACTTGAGGCCTGGAGTTCGAGACCAGCCTGGCCAACCAACATAGCAAAACCCGACCTCTACTAAAAATATAAAAAGTAGCTGGGCATGGTGGTGCACTTCTGAAATCCCAGCTACTAGGGAGGGAGGCTTAGGCAGGAGAATCGCTTGAACCTGGGACATGGAGATAGCAGTGAGCCGAGATTGCGCCACTGCACTTCAACCTGGGCAACGGAGCAAGACTCTGTCTCAATAAATAAATAAATAGGCCAGGCACGGTGGCTCATGCCTGTAATCCCAGCACTTTGGGAGGCCAAGGCATGTGGATCACGAGGTCAAGAGATCAAGACCATCCCGGCCAGCAAGGTGAAACCCTGTCTCTACTGAAAATACAAAAATTAGGTGGGCGTGGTGGTGGGTGCCTCTAATCCCAGCTACTCGGGAGGCTGGGCAGGAGAATCGCTTGAACCCAGGAGGCAGAGGTTGCACTGAGCCAAGATGGTGCCACTTCACTCAAACGTGGGCGACAGAGTGAGACTCTATCTCAATCAATCAATCAATAAAGGATGGAGGAAGATGAACCAAAGGCAAATAAAACTCTGAAGGCAGTGCTATCTAAAAATAAAAATAAAAAAATAAAATAAAATAAAAGGAAAGGAAAACCAGCCAGGAAAGATGCAGTGCAAACCACAGGAGGGACTTTCAATGAGAAGGCTGTCAAATAAAAATGTCCTTGAAGACCTCAGCAAAAGCTACTTCAGGGAAGTAGTGGGTTGAGGATAGAAGGAAAGAAAGTGGAGGTGGCAAATGTAGCATCCTTGCAAGAAAATTGACTGAGAAAGGAAAAGGGGAGGGAGTGATGGAGGTGGAAGTGGGGAGATGAGGATGAAAGAACGAATTCCAAGACAGGAGAGATGACAGGGTATTTCTATGCTGAGGACGGAATGAGGGCAGTGAAACAGAAATGGATGCAAGTTCTCAAGGAAGGTAGGGGCCGGGGAGGAGAGGCAGGGCTCATAAAGAGGGATTGGCCTTGGAGAGAGGAGGAAAACTGCTCACCTGAAAAGGCAGTCAAGGGGTGGAAGGACCCCTGCATACAAATTTGTAGGTGTTACTGAAGAGTCGGTACACAGGCTCAGTGCTTCTAAATTATGTTTCTCTGTTTTGGTTTGGGTGATGAGTTGTTGATATGATAAAGTGATTTGTTGCACTGACTCTGGAGCCAGAGTGCCTGTGGTTGAAATCCCACCTCCACCACTTAATACCTGCTTGATCTTAGTTAAGTTACGTAATCTCTCTGTGCTTCATCCTCCTTATCTGTAAAAGGGACTAGGGGATAGAGAAGGCTGTCACATAGTGATATGGAAGTGGTTTTCTTTCCTTCCTTCCTTCTCTCTCTCTCTCTTTCTTTCTTTCTGTCTTTTTAAAATTTTTATAGAGACAAGGTCTGCCTATGTTGCTCAGGCTGGTCTCGAACGCCTGGCCTCAAGCAATCCTCCCACCTCAGCCTCCCAAAGTGCTAAGATTATAGGCGTGAGCCACCGCGCCCAGCCATGTTTACTATTTCCACTAGATTGTCATCTCCATGAGGTTGAGGTTTTCTATTTTGTTTAGGGCTGTCTACTCAGAGCCTGGCACAAAGCATGTGCTCAACGAAAATTTCCTGAATGAGTAAATTGGGGTGAAATTCTTGGGAGAGGGGCTCAGGGGGCTGGAATCCCTATTCCTGCGTGGGACTCCGGGCCACTGGGCGGCGTCCTGGGGTCTGGGGAAGGGCCTCCCCCTGCGCCGAGAGCGTGCCCGGGCGGGCGCGGTCCAGGCGCTGAGCCCCTGGGGCGCTCCCGTGGCTCCTCCCCCGGCGGGCGTGTAGTGTCGGCCCAGCGACTGCGGGAGGCATCCCGGAGCCGGCCGGGCGGGGCGGAGTCGACGCTCGGCCCGGCCTCTGCTCACCTCATCCACGGGAGACGGAAGTCTTGGCCCTGCTCCGCTCCCCCGAGAATCGGGCCTCGCCCTGCTGGGCGGCTGGACCTGGGCAAAGCCTGGGCGCGCTCCCGCGCAGCGGCGCCATGAAGCGCTCGGGGACTCTGCGGCTGCTCTCGGACCTGAGCGCCTTCGGCGGCGCGGCGCGGCTCCGGGAGCTGGTGGCCGGGGACTCAGCGGTCCGAGTCCGTGGCAGTCCGGACGGCCGCCACTTGCTGCTCCTGCGACCCCCTGGGGCGGTAGCCCCACAGCTGCTAGTCGCGTCGCGAGGGCCCGGCGCGGAGCTAGAGCGGGCCTGGCCGGCCGGCCAGCCCTCCCCGCTGGACGCCTTCTTCCTGCCGTGGCCAGCGCGGCCGGCGCTGGTGCTGGTGTGGGAGAGTGGCCTGGCCGAGGTGTGGGGCGCGGGCGTGGGGCCTGGCTGGCGGCCGCTGCAGAGCACCGAGCTGTGTCCGGGCGGGGGAGCCCGCGTTGTGGCAGTGGCGGCGCTCCGAGGCCGCCTGGTGTGGTGCGAGGAGCGGCAGGCCCGGGCCGAGGGCCCGTCAGGGTCGCCAGCAGCCGCTTTCAGCCACTGTGTGTGCGTCCGGACTCTGGAGCCCAGCGGGGAAGCTAGCACCAGCCTGGGCCGCACACACGTCCTGCTGCACCACTGCCCTGCCTTCGGGCTGCTGGCCTCCTGCAGACAACTCTTCCTGGTGCCCACTGCCACCACCTGGCCTGGCGTGGCCCACGTTCTACTCATCTGGAGCCCAGGCAAGGGCAAAGTGATGGTGGCTGCCCCACGGCTTGGTCTCTCCTACAGTAAGAGTCTGAATCCTGGACGAGGGGACACATGGGACTTCCGGACCCTGCTCCGAGGCCTTCCTGGGTTGCTGTCCCCCAGGGAGCCACTGGCTGTACACACCTGGGCCCCAACTCCCCAGGGCCTGCTGTTGCTTGACTTCGGGGGCACTGTGAGCCTATTGCAGTCCCACGGTGGTACGCGGGCTGTGGGCACCCTGCAGGAGGCACCTGTAGGCCCGTGGGGGTCTGCAGCCCTAGGCACATTTCAGGGCACTCTGGCCTGTGTGCTGGGCTCCACATTGGAACTGCTGGACATGGGCAGTGGGCAGCTGCTGGAGAGGAAGGTCCTAAGTACAGACAGGGTACATCTGCTAGAACCGCCAGCCCCCGGCATGGAGGATGAGGAAGAGCTGGAGACCCGAGGGAATCTTCGTCTGCTTTCAGCCTTGGGTCTGTTTTGTGTGGGCTGGGAAGCCCCACAGGGTGTTGAGTTGCCTTCAGCCAAGGATCTGGTGTTTGAGGAGGCCTGCGGGTACTACCAGCGGCGGAGCCTGCGGGGTGCCCAGCTCACTCCAGAAGAACTGAGACACAGCAGCACATTCCGGGCACCTCAGGCTCTGGCCTCCATCCTCCAGGGCCACCTGCCCCCATCTGCACTGCTGACCATGTTGAGGACCGAGCTTCGGGATTACCGAGGCTTAGAACAGCTGAAGGCCCAGCTGGTGGCTGGGGATGATGAGGAGGCTGGTTGGACTGAGCTGGCGGAGCAGGAAGTGGCACGCCTGCTGAGGACTGAGTTGATAGGAGACCAGCTAGCCCAGCTCAACACCGTTTTCCAAGCCCTTCCTACAGCAGCCTGGGGTGCCACCCTCAGGGCCCTGCAGCTCCAGCTAGATGGGAATGGCAAGCTGAGGTCCCAAGCACCCCCTGATGTGTGGAAGAAAGTGTTAGGGGGAATAACCGCTGGAAAGGAACCCCCCAATGGAATACTGCCCCCCTTTGAACTCCTGTGCCAGTGTCTGTGCCAGCTGGAGCCTCGATGGCTGCCACCCTTTGTGGAGCTGGCACAGCAGCAGGGCGGGCCGGGCTGGGGGGCAGGGGGCCCAGGACTGCCCCTGTATCGCCGAGCTCTGGCAGTGCTAGGTGAGGAGGGGACCAGGCCTGAGGCTCTGGAGCTAGAGCTGCTCTTGAGCAGTGGGCGGCCTAAAGCTGTGCTCCAAGCTGTCGGGCAGCTGGTGCAAAAGGAACAATGGGATCGGGCTCTGGATGCTGGCCTGGCCCTCGGCCCCTCCAGTCCCCTGCTTCGAAGTGAAATCTTCAAACTGCTGCTGGCCGAGTTTGCCCAGCACCGCCGGCTTGATGCTCACCTCCCCCTCCTTTGCCGCCTGTGCCCACCAGAACTGGCTCCAGCTGAGCTCCTGCTTCTACTGAGGACATACCTCCCAGATGAGGTGGGGCCCCCAACCCCATTCCCTGAGCCTGGAGCAGAGCCCCCTCTCACTGTGGGCTTGCTCAAAGCCCTGCTGGAGCAGACTGGGGCTCAAGGATGGCTGTCGGGCCCAGTTCTAAGCCCATATGAGGACATCCTATGGGACCCCAGCACTCCACCCCCGACTCCACCTCGGGACCTATGACTACCCTTCAGGCATCAGAACACTCAGGGCCTGGAGGCTTGCTTGGGACTGGAGGCTTGCTTGGACAGTTCCTCTGTGTCACTGACACAGGAAATCATTTCTAGGACACAGTGATCAGGGAAGGGTGCCTGGGACTTGGAGGGTCCCATGTATGGACCTGTGTATGCAATACTGTTCTGTCATCTGGAGCTATTTTTAAGATGTGTGTGTTAAATATATACATAGTTTAATATATACACAGTTGTGTGTTTTTAAACAGGTACAGGTCTCAGAGGATGCAGGTTATAGAGGGAGTGGTTGGATCTGGATCTTTTGGCTAAAGTCCCCACTTCCAATCATGAAAATAGTTAACATTTATGAGCATTTAATAGAAGCCAGGCATTCTACTCATCTTTATATAATCCCTCAGCTAGCTTCTCATAACCCCAGTGGGGAAAGTACTGATGTTATTCCCATTTTACAGGAAATAGAAGTTTAGAAAAATTAAATGACTTGACCAAGTTCATTTGGCTAGAAAGTAGCACCTCAAAGATTGGAGCCACCTCACTGAACAGCCCAGTAGCTCCCACCTGCTTGGGCTTGGATGTACTCCCCATCCCTGGCTCCATGCCAGCTTCCCTGGCCTGCTAAGAGGAGGAGGACTACAGAGCTCCACCCTTCCTTTCCCCAGGACTCCTCTGCTCCGGAGTAGGAACTTTACTGGGCCCTGGGTCCTTGCCTGTCTCCACCAGGATTTCTGAAGCAGCTTCTAGTTTAGGGGAAGATTTGCCACAGACAGGAGAGCTGCCTGCAGAGCTCTCTGGCTCAGTAACAAAATTCACTGGGAGCAGAGCTATCTGGAGAGCCCCATATTCCTGCTGACTCTCCCAAGTCAAGAAATAAGAGCGTCTGCAACACAGATCTCTGCTTGTCTGGATGTATTCAACAGGCTCAACTCTGAAGAGGCCTTTGCCCCATGCTCACTTCTACCCAAGTAACCCCTCAGCCTAGCGTAGGATAGACCCCTGGTTCTAGCTTAGGTTAGGACCCTGGATGCAGCTACTCAGCATCATCCGCAGTCCCAGATACCCCTTGTCCAGGGTTGGGGCCAAGGTTAGGGCTGCTGCTCAGCTTTGTCCTCAGCTGGGACCTGCAGCTTAGATTCTGGTAGCCTTAACCTGGGCTTAAGGTGGACTCAGGCTAGGACTAGTGAGACTAGGGACAGTTCCTGTCTCTCAGGGGAGAGAAGTAGCTTACTTAGTCTTATCTGTGGCTGGTGTTAACTCTTCAGCCTCATAGAGGTCCTGAGGTGGCTCATCTACATGGCCAAGTCCTGAGGTACCATCTTGGCCTCCTCCAGAACTTGGATGGCCCTTGTCCTGGCCCTCAAGCCAGGCTGCCTACCAATACCTGGAGTCAAGCTACTGTTCTTGCCAGAGGCCCAGGGGTAGGGACAGTTCCAGTCTTGGCCTCCACCTCAGCCCCTTCCTGGTCTGGAAGGAGTTCCTCTTCTTGGTCTTGAAACTGGGCTCATCATGGCTCCTCAATGGGAGGCTGCTTCCTGTTCATGATCCTGCTTAATCATTGTTGCTTCTCAAATCTCCCAAGCCTGAGATTTGGCTTGGTCCTCCTGTGCCCAGGAGAGAAGGAATTCTACTCAGTGGGCCCCTGGGGCATGGGTAAGAGAAGGAAGCCAGGTTTTTCATTAAGGTTGTATGGCTTAAGGAAGTTCCCTGGGACCACCCACTAGTAGGGCCTCCAGATGAAGGCCACCCAGCCCAGCAGCTCTGAGCAGAGCAGGTGGGCTTAGATGGTGACTTTTACCTGCTTTTACAGGCTCAGTGCTTGATCACACTAGCCTTATCCTTCCTTTCAATGTGGAGGGTGCAAGTGATCCCAGCTGCATCTCAGGACTTTGGAAGACAGCTCAGGGATGCAGGACTTTGGAAACAGCACAGGGATCACCGTGTGACTGAGTTTTAATGGAGTTCCTGAGAGGGTTATCAGACAGAGGTCTCTGAATAGGAGGGTGGAGATCTTAAGCCAAAGTCCTTGGCCTTGAGTACCTGAGAAAGGGGTAAGTTCTGGCATTGATGGGTTTCTTATTTATTTATTTATTTATTTAATTTAATTCTATTTTTTTTTTTTGAGACGAAGCTTCACTCTTGTCCAGGCTGGAGTGCAATGGTGCGATCTTGACTCACCACAATCTCCACCTCCCGGGTTCAAGCGATTCTCCTGCCTCAGCCTCCTGAGTAGCTGGGATTACAGGCATGCACCACCACACCCAGCTAATTTTGTATTTTTGGTAGAGATGGGGTTTCTCCATGTTGGTCAGGCTGCTCTCGAACTCCTGACCTCAGGTGATCCGTCCACCTTGGCCTCCCAAAGTGCTGGGATTACAGGCATGAGCCACCATGCCCAGCTTTTTGCTTCTGTTTTTAAGAGACAGGATCTTGCTATGTTGCCCAGCCTGGAGTGCAATGGCTTATGGGCTCAAGCCATCCTCCTGCCTCAGCCTCCTAAGTAGCTGGAACTACAGACACAGGCCACTATGCCTGGCTTGGTTGCCTTTTTTCTTTTCTTTTTTTTGAGACAATTTCTTGCTATGTTGCCCAGGCTGGACTTGAACCCCTGGACTCGAGCACTCCTCCTACCTCAGCCTCTCAAGTAGCTGGGATTTTAGGAACATGCCACCGCACCCAGCTGCTGAAGGTTTTGAGTGGTGAACAAGGTCTCAGATCCAAGGTCCACAGGCAGGACTGGAGTAGGGGGGTCTGAAGTCCCTGGGAAGGTGAGGGGAGGATCCTAAGCCAGTGGGCAGGAGCATTTCCATAGGTGTGCCTCACCTCAGGAGCTCTCTCAGGTTCACATGGCAGTAAAGCTAGGCACAAGGAGTACTGCACAGTAGTCCCAGCAAGCATCCTGGGTGAAGGCGAGGAAGCAGGGCGCAAGGCTCCTTCAACTGCCTATGTGGCCTCAGGGACCCAAGCCTCCCTTTTTCTTTCTTTTTTTAATTTTTTTTTTTTTTTTTTTTTTTTGAGACAGAGTCTCGCTCTGTCTCCCAGGCTGGAGTGCAGTGGCGCTATCTCACCTCACTGCAAGCTCCGCCTCCCAGGTTCACACCATTCTCCTACCTCAGCCTCCTGAGTAGCTAGGACCACAGGTGCCTGCCATCACTCTGGCTTTTTATTTTATTTTATTTTATTTTGTATTTTTAGTAGAGATGGGGTTTCACATGTTAGCCAGGGTGGTCTGGATCTCCTGACCTCGTGATCCGCCCACCCTGGCCTCCCAAAGTGCTGGGATTACAGGCATGAGCCACTGCGCCCGGCCTTTCTTTTCTTTTCTTTTTTTTTTTTTGGGGGGAGGGGATGGAGTCTTGCTCTGTCACCCAGGCTGGAGTGCAATGGCGCAATCTTAGCTCACTGCAACCTCCGCCTCCCGGGTTCAAGCGATTCTCCTTCCTTCCGAGTAGCTGGGACTACAGACGTGCACCACCATGCCCGGTTAATCTTTGTATTTTTAGTAGAGATGGATTTTCACTATGTTGCCCAGGCTGGTCTTGAACTCCTGACCTTGTGATCCGCCCGCCTTGGCCTCCCAAAGTGCTGGGATTACAGGCGTGAGCCACCGCACCCGGCCTATACTGGCTTTCTAATTGGCATCCCTGTCTCCTCAAATCTAACCTTGGTTACCGAGAGTATTGTATACTACAGCAAATCTGATCAAGTTCATCACCTACCCCAACATTCAGGGTAAAGGCCAAACTCCTAAGAAAGCCATCCCTTCCTTTGTGTCTGGCCCTGCCTCTCCAGTCTTCTCTTCCAGTCTTCTCTTTTTTTATACTGTGATTGCCTAGTTATTTGTTCATTTCCCTGATTAGTATACAAGTCCCTTGAAGACACAGACCATGGTTATTTGTATTTTGGTATCCTCAGCATGTATCACAGTGCCAGGTTCATAGTAGGTTTAATTATTATTGTTATTATTATTATTTTTGAGACAGAGTTTTGCTTTTGTTACCCAGGCTGGAGGGCAATGGTGTGATCTTGGCTCGTCGCAACCTCTGCCTCCCGGGTTCAAGCGATTCTCCTGCCTCAGCCTCCCAAGTAGCTGGGATTACACTCATGCACAACCATGCCTGGCTAATTTTGTATTTTTAGTAGAGACGGGGTTTCTCCATGTTGGTCAGGCTGGTCTCGAACTCCTGACCTCAGGTGATCTGCCTGCCTCGGCCTCCCAGAGTGCTGGGATTACAGGTGTGAGCCACTGCGACCAGCCTAATTATTATTGTGAATGCAGGAACTGACAAGGCCCTATGACCTGGGGTGAAAAGAAGGGATTAAGCTCTGGCCTGTAGAGATTCTCTGGCTCTCTTCCTTTCTTTTCATAAGCCAGACTGACTCTTTGGTTGATCCAGCCCTGAAATTGATGGCAGTAAGTCAGGTGGATCTGAAGGCAGAACCTAGCCACCAAGGACAGTGGCAGGGGTGAAGAAGCCACTGAGCTCGGACCATCTTGGGAGTTGAGGTGGAGGTGAAAGCAATGGACATAACTGGTACTACCCAGTGCCCCCGATCCCCAAACCAGGAGAGTTTGAGAAGGGATAGGAAAGCCTGAGTCAATGAGGTTCCAAGGAAGAGACTGGTGACAGGGGCTAGTGGAAATTGTGGGTTGAGGTCAAAGGTCTGGAAGATCGATCCCTACGTTGAATATGGCCATCCAGGCTGGGCACTGTGGCTCACGCCTATAATCCCAGCACTTTGGGAGGCTGAGGCAGGCAAATAGATTGAGCCCAGGAGTTCAAAACCAGCCTGGGCAACATGGCAAAATCCTGTCTCTACAAAAAAACAAAAAAATTAGCCAGGTATGGTGGCACACGCCTGTCGTCCCAGCTTCTCGGGAGGTTGAGGTGGGAGGATTGCTTGAGCCCAGGAGGTCCAGGCTGCAGTGAGCTGTGATCACACTACTGCACTCCAGTAATAGAGTGAGACCCTGTCTAAATAAATAAATAAATAAATAAATAATAAGGCCCTCCAGGGGCCATGTTCTTCCTAACCTGTCCTTAGGAAGTGTTCACATTGTGTAGATGTAGCAGTTTGGTTCACACTGACCCGGGTAATCAGGAAAAGAGGAGAGCCAGAAAGGGGGGAGGAAGGAGCTCTAGATTCCCAGGTCTATAAGGAGCCACCCTGGGCTGGAATGCTTGGCAGCCTTACTGCCCCAGAATGAAGGGGAAAAAGTCCTGAGTGGCTCCACTATGCCACCTCAGTCTCTTCTTAGGCACAGGCTCCCCCTGGTGGTTACTCTTGTCACTGCCAACTCCACCCATTGCCCTCAAACATGCACACTTGCCCATTTTTAACTAAGAACTGAGGAAGCCTCTGGATGTAGTAAATGGAGCTTCTCTTAGAGCAAGAGAGGAGAAGAGGGAAGGAGAGATTCAAGGAACAGAATTATGGAGAAGGGAAAGGGCCCTGGACTTGTACTAGGATGGTTATCACCCAGAAGAAAGGGGACCTGGGCTGGCAGGATTCTTCGTCTCCAGGATTGGAAGTCTATTCCAGCTACCAACCTGACTTAGATAATTTGGTCCAACTGGGGAGGAAGTTGAGGGCACACAGCAGAGTTTCCTGGGAGGGCATAGCAAGTTCACATTTTATATGAATTTGAAGTACAGGAAGATGCTGGGACTTTTTCAAAATAAATAAAGTCTCACTTAATGCACGAAATGTGAAATAGAGGTGAGCCCCCCCAATAAAAATATTTTCCAGAATCACAATTTCAGGGCTCACAGACCATGAGAATTATAAGCTTTGCTTACACTATTACTGCATGGGTTCCCATTTCTGCTTTAAATAAAAATTCAGGTGGGGAGAGAGAATGAATCGGGCTGTGAGGTCAGGACTGAGTGCCTAGGGTCACTCCCAGTGGTGGATAGAAGACTTAGAGTGCTTTCTCCTGTAATTCCCAAACAGAGGGCCTGGGCCTGGCTCTGAAGGTCTCTGCACAAGAGCAAGACAGGACAGGAGCAAGAACAAAGGCGAGGAGAGACAGAATCAGAGAGATGAGGAAGAAGATGGGGCTGGACTGGATGCAGAGAATGAAAAGGAGAGACAACAGATGGGCATGGGGAGAGGGGCCTAGGAGGGAGAAACAGGGACATTTGCTCACTCTGGGGAGCAGAGGAGGCTCTCAGGTATGAATGCTGGGAGGATGAAGGAAGGCACAGAGAGAAGGTCCTTTGGGGCCTGTCACCAGAATTATGGCCAATGCATAAAGCCAATGGGGCAGCTGAGCTAGATCTGGTCTTCCAGAAGTTTCCATTATCTAGAGAATAGAGGAAAAGGGAAGGAGCTGTGATTGGCTGAGGAAAGGGGAATGGTGACCTCCACCAAGAAAGTGGAAGACCCATCTCATCCTGGGCCTCCTGGAGGCCCTGGAGGAGCAAACTGTTCAGGCTTTACATAGATTTCAGGTCCTCAGGCTTTGGCAGCCATTTGGATTCCAAGGTGATATGCAGTCATCTCAAATTCTATTATTTTTGTTTTATTCTGGAGAAAAGTAGGGAAGGTGGGCATTGCCCTTATCCCTAACAGCCCCAGGCAAGCTCTAGGAACAGCCCGGAGCCTCAGAATTGAGGGGCAGGCCTTTCCTACAGAGCCCTGTTGCTGGGGTGGGAAGGCTATTGGGAGCCACAGTAGAGAAAGGGAAGGAAGGGTAGACTGAGGGGAGGTATTGGGTCAGGGGGACACAGAGATCCTAGGCCAGGTCCTAGGACAGGGCAGGGGGGATGCTGATCTAGGTATCACTGAGATAGTTGTCCAGATGGGAAATCAAGTGACTGCTTATGACTGACTAGATAAGCTCGTTGTTCTCATAGCTTCTTTGGGATAGTGGAGGGTCAGTGTGGGGTATGGAATTTACAGGGAGCCTAAGGAGTGGGGAGGGACACATCAGCAACCACTTCTTCCCTCCACCATACTGGTCAGACCATAGTGAATTCCCTAGTGAGTAGGTCTCCCCTGTGAATATTGGGAAAGGGAAGGACATAATGTGGCTTTTCTGGGAATAAAGAAAGGATTGCAGCCAGGCGTGGTGGCTCACACCTGTAATCCCAGCACTTTGGGAGGCCGAGGCAGGTGGATCATGAGGTCAGGAGATGGAGACCATCCTGGCTAACACGGTGAAACCCCATCTCTACTAAAAATACAAAAATTAGCCAGGCGTGTTGGTGGGCGCCTGTAGTCCCAGCTACTTGGGAGGCTGAGGCAGAAGAATGGCCTGAACCCAGGAGGCGGAGCCTGCAGTGAGCCGAGATCGTGCCACTGCACTCCAGTCTGGGCGACAGAGCGAGACTCCATCTCAAAAAAAAAAAAAAGAGTTGCTTGGGAAGAAGAGATGGAAATGGCTCCAAAGTGGAAGGTTGGAAGTGGATAGCCAGGAAGCATCAAACCAGAAAAGGGGAGTCAGAAAGAGAGCGAGGATCAGGCATGGTGGCTCACGCCTGTAATCCTAACACTTTGGGAGGCCGAGGTGGGTGGATCGCTTGAGGTCAGGAGTTCAAGACCAGCTGGGAAACATAGTAAGACCCCCGTCTCCATAAAAAATACAAAAAATCAGCCAGGCATGGTGGTATGCACCTGTAGTCCCAGCTACTCGGGAGGTTGAGGTAGGAGGATCACTTGGGCCTGGCAGGTTGAGGCTGCACTGAATCGAGATCATGCCACTGCAGCCTGGGTGACAGAGCAGGACCTTGTCAGAAAGAGAGAGAGAGAGAGAGAGGGAGGGAGGAAAGGAGGGAGGGAACACTGGATTTCCTAAACCTCTGTGGCTTCTCTAATAAATGATAGAGTTTCTCTTTGTAGAATGCAGCACCTTCCCAGGTGGCCCCAGAAAACGTTGAAGGGTTGTGGTTTTGTTTTCATGGCAAATCTAACTGGAGCTGGGAATGGGCTCTTGATCCCATGTTTCTCACTCTGTTAGCCTGTTCATCATCCCCTTAATATCAGCAGTCAGACCCACAAGGGGTAGAGACCTCAGTGCTTGGCATGAGGGAACACCAGAAGAGAACTTGAGGTCCATCCATTTTTCTCTTCTGAATAGTGTTTTGGAATCTAAGCTCCAAGGGGTCAAGGAGGCAGGGGACAGCTGAGGAGTCATCAATAAAACAAAAGGTCTGGGAGCAGTGTAATCCTAGCTACCAAGAGGCTAAGGCAGGAGGATCACTTGAGCCCAGGAGTTTGAGGCTGCAGAGAGCTATGATCTTGCTACTCAGCCTGAGTGATAGAGCAAGACCTCATCTATTAAAAAAAAAAAGGCTGGCCGGGAGTGGTGGCTCATGCCTGTAATCCCAGCACTTTGAGAGGCCGAGGCGGGGGGATCACAAGGTCAGGAGATCGACACCATCCTGGCCAACACGGTGAAACCCCATCTCTACTAAAAATACAAAAATTAGCTGGGCGTGGTGGCATGTGCCTGTAATCCCAACTACTTGGGAGGCTGAGGTAGGAGAATCGCTTGAACCTGGAATGAGAGGTTGCAGTGACCAGAGACTATACAACTGCACTCCAGCATGGGCAACAGAATGAGACTCCATCTCAAAAAATAAAATAAAAATAAAAATAAAAAAAGAAAAGAAAAAGAAAACAAAAGAGCAGCAGATCTCAGTCAGTTGCAAGTCTGCCCTGTGCCTCCCAGCTCTGTCGCCCAGCTTCAGTTGCCCATCATACCCTGTCAAGCCCTGGTCACCCCTTTTCTTTCCTCACATCTATCCCAGGTCAGTGCTCATATCCCTGTCTCTCAAAGGGATGGATTCTGAACTTGTGCATATTAATAGTCAAATCCACAGAGTCTATCAGTACACCAAATTTCTTTTTTTTTTTTTTTTTGAGATGGAATCTTGCTGTCACTCAGGCTAGAGTGCAGTGGCGCGATCTCAGCTCACTGCAACCTCCGCCTCCCGGGTTCAAGTGATTCTCCTGCCTCAGCCTCCAAAGTAGCTGGGATTACAGGCGCGCAGCCACCACGCCTGGCTAATTTTTGTATTTTTAGTAGAGACAGGGTTTCTCTATGTTGGCGAGGCTGGTCTCGAACTCCTTACCTCGGGTGATCCACCCTCCTTGGCCTCCCAAAGTGCTGGAATTACAGGGATGAGCCACCACATCTGGCCCCAATTTTTTTTTTTTTAAATGATATGGAGCCTCGCTTTGTCACCAGGCTGGAGTGCAGTGGCGTGATCTTGGCTCACTGCAACCTCCACCTCCTGGGTTCAAGCAATTCCCCTGCCTCAGCCTCCCGAGTAGCTGGAACTACAGGTGTGTGCCACCATACCCGCTAATTTTTTTTGTATTTTAGTATGGATGGGGTTTCACCATGTTGGCCAAGATGGTCTCCATCTCATGACCTTGTGATCCTTCTGCCTTGGCCTCCCAAAGTGCTGGGATTACAGGAGTGAGCCACCATGCCTGGCCAAATTTCTTAAAATTTGAATTCAGCAAATCTTCTGTTTCATCAATTCTGTTGACATCCCAATGTCTTCCAGCTGCGTATTCACAATGATGGGGGCAGATGGTAGAAATGGGATGGTAATGTAAAAGTGGGATCTGGAGCTCAGAAGATACCCCCATCCCATACCTACTACAACATCTGTGCCTTCTTGTTCACTATTTTTGGGGTACCATAGAGAGACTACGGGTCCCCTGATAATATCGCAATTTTCTCTAACCCCAACTCCATGGGACTGATTATAGGAAAAGGGAGATTGGAGGTCAGCCCTACTAAGACCTCCTTGGACTGAGATTCTTTAGTCTTTGTGGCTCTCCTAGAAATATTTCCTTAAGGGGTCTGTTCCCGCATGGGGCTGAGGAAATACAGAGGTGAGAATAACAAATTAGGACCAGGCACGGAGGCTCACGCCTGTAATCCCAGCACTTTGGGAGGCTGAGGCAGGCAGATCACCTGAGGTCAGGAGTTTGAGACCAGCCTGACCAACATGATGAAACCCCCTCTCTACTAAAAATACAAAAATTAGCCAGGTGTGGTGGCGGGTGCCTGTAATCCCAGCTACTTGGGAGGCTGAGCCAGGAGAATCCCTTGAACCCAGGAGGCAGAGATTGCAGTGAGCCGAGATCGCGCCACTGCACTCCAGCCTGGGCGACAGAGCAAGATTCCGTCTCAAGAAAAATAAATAAATAAATAAATAAATAACCAATTGGAAGAAGCTCAAATGCAGTCATGTCTGAGGCAAGGAGGACATGAACAGTTGCCCTGCTTGGTGTCTTCAAGCCAGGACTAAGAGGAGAGGAGAAAGAGCCACACTACTGGCTGCCCTTTCATTCTAGAGACCAGGGCTGGCAGAAGTTTCCTAGATTTCCTAAATTTTCACACCTTCCCCCAGACTAGCGACTTGGTAACCTTGGGTCTCTTTCCCCACAATGATCAACTGTAAAATCCTTCAAAGGAAAAGGTACCATGTAGTTTTCTTTAGGGAGATGTGAACAGGGAGGCAAATAAGTGTGGGGAGAGCTGAGGAGATGGTACCCCCCTCAGCTTCCAATCTAGAGGAATGAGGAGTCCCAGGGATTGAGTAAGTAGACAGTAAGCAGGCTGAGGCTCTTGCAGCTTGTAGGAAGGAAGAAAGAGGGTGCAGATTATCAATTTGGATATTATATGGCTCCCAGTTCAGGAAAAAAATCCCCAGAGTCGTTGGGCACAGTGGCTCATACTTGTAATCTCAGCAGTTTGGGAGGTCGAGGCAGGAAGATCACTTAAGCTCAGGAGTACGAGACCAGCCTGGGCAACATAGTGAGACCTTGTCTCTATGAAAAGTAAAAAAAAATTAGCCGGGCATGGTGGTGCACACCTATAGTCCCAGCTACTCGGGAGGCTGAGGTGGACTGCTTGAGCCCAGGAGGTCAAGGCTACAGTGAGCTGTGATTGCACCACTGTACTCCGGCCTGGGTGACAGGGAGAGACCCTGCCTCAAAAAAAAAGAAAGAAAGAAAAGGGAAGGGGAGGGGAGGGGAGAGGAATCGCCAGAGTGGAAAGAAAAGGAACCCAGCTGAATGGTCTTGTCCTTGTAAGATAGGACAAAACAGTGTTCAGGGAGCTAGCTTGAATTGACAGAAGGATCTTCCTAGGGGTTTAACCCTGATGGCTTCCCCACCCATATTGGGACACCTCCCATCCTAGAGAACAGTCCCATTTTGTTGTTGATCACATGGAGGTTCATTTTCAAAAAGGTATTCAACAATGATACCTGTTCTTTTACATCTGGGAGCTGAGGAAAGTAAAAAAAAAAAAAAAAAAAAAAAAAAAAGATGGACAAGGCTGGGTGCGGTGGCTCACACCTGTAATCTCAGCACTTTGGGAGGCAGGAAAATCACTTGAACCAGGGAGGCAGAGGTTGCAGTGAACCGAGATCACGCCACTGCACTCCAGCCTGGGCGACAGAGCAAGACTCCATCTCCACACACACACACACACACACACAAATATATATATATTAGGACTAGATGTCTGGCTTGCCTCACTTGCCTTGTCAAGGCAGAACCAACCCCTCCAAATTCTGACATGAATGCCCTTACTCTTCCAAATCCTGACCAATGTCCTCGCATTGTTCTGTAGAGAATAGTGGTCTGGATGTTTGCCAGTGCTGACCGTTCCTTGTCATCAACATTTGTGGGCCTGTCTCTTTTTTTTTTTTTTTTTAAATAGAGATAGGGTTTCACCATGTTGCCCAGGCTGGTCTCCAACTCCTGGGCTCAAGCAGTCCTCCACTGGGATTACAGGTGTGAGCCACCACACCCAGCCCTATCTCAATTTAAAGGCTCCTGAGGACCAGGCTGCGAATCAAGGTCTTCCTTGTCATACAAGGGCTTCTTAAAGTAGGAGCAGATTTCACCTCTAAGACTAGAGGACTCTCCAAGAGTGGGGTTAGGTCTCTCCCATCAAACTGGAGGCTCCTTGTTACAAACCAAGTTGTGACTCCCAAAAGGCATCCACCTAGAACCTCAGAATGTGACTTTATTTGGAAAAAGGGTATTTGCAGATGTAATTAAAGTGAGGATCTCAAGAGAAGATCATTCTAGATTAAGAAGAGCCCTAAATCCAATAATGAGTATTTCTTTTCTTTTTTTTTTAATTTCTTCTTTTTGGAGATGGAGTCTTGCTCTGTTGCCCAGGCTGGAGTAGTGCAGTGGCACGATCTCAGCTCACTGCAACCTCCGCCTCCCAGGGTCAAGCAATTCTCCTGCTTCAGTCTCCTGAGTAGGTGGAATTACAGGCGCCGGCCACCACATCCAGCTAATTTTTTTTTTTTTTTGGCAGTGTCTCACCCTGTCACCAGGCTGGAGTGCACTGGCGCAATCTCGGCTCACTGCAACCTCCGCCTCCTGGGTTCAAGAGATTCTCCTGCCTCAGCCTCCTGAGTAGCTGGAATGCTGGAATGATAGGCACGCACTACCACACCCAGCTAATTTTTGTATTTTTAGTAGAGATGGGGTTTCACAATGTTGGCCAGGATGGTCTTGATCTCCTGACCTGGTGATCTGCCCTCCTGGGCCTCCCAAAGTGCTGGGATTACAGGTGTGAGCCACTGTGCCCAGCCTAGTTTTTGTATTTTTAGTAGAGATGGGGTTTCACCTTGTTGGCCAGGCTGGTCTTGAACTCCTAAACTCAAGTGATCTGCCTACCTCAGCCTCCCAAACTGCTGGGATTACAGGTGTGAGCCACTGTGCCCAGCCCCAATAATGAATATTTCTAATAAGACAGAAAAGAAGAAAACACAAAGACACAGAAGGAGAAAGCCATGTGAAGGCAGAGGCAGAGACAGAGACTGGAGCGATGGGTCTACAAGCCAAAAACACCAAGAATTGCTGACAGCCACCAGAAGCTGGGAAAGTGGCATGAGGCAGATTCTCTCCTGGAGCCTCCCGAACAAACCTGCACTACTGACACCTTGGTTTGGGACTTCTGGCCTCCAGAACTGTGAGAAAATTTCTGTTGCTATAAACCAAGTGTGTGGTAATTTGTTATAGCAGCCCAAATAAATGCATCTACTGTACAAGAGTGAGGTCTCCCTCATAACTGCAGCTCCCTAAGGAGGGATGGATATTATATCTTGGGTAAAGGCTGTCTTTTGTGGGTCAGACTCAGGATGCCAGGGAAAGGCTGAGAGTCTCAGGAGAGGCTTCACCAGGCTCAGACTGAGGTTGAGCTTTAGGCTGTGAATTTGCAGTTCCTGGCCGAGCTCCCTTACTTGCCCAGGGTAGCCTGGATGTTGCTGCCCTGTGTCTGAAGCTCTTGGTCCAGCTGGTCCCTCTCCATAGTGAGCTGAAGGGCAAGGTCCCTGATGCTCTGCAGAACCTTTTCAAAGCTTTGGTTGCTAGGAAAGGAGTCAAGAACAATAAATGGAATATAGATCCTGGCATTGACAGTGGAAAGATGACTTGGCTTTGACCCCAGCCCAAGGAGGCACTGCTCTGCCAGGCCAAGCTGGAGCCACAATCCTGGAGACTCTTTGGATAACTTCCATCCTCCCCACTAACACACTGAAGAGCATTTCATACCTCAAAGCACCTCCCTGTCAGTCACTTCATCTGATCCTCCTATCCCTGAAGCCCACAGGGCAGGGGTTATGATGCTCAGATTACAGATGAGAAAACTAAGCTACAAACAGCACACTGGCTCCTTGGCTAGCAGATGAGAGAGCTGGGACTAGAAAGAAGATGGGTCTGCAGGCTTAAGGCCAGAACCTTTCCCCATGGACTCCTCTCAGCTGCAGAGTAGGACCCCAGCCATGGCTGGACTGCCATAGCTGCAAAATTTTTTTTTTGTTTTTTTTGAGACAGAGTTTCACTCTTGTTGCCCAGGCTGGAGTGCAATGGCACGATCTCGGCTCACTGCAACCTCCGCTTCCTGGTTCAAGCAAGACTCCTGCCTCAGCCTCCTGAGTAGCTGGGATTACAGGCATGTGCCACCACGCCCAGCTAATTTTGTATTTTCAGTAGAGACGGGGTTTCTCCATATTGGTCAGGCTGGTCTCGAACTCCTGACCTTAGGTGATCCACCCGCCTTGGCCTCCCAAAGTGCTGGGATTATAGGCATGAGCCACTGTGCCCAGCCTAGCTGCATAATTTTAACTTTGGACTTGGGGAAAGCAGATGTGTGACCAAAGGACCGAGAGCTTTACAAGTTAGAAAGCAAAGGAGGTGTATGTAAAATTATATCCTTCCATTTTATGACTGTCTTTGCTTCTTGAAGGAAGCTCAGCTGCCCACTCAGGCCTGGGGCATTTCTGCATGCTGCTGACCTGTTTGGATTGCATTCTGAACTGTTAGTAGTGTACCTAGAGGCTCACTGGATAAGAATTCATGAGAATTTAATCCCTCCTTCACCACCTATTGGCTGTGTAACCTTAGGTAATTTTCTTAACCTCTCTGTATAACCACATCAGACCAATCTCGTCCAACTTAATTAATTAATTAATTTTTATTTTTATTTATTTATTTATTTTTTGAGATGGAGTCTTGCTGTCGCCCAGGCTGGAGTGCAGTGGCATGATCTCCACTCGCTGCAACCTCTGCCTCCCAGGTTCATGCCATTCTCCTGCCTCAGCCTCCCAAGTAGCTGGGACTACAGGTGCCCGCCACCACGCCCAGCTAATTTTTTGTATTTTTTAGTAGAGATGGGGTTTCACCATATTAGCCAGGATGGTCTCGATCTCCTGACCTCATGATCCACCCGCCTCGGCCTCCCAAAGTGCTGGGATTACAAGCATGAGCCACTGCGCCTGGCCAACTTTATTTTTTATGAGACAGGATCTCACTTGTCGCCCAGGCTGGAGTGCAGTGGCTCGATCACTGCTCACTGCAGCCTCGACTTTCTCATCTCAGGCGATCCTCCTGCCTCAGCCCCCCAAGTAGCTGGGACTACAGATGCACACCACCATACCTGGCCAGTTTTTGTAGAGACAGGGTTTCGCCATGTTGCCCAGGCTAGTCTGGAACTCCTGGGCTCAAGCAATCCATTTGCCTTGGCCTCCCAAAGTTCTGAGATTACAGGCGGGAGCCACCACTCCCACTGCACCTAGCCTGGTCCAACTTTTATGTAACAAAGTTGCGAGTTGTTTTTCAGTTGCCACGGACCCCAGGTTGAAGATCATGTAAACTGAGCATGACCAGATGATCCAAGCATGCAGCCAATGATGGAACCTAAGTGCTCAGATCAAGGAGCAGGGACTGAATTAAGAGGTGGACACCATGGCGGGATCCAAGATTCAGTAAGATGGAGCCCTGGCATCACCCCATGGCAGGATCCAGTCAGATCCTGCCTCCTGGCATCTCCTCATCAAAAGATCCAATCAGTTCTCACCTTCTTATCCTATGTTTATAAAACCTGACCCATCCCCCAGCTCAGGGAGACAGATTTGAGAGTTTCCTCCTGTCTCCTTTCCAGTTGACTTGCAATTAACTTTTCTCACTGCAAAAACTTGATGCTTTGGTGTTTGGCTTTCCATTGCACGTGGGCAAATGAACCCAGTTTGGTTCAGTGACACCTGAGCTTCAATTTCCTCAGCCACAAAAAATGAAAGATAAGAATAGTATTTTACAGGACAGTCTTAAGGATTAAAAGAGAGAATAAATGTGGAGAAAATTATTTGTAAGCTTATAAGTTCTTTACATATCAGTTGGAGACACTAATAGGATTTTTAGGGGTTGCTAAAATCAGTCTCTTTATTTTTATTTTAGTTAGTTATTTTAGAGACAGGGTCTTGCTCTGTCACCTAGGCTATGGTGCAGTGGTGTGATGATAGCTCATTGCAACCTCGAACTCCTAGGCTCAAGCAATTCTCCTGCTTCAGCCTCCCAAGTAGCTGGGACTATAAGCACTTGCCACTATGCCAAGCTAATTTTTATTTTGTGTAGAAACAGGATCTTATCATGTTGCCCAGGCTGCTCTCAAACATCTGGCTTCAAATGATCCTTCCACCTCAGCCTCCCAAAGTGCTGGGATTATAGGCATGGGTGACCACACGCGGCTTTTTTTTTTTTTTTTTTTTTTTTTTTTTTGGTGGGGGTGGGGTGTCTTTTTTAATTGAAAAGCTAACAAATTTTCCAAGTCCATTTCTCCAAAAAAACCCACAAACTGTGTAGTAACTGAGTCTCTCAGCAATATACTCAAAGCTAAGAGGATTTTTTTTTAAAGTCCTCAGATGCAGTTAAGGAAAGCCCTGCTACATACAGGTTAATCAATATCAGTAATACCCCTTGACTCTAGGAGGCTGGAAGATATCCTAGTAACCCCACTCACATCAATTGTTTCAAGTAGCCTTTTTCCAGTTTCCAACTCATGAGTAAAGATAATATTTTGTGGCTAGGTGTGGTGGCTCACACCTGTCATCTTAGCACTTTGGGAGGTGAAAGTGGGCAGATCACTTGAGCCCAGGAGTTCAAGACCAGCCTGGGCAACATGGCAAAACCCTATCTGAACAAAAATTACAAAATTTCGGCAGTTGTGGTGGTGTGCACCTGTAGTCCCAGCTACTCGGGAGGATGAGGTGGGAGGATCATCTGAGCCCAGGAGGTCGAGGCTACAGTGAGCCAAGATGGTGCCATTACACTCCAGCCTGAGTGACAGAGTGAGTCCCTGTCTCGAAAAAAAAAAAAAAAAAAAGGCCAGGTGGCTCACACCTGTAATCCCAGCACTTTGGGAGGCTGAGGCGGGCGGATCACGAGGTCAGGAGATCGAGACCATCTTGGCTAATGCAGTGAAACCCCGTCTCTACTAAAAAAATACAAAAATTAGCCAGGCATAGTGGCGGGTGCCTGTAGTCCCAGCTACTCAGGAGGCTGAGGCAGGAGAATGGCATGAACTCGGGAGGCAGAGCTTGCAGTGAGCCGAGATTGCGCCACGGCACTCCAGCCTGGGCGACAGAGCGAGACTCTGTCTCAAAAAAAAAAAAAAAAAAGATAATTGTTTTAAATTCTATTTCAGAAAATGTTTTGCAAGTTGTTTTACTTACAATCCCAACTTTTTTTTTTTTTTTTTTGAGATGGAGTTTCGCTCTTGTTGCCCAAGCTGGAGTACAATGGCGTGATCTTGGCTCACTGCAACCTCCACCTCCCAGGTTCAAGCAATTCTCCTGCCTCAGCCTCCCGTGTAGCTGGGATTACAGGTGCATGCCACCACGCCTGGCTAATTTTTTGTATTTTTAGTAGAAACGGGGTTTTACCATGTTAGCCCACCTGGTCTCAAACTCCTGAGCTCAGGTGATAAGCCGGCCTTGGCCTCCCAAAGTGCTGGGATTACAGGCGTGAGCCACCACGCCCGGCCTACAATGCCAACTTTTAAAAAGGTGACTAAAGTTAACTGGACAATAAACTAGGCAGACATCACTTTACAAAAAAGGGGGAAAGCCCAAAATGCCACTTTCTTTAGAGAACCCACATTTCAGTTTTATGTATAGCAAAGAAGACAGGAACTTTCTATCACACTGGAAGAAACTCAGCCATAGGTTTGGAATCTGTACTCAAACGATGCATGCAATGAGCACAATATTCTGCTGGTATAATTGATTTGCAGTTGCATTTGTCTACTGTTTGTCTAATATTCATGATTATAAACAGCAGTGCAACTCGTATTTGAAACAATCCTTGCAGTGCTACAGAGTCAGGCGCAACATCTGACTTCTCTTCACATCACTGGTTCTCTTTGTGTGCCTGGGCTTCCTGCTTTTCAGTAATGTCATTTTTGATGTTGAAATTCTTGCAAATCTCCTCAGGAGCTTTCCCCTTGATAGTATTGGCAATGGTCTTGCATGTAATACCAAGCAAACCTTTGATGTCTCAGGAGTTTGCAGCCAGAATAAATTCAAAAAGTGTTCCTTGGTCAACTTTCAGGAATTCCTGGTCCCAAACAGAGATATCATCTGTTCGCTTTTCTTTATTCTCATTATCCTCAGAAGGAGGAGGGCCGTCCTTGTCATGTGCAGAGGGCCAGTGCAATCGCTCATGCCTGTAATCCCAGCACTTTGGTGGGTTGAGGAGGGAGGATCTCTTGAGCCTAGGAGTTGGGGACCAGCCTGGGCAACATGACAAAACTCCGTCTCTACAAAAAAATACAAAAATTAGCCAGGTATGGTGGCACACGCCTGTAGACCCAGCTACTTGGGAGGCTGAGGTAGGAGGATCACTTGAGCTCAGGAGGTCGAGGCTGCAGTGAGCTGTGAACGTGCCACTGGACTCCAGCCTGGTGATGGAGTGAGACCCTGTTTCAAAAACAACAATAACAAAAAAAAAAAACAAAGTGAGGCTGGGTGTGGTGGCTCACTCCTGTAATCCCAGCACTTTGGGAGGCCAAGACAGGAAAATCCTTTGAGGACAGTAGTTCAAGACCAGCTTGGGCAACATAATGCCACCCCACCCCTGCAACCAAAAACAAAACAAGGAGAACAACAGGTGGAACATCTACAAGAAGATAAGGAGAGCTCTGTTTGCAGGTCCGGCTTCTAGAGGCCACGGCTGCCACTTCCCCTCCCTACCCTGCACACCCAGGAAGGAGGACATATGAGCAGTTACCCAGATGTCTAACTGAAGCCCAAGGCAACATTCCCCACTGCGCCGCTCCCAGGTCTTGAAAGATAAGGCTGGCTACCTGATGTGCTGATGTGCCTGGTGTTTGCCTTCATTGTTCCTTTGGTGCTCGCCTTCATTGTTCCTTTGGTGCTCTTTTTTTATTTTTTTATTTTTATTTTTTTTTTTTTTTTGAGACGGAGTCTCGCTGTGTCGTCCAGGCTGGAGTGCAGTGGTGTGATCTCGGCTCACTGCAAGCTCCACCTTTCCGGTTCACTCCATTCTCCTGCCTCAGCCTCCCAAGTAGCTGGGACTACAGGCGCCGCCACCATGCCCAGCTAATTTTTTTTTGTATTTTTAGTAGAGACGGGGTTTCACCATGTTGGCCAGGATGGTCTCGATCTCCTGACCTCGTGATCAGCCCGCCTAGGCCTCCCAAAGTGCTGGGATTACAGGCGTGAGCCACCGCACCCGGCCAGTGCTCTTTTTTTTTTTTTGAGACGGAGTCTCGCTCTGTCGCCCAGGGTGGAGTGCAGTGGCGCGATCTTGGCTCACTGCAGCTCCGCCTCCCGGGTTCACGCCATTCTCCTGCCTCAGCCTCCCGAGTAGCTGGGACTACAGGCGCCCGCCACCACGCCCGGCTAATTTCTTTTTTTTGTATTTTTGGTAGAGACGGAGTTTCACCGTGTTAGCCAGTAGGGTCTCGATCTCCTGACCTCGTGATCTGCCCCCCTCAGCCTCCCAAAGTGCTGGGATTACAGGCGTGAGCCACCGTGCCGGCCTTTCTTTTTTTTTTTTTGAGACAAGTATCATTCTGTTGCCCAAGCTGGAGTGCAGGGTGTGATCAAGGCTCACTGCAGCCTTGACCTCCTGGGCTCAAGCGATCCTCCCACTTCAGCCTCTAGAGTAGCTGGGACTACAGGCATGCACCACTGTGCTCTGCTTATTTATTTATTTATTTATTTATTTATTTATTGAGACGGAGTCTTGCTCTGTCTCGCAGGCTGGAGTGCAGTGGCACGATTTCGGCTCACTGCAGCCTCCGCGTCCCGGGTTCCAGCAATTCTCCTGCCTCAGCCTCCTGGGTAGCTGGGATTACAGGCGCATGCCACCACGCCCAGCTAATTTTTGTATTTTTAGTAGAGATGGGGTTTCACCATGTTGGCCAGGCTGGTCTCGAACTCCTGACCTCTGGTGATCCGCCTGCCTCGGCCTCCCAAAGTGCTGGGATTACAGGCGTGAGCCACTGTGCCCATCCCTTGCCCTGCTTATTAAAACAATGTATTTATTTATTTATTTTTTGTAGAGATGAGGTCTCACTATGTTGCCCAGGCTGTCTTGAATTCCTGGGCTCAAGAGATCCTCCTGCCTCACCTTTCAAAATGCTGGAATTATAGACGTGAGGTACTGCGGCCGGCCTTTGCTCTGCTGCTCTTCCTGTCCAGCCTCAGCTGTCTGGCTGCTACCTGTGCAGGTTCTGCAGGGGCTGTGTGTTCCCTCAGCCCATTTCCCAGCACCACCTGCCTGCTTGCTTCCTGCTGGTCATGACTGGGCTCCTGCTATACATTAGCCTTCCCCTACCCAGAGCCCACCCCTCCTCTCTAAAAACTGATCCCTCAGGCCAAGAGCCACCTCTGGTCTCCTCAGGAAGATCCTAACCTGTAACCCCTCCATACCTTGTGAGTCTTGTTCCCCGCCTGGGCTATCCTTGCCCCATTCCTCTGAGAACCATTCCCTTTCATTACCCAGTACTCCCCAAATCCAATCCTGCCCATACTCTGCCTCCTCTCTCATCTGCCCCGATCCCTCTTCCATTTTCCTCTCTCCCATCCTTGACTCCTTCACCTCCATCATCCTCTCCTAACTTCCCGCCCTCCACTTGTCCCTTACCCCATTTTCCTCTCCTGACTCTACTCTTCTCCCCATTCTGACCCAGCCTTGAGTTCCCTAAGCCCCTCCCTCCTGCCTTATTTCCCCATAGACTGGAACATCTGCTGCTTCATAAGCAATGGGGAGCTGTATGAGGCCATTTTCTACAGCGGCCTTTTCCTCAGGAACAACACATATGACCTTCACTCCTTCCTTAAGTTCATCCTCTAGGTGTAGAGGGGGACTTGACTCTTCCTCCACCCCTGGGAATTTCCCTCTTTTCCCCCAGCTCAGCTCTACTCATACCCCTATTCCAGAATCCCGGTCTCCCAGAGCGCCTGGGTTCACACCCACAGGAGTGTCAGATTCTAGGCTTCACAGTCCCAGGAACCAGACCCCAGCCCACCCAATCTCATTTCTCTATCCCTTCTCCCTAGGGGATTATTTCTGGGCATTTCTATCTTTGGATGGAAGCCCATCAGAAAAATCCAATCCAACCTGCTGGGTGAGGTGGAACTAGTCTTCAGTGGGACCAGAAAGGGTGGTGCTCTCTGATGGTTCATCTTTATCCTGTCTCCCCCAGACTTTAGCCCTCACCGAGGATCAACAGATGGGATTGTCCTCCATGGGCCTCAAAAGTTCATGCTAGGCCGGGCACGGTGGCTCATGCCTGTAATCCCGGCACTTCGAGAGGCCAAGGCGGGCAGATCACTTGAGATCAGGAGTTCCAGACCAGCCTGGCCAACATGGTGAAACCCTGTCTCTACTAAAAATACAAAAAAATTAGCCGGGTGTGGTGACAGGTGCCTGTAGTCCCAGCTACTAGGGAGGCTGAGGCAGGAGAATAGCTTGAACCTGGGAAGTGGAGGTTGCAGTGAGCCTAGATTGCACCATTGCACTCCAGCCTGGGCGACAGAGTGAGACTCTGTCACAAAAAAAAAAAAAAGTTCACGCTGGGATGCTTGTTCAAGCTGAGTTGGAGTAAGCAGTCAAGAAGAGCCTCAACAAGACTGGCTCCATGAGGATGGTTTGAGGGAGTGGATAGGGGTAGGGGTCATGGGGAGCAACCCAAAGCAGGCTCAGTAAAGAGCAGTTTGAAGCTCACACTGACATATTCAGGACCCTCTAGCTAGAAAAATAAATGCTTGGGAGGGAGGCACAGCTTTTAGGTTTAAATCTCACTTTAACCACAATGGAGTCACATCACTGGCACATTTAACTCAGGGCCAGGATAGCTATGTGCATTCAGTAAAGGGCAATTTCGTTGTAAACAGCTGGCAGGGTAAGAAGGGAGACAGCATCTCAGAGACACTAAGTGTGAGTTTAGTGATTCGAGCATTTTTTACATAACAGGGACCCTTAATGCAAGCCAACTTCAAATCTGGTGCTCAACCACTGAAACGAGCAATTTGTTCCAATGATGGACAAAAACCAGACTGAGTTGGATTTATTGAGAGGCCAGCTCTACTTATTTTATGGATGATTTAAGAAATTGCCATGGTTTGTTTTGAAAATATTCCATTTTTGACCTATGTATTGACATTAGAACCTAATCTCTTTGTACATTATAATTCTGCTTTATTTTGTGACCTTTTCTCAGTCGTTTAACCTCTGAGCCTCCATTTCCTCCTGTGTAAAATAGAGTTAGAAAAACCGGCCTTCAAGTAGCCTTGTCCTCTGCCTTTGTCTTCTGTGTTGATGCCACCTCAAGCTGGCCAGTCTCCTTGGGACCAAACAGCGTGCCTTCAATTAAGGTGCAGAGTTCTGATGGAGAGATATTTGAAGTTGAGGTGGAAATTGCCAAACAATCCGTGACTATCAAAACCATGTTGGAAGATTTGGGAATGAATGATAGAAGAGATGATGACCTAGTCATTTATCACATTTATTATTATTATTAATTTTTTTAAGTGGAGATGAGGCCTCGCCATATTGCCTAGCCTGGTCTCAAACTCCTGGGCTCAAGTGATCCTCCTGCCTCAGCCTCCCAAAGTGCTGGGATTACAGGCATGAGCCACTGCACCCAGTCCTCTCCTTGTGGTTTATTCTCTCAGTAAGTCTAGGTCCAGGTGGAGGAGGAGGAAGAATGTACCCAATTAGCCAGCACCTATTAGGCAAAGGACAGCCCCTCCTGCACCCCATCTTCATGCCAGGTTGTATCTTGATATACTGACATGGAATAGGAGGGCTTCAATGGGGTGCTTCAGGGCATCTCTGCTTTACTGCTAGCCTGGCCTACCTAACTTGCAATTTCCTAAATCATAACTCCATCCCATTCCTGATTCTTCCTGCCTCCAGTCCTCCCACCTGTCCCACTTCAGGCTTCCAACTATTCTCACTCCTGTGGGTTTTAGAGCATCCCCTGGGGCCACCTCCTGGCAGTGAACTGGCTGACCCAGGAAAGGTAGAGGAACTATTTTTTGTCTGATAGGTGGCTGGGGACAGAGAAGTCCTAGCCCCAGATCTCCCAGGGCTGCTGGGCGTATCACAATACCTAATTTTTATCGAAAGTTTATTCTGTGCCAGACACTTTCTAAATTCTCTATATCAGTTCATCCTCCTAACAACCCTCTAAAACAAATGCTATTATTATCTCCACTTTAGACAGAAGGAAGTAAGGTCAAAGAGGTTAAATAACTTGCTCAGGGTTAGCCGTCTATAATCCCGGTTGGGCAAGGATTCAAAATAGGGGTGTCTATTGCAGGAGCCTGTCCTCTGAACCACAGTGCTGTGATTCCTCTGGGGATCCCCATTTGAGTTCATGGCACTGGCATCCTTCCAGTTCCTTCAAACATCAGCATTGCCATCCATCCTTCCCACCACTCACCACCTATGACTCAGTAAGGAATAGAATTGTATCCATTCCTCTCTTTTCTTCCCCAGGCCCAACACAAATGCCCTAATTCAGGTCTTTTTTTACTTCCTATCAGGATTCTTTTTTTTTTGAGATGGAGTTGGAGTCTTGCTCTGTCGCCAGGCAGGAGTGCAGTGGCCCTATCTCGGCTCACTGCAACCTCTGCCTCCTAGGTTCAAGTGATTCTCCTACCTCAGCCTTCTGAGTAGCTGGGATTACAGGTTCATGCCACCACACCCAGCTAATTTTTGTATTTTTAGTAGAGGCGAGGTTTCACCTTGTTGGCCAGGCTGTTCTCGAACTCCTGACCTCAAGTGATCCACGCACCTCAGCCTCTTAAAGTGCTGGGATTACAGGCATGAGCCACCGCGCCCGGCCCGATCAGGATTCTTGGTCTTTTATGGTTATTATTTGTTACTATAAAGATGGCCTGGGCCAGGAGCGGTGGCTCATGCCTGTAATCCCAGCACTTTGGGAGGCCAAGGCAGGAGGATCGCTTCAGCCCAGGAGTTCAAGGCCAGCTTGGGCAACATAATGAGATCCCATCTCTATTTTACATATATTAGCCAAGTGTGGTGGCTTACACCTGTAGTTCCAGCTGCTAGGGAGGCCGAGGCTGGAGGACTGATTGAGCCTGGGAGGTCAAGGCTGCAGTGAACTGTGATCGTGCCACTACACTCCAGCCTGGGTGACAGAAAAAGACCCTGACGAAGAAAAAAAAAAGTAAAAGGAAAAATGATATTTATTGTATTTATTTATTTATTGAGATGGAGTCTCACTCTGTCGCCCAGGCTGGAGTGCAGTGGTACAATCTCAGCTCACTGCAACCTCCACCTCCTGGGTTCAAGCCATTCTCTTGCCTCAGCCTCCTGAATAGCTGGGATTACAGGTGCGTGCCACCACACCAGGCTAATTTAATTTTTTTTTTAGTAGGGATGGGGTTTCACCATGTTGGCCAGGCTGGTCTCCAACTCCCAGCCTCAAGTGATCTGCCCACCTCCACCTTCCAAATTCTGGGATTACAGGCGTGAGCCACCTCACCCAGACAAATATGATATTTAAAAAGGTAGCATGAGTGCATTAAAGGAAGCTTGACAAATAGGCAAAAATCCAACTAGAGCCCAATCCTCTTTTTTTTTGAGATGGAGTCTCGCTCTGTTGCCAGGCTGGAGTACAGTGGCGCCATCTCAGTTCACTGCAACCTCCGCCTCCCGGGTTCAAGCGATTCCCCTGCCTCAGCCTCCGGAGTAGCTGGGACTATAGGCAGGCACCACCACGTCCAGCTAATTTTTGTGTTTTTAGTAGAGACGGGGTTTCACCATGTTGGCCAGGATGGTCTCGATCTCTTGACCTCATGATCCGCCCACCTTGGCCTCCGAAAGTGCTGGGATTACAGGTGTGAGCCACCGCGCCCGGCCTAGAGCCCAATCTTCTTGTTACCACCAATCTTCTTATTACCACCCATCCACCTTTTCCTATCACACAAGTTTTAACAGAATTGAAGCCACTTTGTATGATTTTTTTTTTTTTTTTGAGATGGAGTTTCACTCTTGTTGCCCAGGCTTGAGTGCAATGGTGTGATCTCGGCTCACCGCAACCTCCATCTCCTTGGTCTCAAGTAATCTGCCTGTCTCAGCCTTCCAAAGTGCTGGCATTACAGGCACTAGCCACTGCACCTGACCTAGCAGCCTATTTCATAACAGCAAAAAAGTGGAAGTAACACAAATGTCCATCAATTGATGAAAGGATAACTATAGGGCCGGGCACGGTGGCTGACGCCTGTAATCCCAGCACTTTGGGAGGCTGAGACGGGCAGATCACGAGGTCAGGAGATCGAGACCATCCTGGCAAACACAGTGAAACCCCGTCTCTACTAAAAATACAAAAAATTAGCCGGCCGTGGTGGTGGATGCCTGTAGTCCCAGCTACTAGGGAGGCTGAGGCAAGAGAATGGCGTGAACCCGGGAGGCGGAGCTTGCAGTGAGCCGAGATCGCGCCACTGCACTCCAGCCTGGGCGACAGCAAGACTCTGTCTCAAAAAAAAAAAAAAAAAAAAAAAAAAAAAAAAAAAGAAAGGATAACTAAAATGTAGTATATCCATATAATGTAATATTATTGAGCAATAAAAAAATTAAGCCAGGTGCAGTGACATGTGCCAGGAGTTTGAGTCCAGCCTAGGCAACATAGTGAGACCTTGCCCCTTAAAAAAAAAAAAAAAAAGAAAAAAGAAAAGAAATACTGGTACTTGCTACAAAATGGATGAGTCTTGAAAACCTCATGCTAAGAGATAGAGGCCAGTCACAAAAGGTCATATATTGTATGATTCCATGTATATGAAATGTCTTATAGACATAGATTAACGATTACCTAGGGCTGAGAGAGTGGGGAAAATGTGGAATGACTGCCAACGGATACAGGTGTTCTTTCGGAAGTGATGAAAATGTTTTAAAATCAATTGTGGTGATGGTTGCACAACATTATGAATACGCTAAAAGCTGCTGAATTGTATACTTTATTTATCTATTTATTTATTGACAAGGTCTCACTCTGTTGCCCAGGCTGGAGTGCATTTGCCTGATCTTGGCTCACTGCAACCTTGACCTCCTGGGCTCAAGGCATCCTCCCACCTCAGCCTCTAGAGTAGCTGATTACTACATGCTTGTCTAATAGTTGTATTTTTTTGTAGAGACAGGGTCTTATTATGTTGCCCAGGCTGGCCCCCAGCTCCTGGACTCAAGTGATCCTACCACCTCAGACTCCCCAAAGTACTGGGATTACAGGCGTGAGCTGCCTGGCCCAGCTGAATTGTCATTTTCATTTTACTTTTTTGAGATGGAGTCTCACTCTGTCACTGAGGCTGGAGTGCAGTGGCACCGTGTCAGCTCACTATAACCTCCATCTCCTGGGTTCAAGCAATTCTCGTGCCTCAGCCTCCCGAGTGGCTGGGATTACAGGCACCTACCACCATGCCCAGCTAGTGCTTTTTTTGAGACAGAGTCTCGCTCTATCCAGGCTGGAGTGCAGTGGCGCCATCTCGGCTCACTGCAAGCTCCGCCTCCCCAGTTCACGCCATTCTCCTGTGTCAGCCTCCCGAGTAGCTGGGACTACAGGCGCCCACCACCACGCCCGGCTAATTTTTTGTATTTTTAGTAGAGACGGGGTTTCACTGTGTTAGCCAGGATGGTCTCGATCTGCTGACCTCGTGATCTGCCCGTCTCAGCCTCCCAAAGTGCTGGGATTACAGGCATGAGCCACCACGCCCGGCCATGCCCGGCTAGTTTTTATATTTTTAGTAGAGGTGGGGTTTCACCATGTTGTCCAGGCTGGTCTCGAACTCCTGACCTCAGGTAATCCACCCACCTCAGCCTCCCAAAGTGCTGGGATTACAGGGGTGAGCCACTGCGCCCAGCTGTCATTTTTATTTTTATTTGTTTTGTTTTTGAGACAGATTCTCACACCGTTGCTCAGGCTGAAGTGCAGTGGCACAATCTCAGCTCACTGCAACCTCTGTCCCGGGTTCAAGCGATCTCCAGTCTCAGCCCCCAAGTAGCTGGGATTACAAGCGCCTGCCACCATGTCCGGCTAATTTTTGTATTTTTTGTTGTTATTGTTGAGATGGAGTCTCGCTCTGTTGCCCAGGCTGGAGTGCAGTAACGTGATCTCAGCTCACCGCAACCTCTGCCTCCTGGGTTCAAGCGATTCTCCTGCCTCAGCCTCCCGAGTAGCTGGGATTACAGGTGTGTACCACCATGCCCAGCTATTTTTTTCTATTTTTACTAGAGACGGGGTTTCATCATATTGGCCAGGTTGGTCTTGAACTCCTGACCTCACGTGATCCGCCTGCCTCAGCCCCTCAAAAGGCTGGGACGACAGGCATGACCCACCATGCCTGGCTCCCATTTATTTATTGAGGGGCCTTTTAAAAAACAAAACAAAACCTATTTTGCATAAATTAATTATACAAAAATTATTTATTTATTTATTTTTAGGATCAGAGTCTTGCTATGCTGCCCAGGCTGGGCTCAAACTCCGAAGCTTTTTTTTCTTTTTCTTTTTTTGAGATAGAGTCTCGCTCTCACCCAGGCTGGAGTGCAGTGGCGCAATCTTGGCTCACTGCAAGCTCCGCCTCCCAGGTTCATGCCATTCTCCTGCCTCAGCCTCCTGAGTAGCTGGGACTACAGGCGCCCGCCACCGTGCCCGGCTAATTTTTTATATTTTTTAGTAGAGAAGGGGTTTCACCGTGTTAGCTAGGATAGTCTCGATCTTCTGACCTTGTGATCCGCCCGCCTCGTCCTCCCAAAGTGCTGGGATTACAGGTGTGAGCCACTGCGCCCGGCCTCAAACTCCGAAGCTTTATAAAGGGATCCTCCTGCCTCACCCTCCCCAGTAGCTTGGACTACAGGTGTCCCACACTGCACCCTACTTATACAAAAACATTTTAACTCTTTATCATATTTGCTGCAAATATATTTCTCAGCATATTGCTTTCTTGTTTGTTCTCTTTAGAGGTTTGGTTTCGTTTTTACTTATACATATATACACCAAAGTTGTAAATTTGTATGTAGTCAAACTGGTCATTCTTTCCTTTTTTTTTTTTTAATTGGGATAAAATTTACTCTCTTCCTTTTTGATTTCTTCTATAGTATTTAAGCTTGCAAGTTTATCACCCACACACATATTCCTACAAGGCTGATGAATACTATTTAATCTCATTTTCTTCTAACTTTATTTACTTACATTTAATTCTTTAATCTTGTTTTTCTTTTTTTTTTTTTTTCTTTTTTGATGGAGTCTTCTCTGTCACCCAGGCTGGAGTGCAGTGGCACTATCTCAGCTTACTACAACCTCAGCCTCCCAGGTCAAGCAATTCTCCTGCCTCAGCCTCCCGTAGCTGGGATTACAGGTACCTGCTACCACACCTGGCTAGTTTTTTTTTGTATTTTTAGTAGAGACAGGGTTTCACCATGTTGGCCAGGCTTGAACTCCTGACCTCAGGTTTTGAACTGCTGACCTCAGGTGATCCACCCACCTCGGCCTCCCAAAGTGCTGGGATTACAGGCGTGAGCCACCACACCCGGACTAATTCTTTAATCTTGTATTTGTTTTATTTTATAAGTTAGGATCTTTTTGTGTGGTTTGGTTTGGGTTTTCTACATTACTAGCAGCATGGACCTCATAGCCTCCTAATTAGTTTCCCCTCTCCAGTTCTACACACCACATCAAACTAACCTTATTTAAAAAAAATAAAAAAATTTAAAAAATAACAGATCTGAGTAGGTCACTTCTCTGTTGAAAAACTTTTGGTGGTTTTCCACTCTCTATAAAATTAAGTCTAAACTTCATTGGCCAGGCTGGTCTTGAACTCCTGACCTCAGGTGATCCACCCGCCTCGGCCTCCGAAAGTGCTGGGAGTACAGGTGTGAGCCACCACACCCGGCCCTTTCTCTCTTTTCTGGAAGGCAGGGACCAGCTCTTAAACATGACCTGCATTAGATCCTTTGGTGACAACCCATTACATTTGGATGAAATTCAAAATCCTTGCTGGCTCTGTGACCTTGGGCAAGCTGCTTGACCTCTCTGTTCCTTAGTTTCCTCCTAGGTAAATAAAATGGGAGACAGCTGGGCGTAGTAGTGCATGCCTTTAGTCCTAGCTATTTGAACGGCTGAGGCGTGAGAATCCTTTGAACCCAGGAGTTCATGGCTGAGATGAGATATGATAGCATCATTGCACTCCAGCCTGGGTGACAGTGAGACCCTGTCTCACAAAATATATAAATAAAAATAAAAAATAGGCCAGGCTAGCGGCCAGGTGCGGTGGCTCACGCCTGTAATCCCAGCACTTTGGGAGGCCGAGGCAGGCGGATCATGAGGTCAGGAGATTGAGACCATCCTGGCTAACACGGTGAAACCCCGTCTCTACTAAAAATACAAAGAAAAATTAGCCAGGTGTGGTGGTGGGCGCTTGTAGTCCCAGCTACTCGGGAGGCTGAGGCAGGAGAATGGCGTGAACCTGGGAGGTGGAGCTTGCAGTGAGCCAAGATCGCGCCACTGCAGCCCAGCCTGGGCGACAGAGTGAGACTCTGAATCAAAATAAATAAATAAATAAATAAAATAATAAAAAATAAATAAAAATAAAGATAAATAAAATGGGAGCTAATTGGTCCTCCATATATATGTTCAGGTTCTGCATTTGTGGATTCAACTGACCACGGATGGAAAATATTCCAAAAATATGATGTCAACATCATTATAGAAAAAGATAAGAAAAAAAAATTCCCCCTAAAAGGATGGTTGCATCTGCACTGAACATGTACAGAGATTTTTCCTTGTCATTATTCTCTAAACAACACAATATAACAATTATTTATATAGCATTTACATTGTATTAAGTATTATAAGTAATCTTGAGATGATTTAAAGTATATGGGAGAATATGCATAGGTCATATGCAAAGACTATACCATCTTATATAAGGGACTTAAGCATCCGTGGGTTTTGATATCCATTCTGGAACCAATTCCCCCAGTACCTACATCATACAGTATGGTCAGGTTTTTTTTTGTTTGTTGTTGTTGTTGTTTTGAGACAGAGTCTTGCTGTGTCGCCCAGGCTGGAGTGCAGTGGCACGATCTCCGCTCACTGCAACCTCTGCCTCCCGGGTTCAAGCGATTCTCCTGCCTCAGCCTCCCAAGTAGCTGGGACTACAGGCGCCCGCCACCACGCCCGGCTAATTTTTGTATTTTTAGTAGAGACAGGGTTTCACTATGTTGGCCAGGCTGGTCTTGAACTCCTGACCTGGTGATCTGCCTGCCTCAGCCTCCCAAAGTGCTGGGATTACAGGCGTGCGCCACCGCGCCTGGCCCAATGTGGTCAGTTTTTTTTGTTTGTTTGTTTGTTTTGAGATAGAGTCTTGCTGTGTTGCCCAGGCTGGAGTGCAGTGGTGCGATCTCGGCTCACTGCAACCTCCACCTCCCACTTTCAAGCAATTCTCCTGCCTCAGCCTCCCGAGGCACATGCCACCATGCCCAGCTAATTTTTGTATTTTTTTAGTAGAGACAGGGTTTCACCATGTTGGCCAAACTGGTCTCGAACTCCTGACCTTGTGATCTGCCCGCCTTGGCCTCCCAAAGTGCTGGGATTACAGGCGTGAGCCACCTCGCTTGGCTGGTCAGTTTTTAATGAGAAAATTGACTTAAAGGGTTTCTCACAGTAGCTGGTGCAGAATGAATGTTAAACGCTATCATTATAATAATCATCAACACAGCAGCCTTGTCCAGTCTGGCTCCAGCTTCTCCCTCCTGCTACCATTTGCCCTTGTTCAGAACCCACTGGTTTTCTTCTAATCTTTTTTTTTTTTTTTTTGAGACGGAGTCTCACTCTGTCGCCCAGACTGGAGTGCAGTGGCATAATGTTGGCTCACTGCAAGCTCCGCCTCCCAGGTTCACGCCATTCTCCTGCCTCAGCCTCCAGAGTAGCTGGGACTACAGGCGCCCGCCACCATGCCCAGCTAATTTTTTGTATTTTTAGTAGAGACGGGGTTTCACTGTGTTAGCCAGGATGGTCTTGATCTCCTGAGCTCGTGATTCGCCCGCCTCGGCCTCCCAAAGTGTTGGGATTACAGGCATGAGCCACTGTGCCCTGCCTTTTTTTTTTTTTCTTTGAGATGGAGTCTCGCTCTTTCACCATGCAGTGGCATGATCTCAGCTCACTGCAACTTCCACCTCCTGGGTTCAAGCGATTCTCCTGCCTCAGCCTCCCGAGTAGCTGGGACTACAGGCGGCTGCCACCACGCACAGCTAATTTTTGTATTTTTTAGTAGAGATGGGGTTTCACCATGTTGGCTAGGCTGGTCTTGAACTCCTGACCTCAGGTGATCTGCCCGCCTCGGCCTCCCAAAGTGCTGGGATTACAGGCATGAGCCACCTCGCCCAGGCTCTTTTTTTTTTTTTGAGATGGAGTCCCACTTAGTCGCCCAGGCTGGAGTGTAGTGGCATGATCCTCGCTCACTGCAACCTCTGCCTCCCAGGTTCGAGCAATTCTTGTGCCTCAGCCTCCTGAGCAGCTGGGACTACAGGCATGCACACCACACCTGGCTAATTTTTTTTTGGTATTTTTAGTAGAGACAGGGTTTCACCATGTTGACCAGGCTGGTCTTGAACTCCTGACCCCAAGTGATCCACCCACCTCAGTCTCCCAAAGTTCTGGGATTACAGGTGTGAGCCACTGCAGCTGGCCTTCTTCTAATTTAACCCAGCAAACACTCCCCAGCATCAGAGTGTGTTTCCTATACCTGAAATCCTATTCCCCATACTCTTTACTTGACTAAGTCTTCCTCATCCTTCAAGTCTCCGCTGAAATATTCCCTCAGAGAGGCTTTCCTTAACACACCAGATTAAATAAGGTCTCCCTGTTATATGTTTATCCTACACTATTTGGTTATATCATAAATTGTCAGCTGGGTACAGTGGCTCTCCCCTGTAATCCCAGCACTTTGAGAAGCCGAGGAGGGAGGATGGAGGATGGCTTGAGCCCAGGAGTTTGAGACCAACCTGGGCAACATGGCAAAACCCTGTCTCTGTAAAAGCATACAAATATTAGCCAGGCATGGTGGTGCATGCCTGTGGTCCCAGCTACTCTGGAGGCTGAGATAGGAGAATTGATTGAGCCCGGGAGGTTAAGTCTGCCACGAACCATGATCGCATTACTGCACTACAGCCTGGGCAACAGAGTGAGAGCCTGTCTCAAAAAAAAAAAAAAAAAATTGTCACTGCGTATGTGTATGTATGTGGCCATTTGTTTATTTTATTTTTTTATTTTTGAGACGGAGTCTTGCTCTGTTGCCCAGGCTGAAGTGCAGTGGCGTGATCACTGCTCACTGCAAACTCTGCCTCCCAGGTTCAAGTGATTCTCATGCCTCAACCTCCAGAGTAGCTGGGATTAGGTGTGTGCCACCACATCCGGCTAATTTTTTATTTTTCATAGAGATAGTGTTTCACCATATTAGCCAGGCTGGTCTCGAACTCCTGACCTCAAGTGATCCACCCACCTTGGCCTCCCAAAGTGCTGGGATAACAGACGTGAGCCACCGTGCCTGCCCCCATTTGTTGTAATATCTATTTCTCCACCCAGTTGTGTAATATGCCATATTGTCTTATTCACTGTTCTGTCTCCAGCTCCAGGCATTTTGTAGATGCTCACTAAATTTAGCTTGGTTGACCGAATGGATGAACGAGCCGAGTAGAGTTTATATAGCAGGGACTCAATAAATGTTAAAATTTTAATTTGAGTTAACCGTAGAACTTCCATAGTAAAAGCACTCAAGCTTAGGCTTCAGAGGTGGGAACATGAGTTTGCAGAGACTACTACTAAACATATAACCAGGAAAAACTGCACATTTACAGTAGGAGATGGAAGTAAAATTATGGAAATACTCTTCACAATAGCCAAAACCTGGAAACAACCCAAATGTCCAGTGACAGGAGAATGAATAACTGGGTAGAGTCACAAAATGGAATATTATAGAGTTCCCAAAATGAGTAAACTGTAAGCAATATGTAACAATATAAATCTTGTTAATACAATATAATAAGCCACCAAAAATTACATACAGCAATACTCCCTTATAATAATGTAAAAAATAACTAAACTTAAAAAAAATTTTTTTTTTCTGAGATGGAGTAATCCCAAGTAGCTGGGATTACATGTGCCTGCCACCATGCCCAGCTAATTTTTGTAGTTTTATTTTTTTTATTTTGAGACGGAGTCTCGCTCTGTCGCCCACGCTGGAGTGCAGTGGTGCCATCTCGGCTCACTGCAAGCTCCACCTCCTGGGTTCACCTGCCATTCTCCTGCCTCAGCCTCCCAAGTAGCTGGGACTACAGGCACCCACCACCACACCCGGCTAATTTTTTGTATTTTTAGTGGAGACGCGGTTTCATCGCATTAGCCAGGATGGTCTCAATCTCCTGACCTTGTGATCCGCCCGCCTCGGCCTCCCAAAGTGCTGGGATTATAGGCGTGAGCCACCACACCCGGCCAATTTTTGTATTTTTAGTAGAGACAGGGTTTCACCATGTTGGTCAAGCTGGTCTTGAACTCCTGACCTCAGGTGATCCACCCGCCTCGACCTTCCAAAGTGCTGGGATTACAGGTGTGAGCCACCGCTCCCAGCTAAAAATTCTTATAAATTTTCAGGAATACATACAGCTGGTAAGTATGGAAAAGGAGCCAGGTGTAGTGGTGCCACCTACAGTCCCAGCTATGCATGTAGTCCCAGCTACTTGGGAGGCTGAAGCAGGACGATTGCTTAAGTCTAGGAGTTTGAGGTTGCAGTGCACTATGATCGGGTCTGTGAATAGCTACAGCACTACATTCTGAGCAACATAGTGAAACTCTGTCTTATAAAATATATATGTGTGTGTATATAAGGAAAACAAGAGAATGATGGATATCTTGAGAGATGGAACACATAGCTAGATTTATTGCCAAGTTATTCCCAAGGTCCTAGCTTTCATGCTGATTATTTCTTTTTTTTTTTTTTTTTTGAGACGGAGTCTTGCTCTGTCGCCTAGGCTGGAGTGCAGTGGCGCGATCTTGGCTCACTGCAAGCACCGCCTCCCGGATTCACGCCATTCTCCTGCCTCAGCCTCCCGAGTAGCTGGGACTACAGGCACCCGCCACCATACCCGGCTAATTTTTTGTATTTTTAGTAGAGATGGGGTTTCACCGTGTCAGCCAGGATGGTCTCAAGCTCCTGACCTTGTGATCCGCCCGCCTTGGTCTCCCAAAGTGCTGGGATTACAGGCATGAGCCACCGTGCCCGGCCCATGTTGATTATTTCTTATAGTCTTTTTTTGAAATGGAGTCTCGCTCTGTCGCCCAGGCTGGAGTGCAATGGTGCAATCTCCGCTCACAGTAACCTCCACCTCCCGGACTCAAGTGATTCTCCTGCCTCAGCCTCGCAAGTAACTGGAATTAACAGGCATGCACCACCATGCCCAGCTAATTTTTTTTTGTATTTTTCATAGAGACAGGGTTTCACCATGTTGGCCAGGTGGGTCTTGAACTCCTGACCTCAGGTGATTCACCTGCCTTGGCTTCCCAAAATGTTGGGATTACAGGCGTAAGCCACCGCACCTGGCCCCATATGATAGCCTTATAAGTAAATGTGTGCTGTGCATGGAACAATGATGAGAGTGTGTCATGAACCAAGGTTATGATTAATCTAGTTCTGTGCATCTGAAATCCGTTAAAGGAAAGGGAGAGAAATTAGCCTACCTCATCCTCCAGGCAGCCTCAGTTGTTGGGGGTGATGGGGAGAAGATTTTTCTCCCCCAAGCTCCTTTGGGACTTTTCTCCAGGGACTGGCCCTAGGTCCTCCTCTTGTAGAGGTGAGCTGGTGGAATAGAGGTGGAGCAGCAAGGAGGGAAGTAATCCAGGGTTTGGCTTCCTCTGGAAATGGGTCCTGAAATCAGTGGGAAAATGAGCCTCTCCTGAGGCTGAAGAAGGAATCTGGAAGTGTGAGTCAGCTTCCATTCCCATTCAGCTTCCCACACTCCCCAGCTTAGAACTTTTGAGTATGTAGTCTCCCATCCATTTCATCTATGACCTTAGGGTGGGGGTTAGGAGGAGCCCCAGAGCTGGGCCCTGAGTGAATGGGGCTGTGGCCACATGAATGACAGTCATAGTCGTTATAAACATTCTGGGTACTAGGGAGCTGGGACCAAGGTCTTGCTATGTTGCCCAGGCTGAAGTGCAGTGGCGATTCCTTGGTGCTATCATAGCACACTGTGGCCTCAAGCTCCTGGCCTCAAACAATCCTCTTGCTTCAGCCTGCCACCTGCCAAGTAGCTGGGACTATAGGCACAGAACTATATGGGCACAGTCCCACTATGCCCAGCTTAAACCAGTGGCTTCGAAGTCCATCATGAAACTAGGGAGCTGCTGACTCAATATATATATATTTGAGACAAAGTGTTACTTTGTTGTTCAGGCTGGAGTGCAGTGGCACAATCTTAGCTCACTGCAACCTCTGCCTCCCAGGTTCAAGTGATTCTCATGCCTCGGCCTCCCGAGTAGCTGGGACTTCAGGTGCATGATCATGCCCAGCTAATTTTTGTATCTTTGGTAGAGATGGGGTTTCACCATGTTGGCCAGACTGGTCTCGAACTCCTGACCTCAGGTGATCAACCTGCCTCGGCCTCCAAAATTGTTGGGAGTACAGGCGTTCTGAACCACTGCACCTGTTTTGTTGTTGTTGTTGTTGTTGTTGTTTGAGACAGAGAGTCTTGCTCTGTCACTTGGGCTGGAGTGCAGTGGTGCAATCACAACTCACTGTTGTCTCAACTTCCCAGGCCCAAGTAATTCTCCCACCTCAGCCTCCCAAGTAGCTGGGACTATAGATGCACCACCACACTCAGCTTATTTATTTATTTTAGAGATGAGGTCTCGGTTGGGTGGAGTGACTCAGGTCTGTAATCTCAGCATTTTGGGAAGCCAAGGCAGGCAGATCACTTAAGGTCAAGGGTTCAAGACCAGCCTGGCTGACATGGTGAAAACCCATCTCTACTAAAATTACAAAAACTAGCTGGGCATGGTGGTGCGCACCTGTAGTCTCAGCTACTAGGGAGACTGAGGCAGGAGAATCACTTGAACCCAGGAGGCGGAGGTTGCAGTGAGCCGAGATCATGCCACTGCACTCCAGCCTCGTCGACAGAACAAGATTCCATCTCTTAAAAAAGAAAAAGTAGAGATGAGGTCTCACTATATTGCCCAGGCTAGTCTTGAACTCCTGATATGGTAAAACCACGTCGCTACTAAAAATAAAAAATAAAAAAATTAGCCAGGTATGGTGTCATGTGCCTGTAGTCCCAGCTACTTGGGACGCATGAGAATCATTTGAACTAGGAGGCAGAGGTTGCAGTGAGACGACATCATGCCACTACACTCCAGCCTGGGCGACACAGCAAGACTCTATCTTAAAAAAAAAAAAAAGAAGTCAGGCTGGACTGGGCTAAGGGTATAAAAGAGGGGTTGGAAGTTGCACCAGACTACAGTAGGTTCCTAGGAAAGGGGATGGAGCTCTCTGGCTGAATCAGATCAGACCGGGTCAGGAAAAATGAGGAAGGAGCTGGGAGTCCAGGAGGGACAGAGGTTTGGGGTTGGGTTCAGACCTCTGTGGATCCAGAAGCCCTGGCTGGGGTACATGGTCAGACTATCCGAATGAATTAATTCACCAACAGACACATACGTAAACATATGCGTATACATGCCTACATACAAACACACGTATACACTGCCTTACCTGCACATATAAACAGATCCAGGCCCTCCCTAGCTCAGCAGCACAAAGCTCTTCAGCAATGTGCTAAGGCTTGGGACTGGGCCCACATATGTACCTGAAAACAAAGGGCATGAGGGTTTTGGAGGGTCTCTCTCTTCCCTCACCCCAGTAATTCCTCTTCACCAGGGGTTCCTGGGGGCAAATGGGGAGGAGCCAGATATGGGGCTCCAGAGGAAGTTGCTGGCCACTGTGTTTCCTGAGTTCAATAGTGTGTTTTCCTGCTTCTCTGACCTACCCCCTGCCCCCAAGTAGGATGGGGTCCAGGCCTGGCAATCTACCTTTTCCCTTGACTATCTCCCTCCATACACAAACATATACATACAAGACGTGAACCTACAAATACCCAACCGAGTCACACAACCACTGTCCCAGCAGCCCCATAACTCAACACAGTCGCACTGCTAAGCCACACATTTAACAACACACCCTCATTTACGGATTTATAGCCTTCACTCACACTCAGCAGTCACATCTTCTCTGCTTTGTTCAACATCATATCCCCAGCACCTAGAATGGGCCTAGTACCTAAAGAGGGCTCAATGAATAATATTTGAATGAATTAATTAACCAACAGACACATACATAAACATATGCATATACATGCCCACATACAAACACATGTATATACTCCCTTACCTGCACATATAAACAGATCCAGGCCCTCCCTAGCTCAGCAGCACATACATACACACACACTCAGGCTAATGGGCTAGATGTACACTCAGTGCCAGACACAGACCCACTGTAGATGTTACCTGGCACTCTCAGGGTGAGTTGCTGGTGGCAGTTGGCTGGTAAATGTCCTTCAGGCTGGCCAGATCTACAAAGGAAGAGTTGGGGGTGGGGTGCAATAGCATTCCTTGGGGTCCTGAGGCACTGGGTTATGAGAAGCTGGGCTGGCAGCAGGGCACGGCCAAGATAACTGTAGATTGGAGATTGGACAGGTCATACAGTCCCTTCCTCTGGTGTCTTCCTACCAGCTAGGGAGGTGAGGGTAGAGGTGCCAGTCTATCGGGCTTTATTTCAGGTCCAGGGAGAACTTAGGAGGGGAACAGTTTGAGGCCTCAGCTTCCCCTGCCTGGGATGACAAAGAGGGACACTGGATAGGGAGCTTTATGGGCACTAAGACCCCATCTCCAATCTACAGCGGGGTCTCCATATCTTCCCAGTCTGGAGAGTAGCAATCCTGCTACTCTCTTAATCCCCCACCCAGGGACCTTAGCACCAGGGGAGACTAATTTAGACCTCAGCTGCTGACCGGGCAGAGTGGACCACGCCTATAATCCTAGTACTTTGAGAGGCCAAGGCGGGTGGATCACCTGAGGTCAAGAGTTTGAAACCAGCCTGGCCAACATGGTGAAACCCTATCTCTACTAAAAAAAAAAAAAAAAAAAATACAAAAATTAGCCAGGCATAGTGGTGGGCACCTGTAATCCCAGCTACTTGGAAGGCTGAGGCAGGAGAATCACTTGAACCCAGGAAGTGGAGGTTGCAGTGACCTCAGATCATGCCACTGCCCTCCAGCCTGGGTAATGGAGCAAGACTCCATCTCAAAATAAATAAACCAACTAACCAACCAACATCAGCCAGGCTAGTAGACTGGGGGCTGGGTAGGGGTAGGAGTCTCCCAGGTACTCTAAGTACCCCAAGACCATCTAACCCAAGCCCCCTCCTGGGCCAAGTCCCCTCTCCCACCCCTCCCTCAACGGCATAACCCAAGGCAGTCTATCCCAGGAACCTGCCCCAGGAGGGCCACCTGTCTGGCTGCCCCATGACAGCTAAGGGTGAGAAGCAACAGTCCTGGGGTGAGAGGTGGGGAGCAGACTGAGAAAGCCAACTCTCCCTCAACTTTTGAGGGAGATGGGGCCAAGCTGGGACATCTGGGAACAAACTTTAGGGTCTTGGGTGAAGGAGAAGTGTAATTCAGGGAAACAACTTCAAGAGTGAGGGGAAATGTGAGGTGAGTGAAGGGATCCAATTCATAGTCTTAGGAACTGCAAGGATGGGGAAAAGATTGCCTTGGACTGAGTCATTATTAGGCATCAATGACCAACCAGGACACTCTCAAACCGAAAAGTCTCTTTATTGATTGGTACCATACATGACTCAAATGGCCCAAAAAAAAAAAAAAAAAAAAAAAAAAAAAAAAAAAAAAAAAAAGGCATTACAGTTGGGATGGGATGTCCACCTTCCTCACCCCTTCCCTCAGCTCCTGACTCAATACCCTTCCAAAAGTGGCAGCTGGAGTGGAGGAAATACGGTGTGGGGGACCCCAGAATCCAGAGGGAAGAGTGGGGAGAGAGGTGGTGTTAGCACTTCCTGGGACTGGCCACAGGAAAAGGCAGCAAAGCCACAGAGCTGGACCAGCTGCGTGAAACCCTGCTCCTGGCTGCACCCTGGCAGAGCCGAGGATCCCGGCTGCCTCCTCCTCCTTCCTTCTGTGAGGAAGGAGCGGCAGGGGATACTGGCAGGTGAAGACCCTCTACCTCTACCTCACCTATGGGGACAGAGGCCTGTTCCTCCCTGGTGGGCTTAGAACTGGGATGTCATCTGTGGCTCCTTCCCCTCTATGAAGGACAGAGTAGGATTACATATGCAGTTGGAGGGGCTGAGGGAAGATTCTGGAGGAAAGTGGCTGAGCCCCTCTCCCATCCCATGCCTGCCCAACTGAAACAAAACCAAAAATACAGCAACAAGGCTGCTCCCTTCTCTCCACGCTCCCTAAGGGAAGGAGCCTCCCCTCCCCGCATCCTAGACAGCTGCTCTTGTGGAGGACTTGTAAGGAATATACATACCATGGGGGTGGGGCTGGAAGAGAGGGAGTCACAAGCACTAGGAGGGCAGGCCAGAGTCCAGAGAATGGGGACACAGAGACAACAGCAGGGGTCTGTCACCAAAATGTGGCCACCAATGTCCCCCTACCCCATGGCATGCTTTCCTCAACTGCAGTCACCCCAGAGGAAAGGGGGAGAGATGGTGAAATGTCTCCTTGGTCTGAAGCTCTCACACCATATAAAATGGTATGCACACCTCCCTCCCCCACTCTCACCCCCACCTAGGCCCTAGGCCCCCATCTGCCAAGAGTAGGGAGGTAGCTGGACTTTTAATAGGGGGAAGAGGGGGGGACATGAGTGATTTTTTTTTTAACTTACATTTTTAATAATATTATTTTTAAAAAAACTTGGAGCTGGGATAAGTGGCAGCAGGGAGGAGGGGCCCAGAGCTTTACCCCTCTATTACCAGCTGCCTAGGGGAAGGAGCATTCAACGAAGCCCCGTAACTTTAAGTCCCTAAGGGCTGTGGGTATAGACAACCCCAGGCTTGAAAGGGGTAAAGTCAGGGGGATGGGAAACCCACAATCTGGGGTGAAGATGGAGGCAAATGCCCTGGGGGGTGGTCAGGACATGTCTCAGAGGCCCAGGTTCCAAGTAGGCATCCACATGAGTACCCCCTCCCCCTAAAAGGCTCTGTAGAGGCCAGGCCCAGCCCAGGGCCACTGGGGGGGCAAATCTTGGCACCTGCCCCCAGAGAGTCCAGTTCCTCCCTGAAGCGGGTGGATGGAGGCTGCCCATTTTAGATGCTCAGTCTCTTCATTCTGTCTTCTGCTCCCTGGGGCTGTGAGGGGTGGGGCAGGTAGGCAGAGCACTGGGTGGCCACAGCAGGGCCTTTTACTGGGAGGCCTGTGACGTGGGGTTCTCCGATTTGCTTTCTTGGCTGGACGGAGGCTTGCTGTTCCAGGGGCTGTTGGCGCCCAGTGCAGGGGAGTTGTTAAAGCTGTCCTCGTCGTCAATGCCGTTGGCTGCGTCAAACTGGGTGTTCTCCAGCCGGGTGATGAGCCTCTCGTCCTCGTCCCCGAACTCCCCGCCCATCAGGGTGGGCTCCCCCACCACCATCACATCCTGAGAGTGGCGGAGGTCCCCAAACATAATCGGGGCAAGGGCTCGCCCGGCCCAGGGCGGCAGATACCCCCAGAGCCCCAGTACCCACCCTGGAAGCTCAAGAGTCCCCACCCCCTCCTCATACCCGAATTTAAAACCCCAACTCCTGACACCCTCAGCTCCTGGAATCCTTCCTACTGAAGAACACCAGAGCATCAAAGCCTTTAGCCCATATCCATTACATTCTAGAAGTCACTCTACTCCCCTAGCTCCCTAGCCCATCTCCCCAAAATTTTAGGGGACTCCTCAACTTCTGTCCACATGTAAGAAAGGGAGCATATCAAAAACATGAGGGAGGGCAGTGTGTGCATGTGCAAGGGTATGTATTCTGGATCTGCAAACACTCCAGTCTGCATGTCTATCAGTGTGAGTGTGTGTGCTGGATGGTCTGTGAGCCCCAAGCTGTCTGTCCTGAATATCCGTATGTCCTCATGGGTGTCTCTGTCCCTTTATGCCCTAGCTTCCTATGGCTGAGTCTGTGTGATCACACCCATGCAAGTGCCTGACAAGAACTCTCTCACCAGTAAAAGCAGTTAGCCCATGCTGGCAGAGTACATGAGAAAAACTGTCTTTGCTTCTACGCCTGCTAGTGAGCTCAGGCTTGGAAAGGGGTCAGGGGTGAGTGGTGGGGCAGCCCAGAAGAGAGAAGAAAGCCGAGATGCTTACAGGTACCTGGCTGGAGAGGGCGAAGGTGCTAGCTGGGCTCTTCTTCTTGCTGTTGCTGTTGTTGGTGTTGCCACCACCAGAGCTCATGGTGCTGCCCCCTGACATCTTCCGTTTCCGCCGTTTGCTGGGCTGCTGACGTGTGGGCTCCGCTGTGCCGGTAAACGGAGACTCAGATGGGAGAGGGCCCCAGGTCCCCTATTCTCCATTGTGGCTCCCAAGGAGCATGAGCCTGCCCTGATCCCAATTTTGTAGACCCGGGAACAAGGAAGGGGTGGGGAAAACTTCAAAAGGAAATAAAGATACAGCTTTGGGGAGCGGTGTGAGATCCTGGTAAGAGCAGGTGCAAGGCACTCACCAGGGGGTGCTACCATGCGCTGCCACTTCTGGAAAAGGCAGGTCTTGAGGCAGTCGCGGGGGCTGAGGCTGTAGGTCTTGTGGCGTGACATGAGCTCTTGCATGGGCTCGAGTATCACACAGAGCTAGGGGTAGACAAGGAGGTGGCTTGTCAGGGGACAGACATGGAGCCGAGACTAAATGGACTGGGGCAGAAACTGGGTGGTCGGAGACTCACTCGGAGGTAGTTGAGAGTGGAATTGGACAGCCCACACCGAGTGATGTTTTTGGAGAGCTGATCCAACATCTGGGGGTCTTGGGCCTAGAGTGGGAGAAAAGACAAGAAAGAACACTGACACCTGGGTTGCCTCTGCTCACCTGCCCTATCATCTGAGCATTGTGACACTCCTGAGAGAGGATAGTCTCTTATTAAACCTGCTGTTCAGATGAAGAAACCCTAACCCTCTGTCTAAGTAGTCAGTCGGGAAATGGCAGACCTTGTTCCACCCTTCCCCCGCCTGCCTTCACTCTTGCATCCTGGGTCCTGCCCACGACTCACATGCATGGCAAGGATGCTGCGGGGGATGAGCTCTCGGTGCTGCCGGATGCTGAAGTGCCACGTCTTTATCCGCATCATGTCGTCAAACATGAACTCCAGGTACAACCGGCCCTCCACACACACCTGGGGACAGGCTTGTCAGAACCCTGCCCCCTCCCCACATACCATACCTGAAGGTATGTCTATTACAGTCTCCCATTTGCTTACAACTCTCCCATTGCATACACTTTTGTCACCTGCACATTAAATCTGGGTGCATAAATGTCACAGTACCCCCCACCCATATACCTGGCCCTTACACACACAGACACACAGTAGAAAAGCTTAACAGATCCTTGTCCTCTCCCCATGTGGCTAGTGATACACCCACCTGCTCTAAGCTATATGAGGGCAGACTCTTGTTCACTCGTGTAGCCTTGGGGCCCAGAAAACTATCCCATACAAACACAATACATGTTTGCTGACGGTTGCAACATGCCTACCCGCCCTTCTTATTTTGCCAGTTCACATTATGCCTCCCTGGGGAACAGCTGTGAGTATACACTGGGAGAGAGGATGGGAATCAAACCCAGGTGCCATGGTGTTCCACATCCAGCTGGGTTGCTGACCTGGGTGAACATGGGCTTGCCATGCTGGGTCACCATGCTGCCCTGGTCACAGTCGAGGGACACAAAGTTGCTGTGGAATGCCTCCTTGGGGTGCTTAAGAACATAGTACAGCTCCGTAGCACCCCCCTCAAAGATGCTGCGGAAGTAGCGTGGGATCAGGGTCCGGCCAATGGCTGTAGAGATGGGACAAACTCTTCAGGACAAAGGGACCGCAAAAGGGGCCAGGCAGATGCCTCCCCTACCAATCTAGATATCCCCTGGCACTCCCAGACCCACTTCTAGACCTTAGAACGACATAGGAGGTATACACCCTCATAGCAAGACCCCAGAGGCCACTTACTATATCTCTTTGGTCCATCCTCCAGGCAGAAAGTGATGGTCAACATGGCATCATCCTCAAAGAACTCAGTCGTGAATGCATCCCACCAGAGATTGTCACACTCCTAGGGAGCATGGTAACGGGTGTTCATGTGTCATAAGATATCCCATAGGGTGCCCAGATGGCCCTCCTGCTCCCAGCCCCTTTTCCCTTGGCCATACCTCTGTCCAGTTCTGAAGCCGTTTGTTAAGCTCAAATATTCTGTAGTCAGTTTGGTTGCCATATGGTGTGTGCCTCCTGGAGGAAGTGAAGGAGAGAGGTCAGTAGGAGCGGAGCCTGCCCCCTCCACCCCCTACCTCGGCCTTCACCCAGTGGAAAGCACCTTCTTCCCCACTGGACTCCACTTACCCAATCCCTGGCTCCAGGTATGTAGGCGGATACATGGGAGTTGGGCTGTGTAAAGGAAGAGGCTATGAGAATGGGGGTTGAAGATAGGAATTATTGGGGGCAGGGGGCTACTCCCTCCCCTTTCCAGGCAGGATCCCACCTGGAGAAGGGTTAGGAAGTGGCCAAGAGACTCACTTACCCCACATCCCTATCCAGCATGGTGCCGGGATGGAAGGGGGGAAAGGCGTTGCCGTTCGGGGGCTCCTTCGGCGAGTACAGCTTGAATGACTTTGAGGAACAACCTAGACGAGAAAGAAAGGAGTCATAGCTGGGCGCGGTGGCTCACATCTGTAATCTAGCACTTTGGGAGTCCAAGGCAAGAAGATTGATTGAGCACAGGAGGTCGAGGCTGCAGGGACCAGCCTAGGCAACATAGCGAGACCTCGTCTCTAAAAATAATTGAAAAGTTGGCCGGGTGTGGTGGTGCATGCCTGTGGTTCCAGCTACTTGGGAGGCTGAGGCAGGAGGATCACTTGAGCCTGGGAGGTCAACACTGAAGTGAGCGGAGATCATACCACTGCACTCCAGCCTGGACAACAGAGTGAGACCCTGTCTCAAAAAGAAAAAGGAGTCCCCTGACCCCCTCTTGGGAGCTGTCCGATAATCCTGCTAGACTGTGTGGATAGGGACGGTCTTATGGAGCTCCCTGGCCTGATTATAAGAGAGTGGTGGACTAGGGGAGGGGGCTACTCTAGGGAGCACCTGTCTCTCCTTCTAATTCTGGCTCCAATCTTATTTCATTAAGAAACAAGAGTAGTCCACCCTAATCCCAGCGCATACCCAAGATCCCATTTCTTCATTTGGCTGAGTCCTAGATGACAGAAGAGGAATTGAAGCTGGGAAGAATGATTACAGAATAAATAAATATCCAATCATTAGAATCTAATATTGATAAACCCCCTTTTAATCTACATACTTTCACTCAATCATCAAAACAACCTTATGAGGTAGCAGGGCTGACCATAACATTCCCATTTTACAGATGAGGCAACTGAGGGCTCAAAGGACCTTGCCAAGATCATAAAGCTAGTAACTGTCAAAGCTAGGACTTGAGCTTGGATCTTCTGATTCCCACATCCTATACTCTTTCTACCATCTGACCCCTCTATTGCCCTCTAGAGACCAAAGTGGGGGAGGAAAAGGGAGGATTTTCAAACTCTGCCCTTCCTCCACCCTCAGGGTCTCAGGAGGGCAAGGGATGGAAAGATAAATGGGGGTGGGTGCCTGTTGGGTGTGGCCTACCAGATAACCAGTTGGGCCTTCTGCCTCCCCACTAACGGCCACTCCCTTATCAGCCCAGCCCCCACCCCCGCCCCCAAGGGTAGACAGTATTGTCTCCAAACCAGAAACCCAAAGCCTCAACCCCTTTTCTCTTCTGAGACTTGGGAGTCGGGGAAGCAGGCAGATGAGCCTCCTTTGCATCCCACTCTACCTACAATTGAGAAGTAGGTGGTCTGGGAAGAAGCCTATGTTCCTCAGTCTAGGGGCAAGTGGTCAC